>NC_000002.12:157186587-157489618 GCF_000001405.40 Homo sapiens | reverse complement strand
AAACTCGAAAGAGACAAAGATTGCACACACTAAAGCTTGTTTATGGCACCTTAAAAGACAGCACTTTGAATTGCTATTCCCCAGTTCCTAAAGTGGTAATGAGATTTATAGGTAACTTTAAAAGTTTTTCTTTTGTGTGTTCGCTTAGCACTTAGCACATTATAGGCATTCTGAAGAATGGAGCACATTGCACATTCCATTAAACAATTTGGGCAAAAATAAAGTGTAAATAAACATAATAGCTAGTGTAGCCAAGTGCTTAGGGCCCCTAACTGGGTTGGCAAAAGAGCATGGAGTAGTGTGAGAGCCCATAGGAGCTCCTCCACCTCCAGTGCCCAGCACATAGTAGGCATTCAATAAATAGCTGAGGAATAATGAAACAATGAATGCATTCTTTTTTTTCTAGCCACTTTGCTTGCAGTGGTTATCTTAAGGGTGTAATAAAGTAATAATTGCTTCGTGACTATGTGGGCTCATAAGTTAATGTTTGCAAAGTGCTTTGAACTTCTTGGGAAAAGGGATGGTGTTTTTGTTGGCACTGTGTATTGTTTGCAGTGGCACACAAATTCCTCCTCCTCCTCTTCCTCCAGCTGCCAGCACTGTGCCCTCCCCCAGCTCTGTGCAGGGTCAATATCTCCCACAGGGCAGCCTCACGGCCTTTACTGCCTCTCTCCAGCCAGCTCCAGCACTACAGGACAGGTAGAGACACAGCAGACATCGGAAAGATTTCTTTAAGGCCACCGAGGAGAAATGAAACTTGGGTCGATACTAATGATTCTTACAGGGATTGGTGTTTAGAGGGATGCAGATGCTTGGCCACCCGTGGAAGTAGCTATTGGACAGACACACTCATCCGTGAGGACACATCAAGCTAGATCCTGAAGGGGAGATAGAAGTGTCATATAGGCAAACGGGGGTATGTGTGGAAACAGCTGTTTTTTCAGTTTTATGTGGCCCATATACATAATACAAAACCTTGGCTAGTAACGGGCAACAAAATGTTACATAGTTCTGTTAGTAGGAACCCATAAGACAAGTCAGATTTCTTTTATGAGTACAATTTTCCACTGCTATGATTTCTTTCCTCATTATTTTCTTTATATTTGATGATGGCAAATAACGGAGTTCTGTCTCACATATGGTTAGCCAAGACTGCAATAGTTTCCAATGCATTTGTTACTATTTTTTAAATTGCCATCATTGTTAGGAACTTCATAATTAAACAACTCACATGTGATTTGGAAAACAAAAGCTATGTTTTCTGTTAAGAATGGATGTCCTTTGTGAACAAATTCAAGCAAAAGAGTTTTTTTCTTTTGTGTTATACCAGGTTAACTTTCAACTGATCACACATGATAAATATCTCAAAATAAAACAGGGAGAGGCAGTTACAGGTTCAGAATAACTAGAATGACTATGGGAGGCAGATCTTGCCTTAAAGGCAAGAACACCTTCAGTTTTCCACAAGTTGGAAGTGACTTGTTTTCTAGATCACATCATGAGCTTTTCTGTGTGTGTGGAAGGTTTTTCATGTTAATTGCTGTATGTGTGGCAAATTCGCTCTCTCTACAAATTATTTCTAGAGATTGGAATTAAATGTCACGTGGAAAAAAGCCAACATGGCATTCTGTTAAGAAGATAGACAACCTAAGTGACGTCTATCCTGCTTCAAAGACAAAACTCAGGTAAGTCTGACTTTAGTTGAACCACATGAAGTTAACCAAGAGCAAGGCTTAGGTTTTGTTTTTAAAAAAATATATAGAAGGAAAACTCCTTCCAACTAAAATACATTCATTATTTACCTGAAAACAGAAGTAGGTGGAGCTGAATTTGTAGTTAGATTATAGTAAGTAGCATTTGAAACTCTGAAAGCTTAGAGTCCACATAAAAGCCACAAGTACAACATTTATTTGGGAGTAACTCCAGATGAGAAATGGTTTCTTTTGTCACTTGATTCAGTATAAGATGAATTTTTTATTTGTACAGAGCTTGAGAATCACATAGGCATCACTGAATTTTTCTTTTTTTTCCAATCTCTATTTGTGAGTATTTGATACTAGACAGTTTGTCCATGTCCTGAAATAAATGGATGAGAACTCATTTCAGGGAAGATAAGGTGAGCAGTCTGAATTAGGGGGAGGCTGTATTTCCTTTTCATTATGTTAATGACCTGTTGCATTTCAGGAGGCTGTACATTCATTTAGAGCAGAGTAGACGAAACCTCCTATTCTCTGGCTTGGGAACCAGGAGGAATCACTGACTGAGATTTGCCAACCAGACCTCTATGGTAAGTTTGAATTTGAAATGTGTGGGTTGATTTTCATTATTCATTATTTCTTTTGATCTTGGGGAGGGGAAGAAATTAGCAAGTTTTAATGCAGTGTTATATATTCAAATAAATATCATATTGAGGAAATTATTGCTGGAAATTTTTTATTCAAGTGTTTAATGAGTAAGCTGACTGACTCGTCATCCAAGTATTTTGGACTTCTTGTTGATACTAGGTTTCGCCTATTTTTTCTTATATGATCAGTGGATTTGCTATGGGGATATCTTATGTCAAGGCAGATGTCGAGTTTATGACATTTAGACATCTATTTTTGATAATGGAAGGGTTCAATAAATACAAGAGTGTGACATCAACACAAGGAGAAGGAAAGAGACGAGATTGGTCTAGGAAGTTGAAGGTTCTTATTAAGAAAAAAGAAAGGAGGGAGATGGTGAAAAGCCAATTTTACATTGGTTAAGCACTAGAACTCAAACATGATATTCTAATGATGAAGACAGGTTGAGTGGGCTCATGGGAGTGTGTGTGTGTGAAAGAGAAAGAGAGGGAGGGAGGAAGGGAGGGGCAGAGAGAAAAACAGAGAGAGAGAGAGAGAGAATTGATTATTTTCTTAGCTGTATCCACTCTAGCCTTTCTCAGGACAGGAACCCTGTCCTTTCACCTCTGTATTATCTGCAAAGAATAGATAATCAACAAACAGTTTGATTGAATAGGGTATCTCTTTTTGTGGCTGCTACAGAAAAGATCAGCAAACTAGTTGCTTTTATGTGCTTTCTGTGACATAGGGCTCAGAGCTCAGCCAGAGGCAGCTGAAACTTCATCAAATAAATAGCCAAAAGGTGAGCTTTGAGTGTTTCACAAAGTATTCTGTCAAATTCAGATCATATCAGAGTTACATTTTAGGGCTAGACCACCAGGAGTCAGGGCGTTGTCTCTGGGAAGACTTTGTTAAGTACACTTTAGGTGTCCTGTAAGAAAGACACAGAGCAGAAGATCTCAAATTTTAAGCACGTAACCCGCCGGACAGTATTCAAGCACTGGTTCCTGGGTCTCGCTTCTTGTGATTCTGATTCAGTAAGTATGAGATGGGGGGATGTGTGTCCCTGGGAACCTATATTTTGTAAAGGATGCTGGTGTTGAAGGATCTCAATTTTAAGAACCATTTCTGGGGTTTCTCTAGCTTGTTTATCTCATTAAAGGCTTATGAGCGCAGAACACATCAGGAACCTGGCTCTTAGACTCAGGGCAGCTGGGATGAGAGGCAGTGCCTGTGTCTCAGGGACTTGTGTTTGAACACACTGTGGCGTTGGAAAAGGCACCTTTCTCTTTCCAAGGTTCAAGTATTTTCTTTTTGAAAGAGGAGAACAGTATTGTCTACCTCGTGGGATTTGAAGAAATCGTGCATGCAAAGTGGGTTAGCAGAGTGACTGACACGTAATGAATTAGTAATTGTTAGCTCTTGCAGTGGGAAGAGAAGAGGGATGCCAGTAACAGGCCCTCTGTGGCCAGGAAAAATGGTTTGGGGCAGACAGACCCAAGGCATCACAATAGAGGAGGCTAGCTGTGGGATCTTGAGCATGCAGGGCCAGTGTCTAAAGGTAAATTCTAGACCTAACGATGAATAAACATGAGGATAGGAGACACACTTTCTCACTCTAACAAGTTTTTTTCCAAGAGTGGTAATGAGCAACCCAGATGGCACAGCTAATTGGAATCATAATTGATCCCACAATGGTATTTAAGTCAATAGTTTAATTGATTTTCCTCAGGACAACCATTATGAGAACTTCTAAAGAGAACAAAGTGAAATGCATCAAATACTGTGACTGGTTCATATTTGCTACCCCCGGGCGGGTGTGGTGGCTCACGCCTGTAATCCCAGCACTTTAGGAGGCCCAGGCAGGCAGATCACCTGAGGTCAGGAGTTCGAGACCAGCCTGGCTAACATGGCAAAACCTCACTTCCACTAAAAATACAAAAAATTAGCCAGGTGTGGTGGCGCGCGCCTGTAATCTCAGCTACTTGGGAGGCTGAGGCAGGAGAATCGCTTGAACCTGGGAGGTGGAGGTTGCATTGAGCTGAGATAGCGCCATTGCACTCCAGCTTGGGCAACAAGAGCAAAACTCTGTCTCAAAAAACAACAACAAAAAAACATATTTGCTACATGCTGTGCGTGGAAGGAAGAATGAATAAAGAGAATAATGGTCTAAGAGGGGAGGGGATACAGGGATCACAAATCAAACAGACTGTCATGAGTCAAATACTTGTCTGGTCATTCAGTGCAATGTTAGGTGGTATTGAACCAGATGGTGAGGCCAAGTACTCCCCTGCAATAAAGTACCAAGAGCAGAGGAACCAATACTGGTATCTTAGGTGCCTTCCTTAAATGGCAAAGATGAAATTTGGTGGCACATAAATGTATGATATGATAGAAACAGCCAGCAAACAAACAGATGGGGCATACGAAGGATGAATGGAGATGAGGTATGATCAGATGTCTCTGAGCATGTCATGTAGCCTCCTTTGGCCTAAATGTTCCCTCTGAGTGCCCTTCCAGTCCTGATAAAATGTTATAAGGCATATAGCATGGGAGAAAACCCATCACTTTATGTTTTTCTTACCTGCAGAGTAGTCCATAAACTAGGGCACCTAAGTTATTGTGAAATGCTAGCTACTTTGAGGAATTTAGTTTACCCTGAATTATGATTTTTTTCCATAAGCCAAAATTTCCACTTAAATATATTTTTACCAGTACTGTTATGACTCTGGATGTAACTGATATCTTTTCAGTAAATAATCACCCTAATAGGTGGTAATTATGAATAAATGATGAAAAAAATGCTAACAACAGTAGCCACTGTTTTTCAAGTGCCTATCATCTGCTAGGTCGTATTTCATCATTAATCCTTTCAGTAACCCTGTTAGAAGGCATTATTATGGCCATTTCCCATGTGGATTCTCAGAGGTCACAGAGGTAGTAAATACATCAGGACTTTTTTAGATGGAATAATTTTTTATTACAACACCAATTTATTCCAAGTTAATATTACAGAATCTTAAAAATGTAATGGAATGACAATAAAATTAGGAATCCAAATAATCTGGATTTGACTTTTCATGTAGTGTTTATACTGAGGGATCTAGTAAAAGTCATTATTTATGCCTCAATTAATTTTATTAGTGAAAATAAGATGATGACACTTACTTCATAGTTATGTTTCAGAATAGAATACAATATTTTTGAAAAGATTTTAAAATCTGCTGGGTGATGGCTTTATAGCATCTTTATGCCATGCTATGGGTTCCTATTCCTAATATATTCCTTCCTCTGCCTCTTTGCCCAATATATAAAGTTTCAACCTCTCTAGTTAGCAATATTTTCCTGTCTTGCAAAGCCTAGCTCAAATTCTTCCTGCTCAATTAATATTTCTTGATGACATTAGACATCGTCATGGATTTTAAAAATTATCTAAACCATACTATCACGTTATTGTACTAGTCTATTATATATGTCCATCTAATCTATTTATTGTTTCCATCTTCTCAGATGAGAAAATAATGCCCATGAAAAGTGTCATTGATATGGGGTAAAATGTGTGATATAATATGTTGAAAAAATACAATTTCAAAATTGTTTGAAGAAAATACTTTCAATTATGTTAAAATACAGTTCTGTGCTAGCCTTTCCAGTAATTTATGGCTTCAATCGAATTCATGACAAAACATCAGATAAAACCAAATTGAGGGCCATTCATCAGAATACTTGACTGAATCCAGGTCTTTCTTATTCGTAGCCCATGTTACTACTACTATAATGCGCTGTAAATCGGCTATACTGAGTGCCATCATTATTAATCTTGTATAGTTTGCTCTTTGATTTGAAGTCTCCTAATTATTATTAAAAATACAATATGGAGTGTATGTTTAGTGTCCTACTCCTTAATTTCTCACTTGTGATCACTTTAATGAAGTACTTCTCTTCCTAATGGTAATATCATATTATTTTGTTTACTTTTAGTAATGAGTTTGCTGAATATTCTGAATTTCCCTGGGGCATATATATGAAAGTAACTTTTTTTTTCAATTAAGCTTTGTCAAATTTCTCTTTTACTTGGGCAGATCCTGTGATCTTTTGGTTAGGCTTCTATAAAAAAAACAAAACCATAACAATTCAGTGTTAGAAAAGCTTCAATCTCAATCTAATTTAGAGCTATTGCCTCCAACATCACAGATCAGATATAAGGTGTCGGGAATAGAAGACGTGGGTGTGGTCTGCCTTCAGGATACTATCTCTCCTTCCCTCTTCTAGGGTTCCACAGTTTGTGGTGATTTGGGAAAGAAAAGAAAGGACAAGTCTCTCACATTTAATAGTGCAGCTGAAGTTTGTCCTCTGTAAAATTTTGACTGTTTATCTGGTTAATGTGGACTGGGAGGCAGAGGTCTCTATCTGGGAGTTTTCAGAAGCCCCTTAGGGACCTCACCACTGCACAGTCATTGATATCTCATACATGGAACACTCCCCAGCTCCTGCTGCTGAGATGTGCTTTCAATGGCCAATCCTTGTGGGTAGAATTTGTCAAGATAACACAAACCTAGCTACTTCTCCCAAGTTCACATGGCCTATGGAGATACACATGTGGGTTGCCCCAGAGCTGTGCTCTCTCCCTTTTCTAAGTCACTTTTTTTTCCCCTCAGTTCAGGTAGGTACAGTGGCTTGATTGGCAAGGCCACTGCAGGTGCAGATGTCAAAGCTAGAAATGTAATTCTGGCCTTCTCTTCCTATAGGCACTCCTTCCAGGCTTTAAGAGTGGTTCTCATGGCAGCCCCGAAGTTGGTTCAGTGGTGAGAGGCATGTCTTGGTGGAATAGATAGAAAACTGAAGTATTACTCCCTTCCCACCCCTACCAAGGCCACCTTACACCTCTAATCATTTCCTTCTTCTCTGTTCCCACCTCAGTCTTCCTTTCAGACTTGACTGGAGAGGGAGAAGGTCCAGTTTGGGGTGATGATTTAGAGCAGCAGAGCCTTTACCTGGTTGTGTCTTCGTAAGCCTTAAAGAAGGTGGTTAGCTCCAGTTGTTCTCAGTTCTCCAACTTCTCTATTTTAATATTGTGGCCTTAACTGCCAATTTTGGGATAACAGAAAAACTTGTACTCAGTAGCCTGTTACATTTGTGCACTTTGGGGAACAAAAATTGATATAAAATTGAAAACTTCTCATCTGCAACAGAAGCTGTCAAGAGAATGAAAAGGCAAGTCACAGACAGGGATACAATAATTACAAAAGATGCATCTGATAAAGGACTGTTATCCACAATATGCACAGAAATTGTAAAACTCAACAATAAGAACACAAACAACCTGATTAATAAGCGCGCAAAAGATTTGAACACACTTCACCAAAGAAGAACGAAAGATGGCAAATAAGCATATGAAAAGATACACAACATCATATCTCATTAGGAAATGCAAATTATTAAATGCCTAAGGTAGTCTTCTTTGGGTTAAATCTGCTTGGTGTTCTATAATCTTTTTTGGATTTGGATATTCATATCTTCCTCTAGGTTTGGGAAATTCTCTGTTATCCCTTTGAATGAATTTTCTACCTCTGTCTTTCTCTACCTCCTCTTTAAGGCCAGTAACTCTTAGATTTGCCCTTTTAAGGCTATTTTCTAGATCTTGTAGGCATGCTTCATTGTTTTTCATTCTTTTTTCTTTTGTCTCCTTTCACTGTGTATTTACAAACAGCATGTCTTCAAGTTCACTAATTCTTTCTTCTGCTTGGCCAATTCTGTTATTAAAAGACTGATGCATTTTTTGTATGCCAATTGCATTTTTCAGTTCCGGATTTTCTGTTTGATTCTTTTAAATTATTTCAACCTCTTTGTTAAATTTATCTGATAGAATTCTGAATTCCTTTTCTGTGTTCTCTTGAATTTCTTTGAGTTTCCTCAAAATAGCTATTTTAAATTTTCTGTCTGAAAGGTCACATATCTCTGTTTCTCCAAGACTGGTCCCTGGTGCCTTATTAGGTTCATTTAATGAGGTCATGTTTTCCTGGGTCGTCTCAATATTTGTAGATATTCATCTGTGTCTGGGTATTTATCGTAGTCTTTGCAGTCTGGTGTTTGTACTGGTCCTTCTTGGGAAGGCTTTCCAGATATTTGATAGGACTTGGATGTTGTGATCTAAGCTGTATCTGCTTCAAGAGGTACCTCAAGCTCAGTAACACTGTGGTTATTGCATACTTGTAGAGGTACTGCCTTGATGGTCTTAGACAAGATCTGGGAAAATTTTTTGTATTATCAGACAGGGACTCTTTTTCTCTTCCCTTAGTTTCTCTTAAA
Organism: Homo sapiens; assembly: GCF_000001405.40. Classification (NCBI taxonomy): domain Eukaryota; kingdom Metazoa; phylum Chordata; class Mammalia; order Primates; family Hominidae; genus Homo; species Homo sapiens. Next base: position 157,480,985 of record NC_000002.12, on the reverse strand, counting down.
CAAATGGAGCCTCTCTTTCTATTCTGAGCCACCCAAAGCTGGGGGTGGAGTGATACAAGCTCCCTTGTGGCAATCACCACTATGACTGTTCTCAGTCAGACCTGAAGCCAGCACAGTACTGGATTTCACCCAAGGCCTGTTGCAACCACTCCCTGGCTACTGCCTATGTTCTCTGCAATCAGCAAGTGGCAAAGACAGCCAGGCCCGTGTCCTTTCCTTCAGGGCAGCAAGTTCCCCCAGGCTCCAGGAAGGCCCAGAGGTGCCACCCAGCAGCCAGGGATTAGAGTCAAAACCCTTAGAAGTCTATTATACTGCAGCTGAGCTGGCATTCAAACTACAAGATACAGTCCATCTCACTCTTCTCTCACCTTTTCAAAGGCAGAGGAGCCTCACCTCTTGGCCACCGTCACCACAGGCCTACAGGGAGTACTACCAGACTACCACCAATGTTCCCTTAAGGTACAAAGTCTCTTCAGTCAGCTTGTGGTGAATGCTGCCTGGGTTGGGACTCACCCTTTAGGGCAGCGTGCTCCCTTCAGGCCCAGGGCAGGTCCAGAAATGCCATCCAAGAGCCAAGTCCTGGAATTGAGGACCCCAAGAGGCCTGCTTTGTGCTTTACAACCCTGTGGCCAAGGTGCATGACAAAGTCCCCTTTGCTTTTCCTTTCACTTTTTTCAAGCAGAAGAAGTCTCACCCATAGCCATCATGGCTGGGAATGTGCTGAGTCACCCAAAGCCAGCAAGTTTCAGAGTCTCCCCCAAGACCCTCAATGTAGTACCTGCATATTGCTGCTGGTTATTCAGGACCTAAGGGCTCTTCACTTAGCAGGTGATGAATGCTGCCAGGAAAGCGTCCTTTCTTTCAAAGCAATGGGTTCCCTTCTGGCCCAGGGTATGTCTGGAAATGTCATCTAGGATCTAGGGCCTGCGAAGGGGGCCTCATGACTCCAATTGGTGTCCTATCCCGCTGTGGCTGAGCTGGTATCTAAGATGCAAGACAAATTCATCCTCACTCTTTCCTCTCCTCTCCTCAAGTGGAAGGAAAAGGTCTCTTGTGGAGCTGTGAGCTATGCAGCCTGGCGTTAGGGAAGTGTTAATAGCAGCCCTGCCTTAGGTGCTGCAGTGTCTCAGTAGGTCACATGTCCCTCCAGTCAACTGTCTCTGAGCCCAGTTTAGCCCTAGGACTCACCGAGGAATTGTAGTCCTTGTGACCTAGAATGCCTTTCGAGTTTATTTAGAGCCCCAGAGCACTTTAGACCATGGTGGTGAGGCTTGTGGGAACTCAAGTTCTTACCACTGGGATTGATGAGAACTTAGCTGATGCTCCTTCCTTGGGTGGGTGATCAGCTAAGTTTGGACTGGTTTTCCTTTCTGTTATAACAACAGCACTGAGTTTAATGCCTCACAATTGCTGCACTCTCCCTCCCCCAGTTCATGGAGAAGCTTTCTGTACCATACCACTGCTGCTGGGGTGGGGAGGTGGAGGGGAAGGGTTATGTCTTTTTTTCTACTTTTTCAGTGCCCCTTTCAGCAATACAAAGTTAAAACCAAGTACTACGAGTGCTCACCTGATTATGGGTTCTTATGAAGATGGTTTTTTTGTGGGTAGATAGTTGTTAAATTGGAGTCCTTGGGGTTTGGGAGGGGAGCGATTGGTAGAGTCTTCTATTCTTGATCTACCTACCAGGAAATGTAAATTAAAGTGACAGGATACTACTATAGGCCTATGGGAGTGGCAAAAATCCAAAACACTGACAACACCAAATGCTGATGAGAATGTAGAGCAACAGGAACCCTCATTCATTGTTGGTGGAAATGCAAAATGGTACAGCCGCTTTGGAAGACAGCTTTGCAGTTTAATGTAAAACTAAACATACTCATACCATAGAATCCAGGAATTGGTCTGCTTGGTATTCTCCCGAATAAGTTGAAAATTTAAGCCCACACAAAAACCTATACATGGATGTTTATAGCAGCTTTTTTCATAATTGCCAAAACTTAGAAGCAACTAAGACGTCCTTCAATAGGTAAACAGATAAAGAGACTGTGGTACATTTATATGATGGAATATTATTCAATATTAAAAAGAAATGAGCTATCAAGTCACGAAAAGACATGGAAGAACTTTAAATGTATATTAGTAAGTGAGAAAAGCCAACGTGGAAATGTTACATACTGTTTGATTCCCATTATACGACATTCTGGTGAAAACAAACTGTAGAGACAGTAAAAAGATCAGGGATTAGGTGGGAGGAAGCAATAAATAAGTGGAGCACAAGGCCGGGCGTGGTGGCTCACTCCTGTAGTCCCAGCACTTTGGGAGGCCGACGCGGGCAGATCACGAGGTCAGGAGATCGAGACCATTCTGGCTAACATGGTGAAACCACATCTCTACTAAAAATACAAAAAATTAGCCAGGCGTGGTGGTGGGCTCCTGTAGTCTGGGAGGCTGAGGCAGAAGAATGGCGTGAACCCAGGAGGTGGAGCTTGCAGTGAGCCCAGATCGTGCCACTGCACTCCAGTTCGGGCGACAGAGCAAGACTCCATCTCAAAAAAAAAAAAAAAAAAAAAAAAAAGGGGGGAGCACACAGGATACTTAGGGCAATGAAACTATTCTGTATGATATCACAATGCTGGATGTATCATTATACATTTGTCAAAACCCATAGAATATACAACACCATGAGTGAACCTAATGTAAACATGGGTTACATTTGGGTAAAAGTGATTGCTTGTATTTGGGTAAAAATGATTGGCTATATAGGTTCATTAAATATCTTCATATCAGTATCATGAAGGAAGTAATATTGGTATGCCCATTTCACAGGTAAGGAAAATGAGTCATAGAGGGGCTGTAACAAATGTCTCACTCTGGTGCCTAATGCTGATAGTGGGGGAGGCTGTGCAAATGTGGAGGCAGGGGATATATGAGAACTCTCTGCACTTTCCACTTAATTTTGTTATGAACCTCCAACTGCTCTAAAAATAAAATATATTGAAGATTAATTGATAATAAAAATATTAGAGTCACAGGTAACCAAAGCACAGAAATTGGCTTTCTAAATAGATGACAGATTTCCTCACCTTTGCGTGGGACAGAATAAATTTTTTTAACTTTTATTTGAGGTTTGGGGTACGTGTAAAGATTTGTCACATAGGTAAACACATGTCACAGGGTCTTGTACATATTGTTTCATCACCCAGGTATTAAGCCCTGTACATGTTTTGTTTTATGACTCCATCCCTTGGACAGAAAATGTCTAGTGCATCATAGATGCAGTTGAGCCTTCTACCTTCTCTCTGTATTTTATTTTCATAGCTACTGATATGGAGCAGCTATTTCATAGCTACTAGGGAGCAGCAAAGGTGGATGAGAAGAGACTGCCTCTTCCTGGAAGGCTTACCCTTGATAGTGAATCTACTTCCAATGTTGCAGAGAACTATGTGTCACTGTTATTGTTCTGAATGATGCAACTCTATGGAGACTCTTTATTACCTAGAAAAACAGCAGTCTCTGAAAGTTGAGATTCTGTTTTCTTAGAATACTGTTTTTGGTGTTCACAGCTTTAGTTAGTCATGAAACCAGGTTATGAGAAATAGGAGCTGGCAAGTTGGACATGGCATAGCTGTAAGAAATGTCTTCAGCAAACTGATATTTGCCTACAATGTTATTCTTTCACATTTAGCTACATACATTCATTCTGTGCCTTGGTTTCTCAGACTTTTCTCTGTAACACAAGAGATTTTGCACAACTAACTCATTTAATCTTCATTGCAACCTCATGAGGAAAGTTAATATTGGTATGCCAATTCCACAGATGAAGAAACTGAGTCACAGAGAGGCCATAACTGGCCTACTGTGAGATAGCTAGTCAGGGGTAGAGTTGAGATCTGAGTAAAAGCATCCTTGCTTCAAAGTAGGGTTCTTAATCACTCTACTGGGTTGCAAAAAGCCACAATAATAAAAACAACATGAAACTGGTTAAAAATTAGAACTATTTATGTAACAAAAATAAATAGATTGGAGGTAGAAACTAGGGTATAGTTTCATTATAAAATTATCCAACCCAACAAGGGTTGCTATTTGGAGAAATTGGTTATTTGGATTGAAAAGTCCAGTTTAGGCAATCCCCCCTTAAAGATAATTACCCATTTTATTCCAAGTGGGTTAAAGAGTTAAATATAAAGAGTTAAACCAAAATAACTTGGAAGAAATATAGATGAGTATTTATCTTATCTCTGGATAGAAAATGATTTTCTAAACATAAAAGCAATTAAGAAAATCACAGAGGAAAGACTGATGAATGAAATGAAATATTTCTGTATATCATAAACAAAATGAAGACAAATAACCAACACATGTAAGAAACTGTGATTTTCATATACATTTGAAGAAAATAACAAAAGAGAAAGCGGAAGTGCTTAAAATATGAGCAAAGTATGAAAAATACTCTTTTTTTTGTAAAATATGAAGGGCGAATTTTTAAAAATGGAAAATAAAGCAAAATTAGTAAGCATTTTCCACAGAGCACATTTTATCAAAGACTTTTAACTGGTAATAACTAAAGCTGTTGGGAGTTCTGCAAGATCAGTAACTTCATGTACAATCTTTCTGCCAATAATTTAGCAATATCCATCAAGAGACTTAAAAATAGTTATATTTTTCAGACCCCTATTTTTTTAACTTTTAGTTCTGAGGGTACATACGAAGGTTCATTTACATAGATAAACACGTGTCATGGGGGTTTGTTGTACATATTATTTCATCACCCAGGTTTTAAGCCCAGTACTCAATAGTTATCTTGTGTACTCCTCTCCCTCCTCCCCGTCTCCACCCTCAAGTAGACCCAAGTGTCTGTCGTTTCCTTCTTTGCGTTCATAAGTTCTTATCATTTAAAAATGAGAACATGCAGTTTTTGGTTTTCTGTTCCTGCATTAGTTTGCTAAGGATAATAGCCTCTAGCTCCATTCATGTTCCCACGAAAGACGTGATCTTATTCTTTTTTCATGGTTGCACAGTATTCCATGGTGTATATGGACCACATTGCCTTTATCTAGTCTGTCATTGATGTCGTTTGATGGGCGTTTAGCCTGATTCCGTGTCTTTGCTATCATTAATAGTGCTGCAATGAACATTCGCATACATATGTCTTTATGGTAGAATGATTTATAGTCATCTGAGTATATACCTAGTAATGGGATTGCCGGGTGGAATGGTGGTTCTGCTTTTAGCTCTTTGAGGAATTGCCATACTGCTTTCCACAATGGTTGAACTAATTTACACTCCCACCAACAGTGTATTAGTGTTCTCTTTTCTCTGCAAACTGGCCAGCATCTGTTATTTTTTTGAATTTTTAACAACAGCCATTCTGACTGGTGCGAGATGGTACCTCATCATGGTTTTGATTTGCATTTTTCCAGTGATCAGTGATATTAAGCTTTTTTTCATATCCTTGTTGGCCACATATATCGCTTCTTTTGAGAAGTGTCTGTTCATATCCTTTGCCTACTTTTCAATGGGGTTTAAACCACTATTTTTTAATGTAAGGATTTATACTAATAGTTATATGGACAAAGATTTATGTTCAAATTTGATCACATTATTATTTCTAACAGTGAACTATCAGAAATAACAATATTTAATAAAATTAGATTACTATCAAACTAGAAAATTATGGTTCTGCTATAGTATGGACTGTCATATCACTATTAAAATCATGTTGTGATTAGTTATTAGTGATAAAAGAAAATTATAGCGGGTAGTGTTAGTGTTTAAGTGTAACAAGATAGTGTTTTAAGATACACTATTTAAGTGTAATAAGAGAATATACATAGTTATTTATGCATAATTATCTCATCTGGTTAAAATCAATAATAAAAAAGGACTAGGGAGGTTAAGACAAATGTTCATGATGATTTTTGGTGGTAGTGGGATCCTCTCTACTTTACAAATTATCTGCAACAGAGAGATAATCATGGGAAAAATGTATTTAAATAAGGAAAAGAAACAAATACAAAAGGAAATACCGAGACAAATAAAAAAGGGCAGATCATTAGAAATGGTGAGAGGCTCACGGATATGACTACAAATCTGAAGTGAAGGCAGAGTTGGAATGGAGTTTAGAGCAAATAGAAATACTGGAGTAATTCGTGCTCATGGCCAGCTCCTTCAAAGCACTGAAGTGTATAGAACGGCTGCAAGGAAAGACCTGAGCTTCTCTGTCTTGTGATGAAAGTGAGTTTTGTTTTTCTAAAACAAACCAGTTCTCTGCCCAAATTTACATTTTTATAGATGCCACATATATTTTCAACCTCTAAAATATTTTGGTTAAGATGTTTTCAAAATAATAAATCTTCAAAATCAGTCTCTATTTTCTCTTTATTTTGTTTAAGTCCATGACCTTTCAATTTATGCAATATTTTAATTTTGGGGGAGGGGGGCAGCAAAAGTAGATGTAATTTGTCTATTAGCTATTACTTTGATTTTTATAGTCTAAATATGTGGAAGTTTCCAACTTTCTTATCTTTATTGCAGTTAGACTTTCTAAAATGCCTTAGAGGAGTTTGAAGGTCTCATTATTTTCTTCAAACACTTTATTTCCCAGGAAGGTAGATATTTGTATCTCTTGCCTGTAGAATCTGCTCTATGGTTAGGAGAATTTATGTCCCTATTTTTTAGTTCTCACTTGGATTTCTTGATACTGAAAAAAGCCTCCTGAACTCAGGCCTTTACATACTTGTCCTCAGCATAATGGATGCCTGGTCCACACACTCATGTTCATTTCTTCAGTTTCTCCCTCCCTCTTCAAATTACCCTGGGGCCTTGATCGTGTCTTCTCTTGCTATAGCCTGTCTACCACTACCTAATCTCATATTCCAGCAGTAAGTGATCACTTATGTAGGCTGAGAGGAAAAAAATGTTGTTTTCCTGAATTTCTTTTTAGGAAATAGCAGTATATTTTTGTTAAAACATAAACATAATTGCTTATGCCCAATAAACTTTTACAGAAATAAAATATACTTAAAACTGTGTTTTCCATTGAATTGTCACTACAACATTTCTTTCCTCTAGAACATTTCTTTGCATTTAGTCTTAGTAAGATTGCATTGGGTTCTCCATCAGCCCAAGGTATGAGATGCTGGTTGTTGGATCTGCAAAGCATGACTGAGTCCCAGGGCATTAATCATCATGGCATATGCATTATTTTGCTGCTGTGCTCTGCTGAGCCAAGGAGATGATGCATATGTATTCACACTCCTCCACTCTCACTTTCTTCTTCCATCTATACTTTCTCTCTGAAGGCAGTTTTGGCTGCCACCAAGTACTGTACCCCAAATGCCACATTTTCAAATGCAAATGCCTGTTTACAGGAACATCTTGTCCCTTGGGCCAGTTCATCTCTCTGTGGTACATACCTACCGGTAGTATAGCTATAACTTTGGCTGCTGCTTTGTAAGTATAAAGTCACAACCAGAATTGTAACATGCAAATTTAAAACTGGAATGTCTACAAGTAGGCTCAAATACCTTTGGAGTCACTAAGTTTGTTTAGAGGCATGGAGCTATATTAGCCTGGGACTTGACTTCATGTCCCATAAACCCCTCTGTTCCCTCTTGGAATCTGTTGCCATTAACCTGTGATGTATGTACTCTGCCACCATTACCTCTAGCTCTAGCACTCATCCATTCATATGGCAAATATAGAGAGAGCACCAACCATTGCCAGGCACTCTGCTAGGTGCTAGACATGCACAGTGGAAAAGAGGAAAGAGCCTGTACCATGAGAGAGCTTACGGTCTAGTGGAAATGCAGACAAGAGAGCTAATTAAAATATGCAGTGTTAAGAAAAATCCTCTGTGCTGTAATGGAACCCAGTCCACAGGAAGGACACTCAGATTACCCTTTAGAAGGAGTGATGAAGGAAAGTTTCCCAGAGAAGTAATCCAGAACCCAAAAAAGAAAGGCTTAAAGCTGTGGGTCTCATGCTTCCAGGTCTCCCCCAAAGGATACACTGGGATTCCAGGAGTTCCAGGGTGACAAAGCAGTCAATCATCCAAACCAAGCTTGGACAGGCTATGGCAAGTAATGGGGACATACAAATCTTTAATCTCTGTTTGCTGTTGGTGATGATGGCATCACTGAAATTTTTGAGGTGTATTCTCAGGGTTATTTAACACACATTAAAAAGAAAAATGTATTAAAACTGATTTTTTTTCATGAAGAAAAATCTTGAAGATGTTTCCCTGGATTGAAGAACTCTTCTGGGGTCTGACCACAGGTCTAACTTCTCTGGAGGTTGGTTTGATACCCACTGGAGTGACCTCTGAGAATGGACCCCACTAGTGAATAGCCTCATTAGAGAGGATGTGGGTGGAGAAGGCTGAAGTGATGCTGCCATTTCTCCAGGATGCCTTCTGTAGATTCATCTCTGCTCTGCTGGGAAGCAGACTTCACTGACTCAAATTTTTTTTTTTTGATATTTTAAATTTTGAGTTAGGGTCTCACTCTGTCACCCATGCTGTAGTGCAATAGTGCAAACTTGGCTCCCTGCAGCCTTGACCTCCCAGGCTCAAGCGATCCTCCCTCCTCAGCCTCCTGTGTAGCTGAGACCACAGGCACCCGCCACCATGCCCAGCTAATTTTTTTTTTTTTTTTTAGTTTTTGTAGAGATGGGGTTTTGCCATGTTGCCCAGGCTGGTCTCAAACTCCTGGGCTCAAGTGATCTTCCCACCTTGGCCTCCCAAAGTGCTGGGATTACAAGTGTGAGCCACTGTGCTGGACTTCAAACTTCTTGAACTTTAGCATTCTCATGCTTGCCACAATTGTTCTTCAGAGCTTGATTGGTCAGTGATATGCTGGGTCTCAGCTTGTTTCCCCCTTCTCATCATTGTTCTAATATCATTCCAGATATCTTTATTAATGTTACTGCTACTTCTAACTACTACTACTATTACAACGACTACTACTAAGGGTTTTGTTTTGTTTGTTTTTTGTTTTTTGTTGTGTTTTTTTTTTCTTTTTTTTTTTTTTGAGATGGAGTCTCACTCTGTCACCTAGGTTGGGGTGCAGTGGTGCGATCTTGGCTCATTGCAACCTCCACCTTCTGGGTTCAAGCCATTCTCCCACCTCAGCCTCCCAAGTAGGTGGGAATACAGGTGCACACCACCATGGCTGTCTACTTTTTGTATTTTTAGTAGAGACGGGGTTTCACTATATTGGCCAGGCTGTTCTCAAACTCTTGACCTCGTGATCCACTGGCCTCGGCCTCCCAAAGTGCTGGAATTACAGGTGTGAGCCACTGTGCCCAGCCAGGGTTTTGTTTTTTGAGTGACTATATAGTAGCCAATGTCCTAGGCATTTTTTTTCACATCATCAGAACAACCCTGCAAAAATAAATATTATTATCTTCATTTTGTGGTTTAGGTGACTGAGGTTCAGAGAGTTTAAGAAACTTCAGTTTACTGAATAGTATTCTCAGCATACGGAACAAATATAAAACTTAATATACCATTGTTAACACCAGAATTCCACTGAGCACAAGTACCCTTGATTCAGGAAACCTGTGCCGCCATGCTTCCTGTTACGGGGACCACTGGCAGCAATTTGACTGGAACAGCCAGATGGGCCCTGTGGCTTTGACGGTTATTGCAGGTTTCAAGGCAAGAAAAGGGTCTTCTTGAGGGCAAACAGGCCCATTGGAGGGAAGCAAGGGTGTCAGACTCCAGAGTCAGCAAGCAGCAGAGAGGCCTGACCACTCCATCCAAGGGCAGAAGAGTCACTAGGTGCTGACTTTCTGTTTTGTTTCATTTTTGTTTGTACTGACTGCTGGATGTCAGTCATTATGGGCTTAGGGGTGTTAATTCTTGGCAAAAAATGATCTGAAATTCTTTAGTTGAAACCACCCTTCTTCGGGACAGGGAGAGAAATGCTTGGATTATCAAGTCAAAATTAACATCAGCAACCCCTTTTTTTACCCTGCCAATACAACGACCCTTTGGTATGCTGTAGAAGCTTTATGATTTGAAAAAAAATTTATAACAAAACAATTTTACTTATGTTTTTTCTCTTTGCTGCAAAATTAGAATTGCTTATTCTAGCTTTCCAGATGTTTAAATCCTGAATAAGCAGGGTTTTCATGTACTAATAAGCTTCCATTGTGTGGGCAGATACCATTATTGAAGGAAAGTTAGAGACCTCTGAAGTTCTCCACTGCATCCCAGGCTGTAGACACTACGTTAAATTGACGAGCAAACATGGCCCATACAAATGAGCAGGAAATAATGCATAAAAATGGAAGTTTAAATTTTTACCCTCTACCCTAGGTAAGAGGCTGTGAACTGGTGTGTGTGCTTTGGCAGATAGGTAAGAAAGTGTGGAATTCCTTACCTAGAGGGAATGAAGTTAGAGTAGGTGTCCTGTTGTTTCTCATCAGAGCATTGAAGAGATGGTTTCAGTGGTGGAGTAAGAGATGGACCCTGGGAGGCTAAGAATAGAAGCTGTGGTTAGCCCCAGACTATGGGCTAATGGGGCTGTATTTCTTGTTGTTTTGAAGTAATGTGAACCTCAGTGCCTTTTCTGTTGAAGCAGTCTGTGTGCTAATTACTTGTGATAAAAGGGTGCTTACAAGATATCAACAAGAGTCCTTGGCTTGTTATCTGAAGATGGTTTCCTTTTCCAAAATGAGGGGGAAATGGTCTGGAAGACCTGGAGCTGACTATGTTTTATCAACATGAGTTGACTATGTAAATCCTATGTACAGCTTGTTTGCTGGTGATTTAAACCAGCGTTTAAAAGTCCTGGATAACGGTTGTCACAGAATTCTTGTAGGTGATTTTTTTCCTCTTTCAAGAACTTCATATAGAGTTAATTAGGAACTCTTCATGCCCTTATACAATTCAATTTAACGTATCACTAAGAACTTCAAGTATGTAATTTGTATAGCCCACTCTTCATATTCATTAAAATTCACATACACATTTGTTCATATTCACTGCACAGTGATGGAATCAGAGAGGTTTTGTTATTTAGTCACTCTCTTGGTTTATTTAATCTCACTGAGTTTATGCCAAAAGGGATTTAAAGTGGCTAAATTAATAAAATTCAACAAAGTATTCCTGACCACACAGCATTTCTCTATTTTTTGGAAGGTTTTTCCTTCTAAAAAATTGTGGAGGTAAAGAGTTTTCTTATATTTTGAGTAGGTGAAATCATCCTCAAGTTGAAGAAAAGAAAACAAAAATTTTTTCCTGAAATGCCAGAAATTTGCATGGGGTAAAACACCTGGTTCGTAAGAAAAAAAAAAATCAAGCCCAGACATCCTTACCAAGCTGAAACAATATTTCATGTTTCTAAGATACTTGGGTGAGTTAAACCAAACAGGAAGCAGCAACAGAAGTCCCTGAATCAGAGAGGAACTGATCATTACTCATTTGACTTTGCAAGCAGAATGATGACACCATTACCCTGAAATCTAAAAAACTTAAAATAACTCCTTGTCAATTATGAAAATACTTACGGTTATGGTCTTCTGTCACGTAATCTCATGGGCAATTTCAACTTCTCCCTATCCCTTAGACTACTCCAACCCTTCATACTTCTAGAACTAGATCATGTTTTTGCAAACTTTTTAGAACATGGAACACTTTGGGGGAGAAGAAGGCTGAATCACCCCACTCGATCTTTTAAGTGACTTAGCCCACCCTAAATAACTTGAATGCGAAACCTACACAGGAAAACAAGTGAAAAAATTGGTAATTCTTTTACATAATTGAGATAATGTCTAGTTTCTTAAAATACAGGGAGAAGCTAAACATTAGATGTCAAACTATCGTAAACACAATTTCCTCGGCCACCTATGGATGACAGTCATCTGTAATACACAGACAACTTGTCACGCCCAGTGAACACCCTGAAGAAGGAGAAGCAGAATGGGGAAGTGGGATGGAGGTTTTAATTTCATGGTCTTTTGTGTTTTGGAAAATGTAAGTCAATGTGGCATTTGCAGAAGTTATCACATTGTTACAGAGCCAAATTACACCTTCCCTTGCCATTGTATCTAAAATGCTGGCTCCTTTTTATTCTTTGATATAAGGAGAACAAAAGGTATTTCTCCTTAAAGTAACAGTCAAATTTTGCCACTTGGGGCCCTGTGTTCATATGCCATGCCAGTGCTCAGCAGCTCCAGGTTTCTTAGATATTTTTATTAATTTTTATTGAGTGCTTACTATTGTGTCAGGTAGTCCTACAGAACTTTAATTTCCACAAAAATCCTATGAGGTTGGCACTGTTTTTTACATAGATGTGAAACTGAGACACAGAGATAAAATGCAGCTTTTCCCAACAACTTGGTTGCCTACTGTTCTCAAGGGGTATCTAACGTGTAGTACTCATGGGGTGCCTATAGGACTTGTTTAGCCTTTTTTCTCTTATTTTACCATTATTTTGAAACTTTAAACTGTTTTTGAAGTTATGAAGTAAGTACGTGTATAAAACCAGGATTAGAACATACAAAGAGACAAATAAAAAGAAGTCTTCCTTCCCTAACAACCCAGGACTACTCCACAGAGGTAACTATTTTTAATTTTATGTATTAGAAATTTTCTATGCCTAAACTAGATATGCATATGCATACACATTCATTTTTATGTATGGATCAATTAAGGTACATGTGTCGTACCTTGACATGGTTGACGCATCTGTGAACATGCTTGTCTCCCTGAATTCACTGTAAATTCTGAAGTCATACTATGTGTACCATTCTGGTTATCTGCTGTTAAGTAACAAATGATCCCAACACTTAGTGGCTGAAATTAACATTTATTTTGCCCACAGACCTGCAGTTTGAACAGGTCTTTGCTGGAAAACCTCATCTTTGCTACACTCAAGATCAGCTGGGGTGGTGCAGGGATTAAGGGCTGGAATCATATGAAGGCTCAGTTGCTCACATGTGTGGTGTTTGATGCTGGCTTTCAGTTAAGTCCACAGGTGACCCTGCGGCTAGAACACCTTCACGTGGTCTTTCCATGGAGCTGCTTGGCTTTCTCAGAGTATGGTGGCTGGGTTCCCATCAGACGCCCATCAGAGCAGGGCCTGAACAACTGGTATCATTGATGTTGGCCCTCTGACGTTGAAACTAGGCCTGTAACACCAGCTGAGGTCTGCTGTTGAAGAACACATCTGAGCAAGCATAGCAAAGTAGGCTGTGCATATGAGAGATGTGGAGACAGGGTGGAAGGTCATACTCATGGATTTGTTTTGGAACTCATCCGGTTATGTCTTATTTTGTCTTTCTTATTCCTCTGTATTCTCTTCTGTAATGTCCTTCTTACTGTCACACTCAGTTTCCAAGTCAGCTCTCAGCCTCCTCCATTCCCTGGATATTGATACACTTGTTCTCTCCTGGCATCACATCACTTTAACTGATAGCCTGGAATCAGCCCAACCTGGCCCCTGGCAATACATCAATTCCCAGCATCACACACATGCATTCCCTTGTAGGTCTTCCCTCATGGGGGTCTTCATTTGGCCATTCAAGCTCCAAGGGTTCTACTCTCCTTCCGAGTTTGGCTCCAATAGTGTTAGAGTAAACAATAGGTAATAATGTGTTTACAAGGGCTTAGAATCAGAGACACTATTGAAGAAGACCTTCTTCTGCTCATATTTAAGTATATTTGAAAAACAATTATCAGAGGGCCAAGGCCAATATTGTTAGCTAAATATTTCCGGCTACTTATAGGAGATGTCTGCCATGCTACCTACACTATTTTCTTCACTCAAGTGGGTATCCATAGCATTGACTAACTCCATTTTCCTTTTAATATAGTTTATGATTATTTTTATAGCTTAGACTATTCTAAACCATTCCTTTGAACAGATCCTTAAAGGCCCACCTCCAGCTGCCTCACCATTGCCATCCAAGCACTTCTCCTACTCATAAGATTCAGTGGTAGAGTATGACTTCATGGTAACCACGGGGGGGTTGCCCGATAGAGGAAGATGAAGCAATTGAAACGAATTTCATGACAGCCTTTTGATGTTCAGGCCAGATTCCCTGAGGGGACATTGGTCTGAAGAGATGGTCAGACCTTCCATTTTCTAGTTGAGCTCAAGATGAGTATTTCGCTTCGCTTTCAGAATGATTGTTTTTGGAAAGCTATGAAATGTTATTTATTAACCTTCCATTGCCAATGGCTTCTGTAGTGTGAAATAAAGAAAAAATTAGATTTCCCAATGTGGCAAGGTTTTCATGAGTTAATTTTTGGGACTCAGAAGTTGAACACTGTTTGGAAGAGCTTGGCTGTAGTGGTAGTAATGAAATTGGGTCACATAACAGAGCAAAATTCTTAGGTTCCCTGCCATCACTGCTTGTGATAGCATCATCCTCCCTGGTCCCCAGGATGGTTCAGAGTTGCAAGTCCCTCTCCCATTGCTCCTTATGCCTAGGATTCACAACTTGCTTATCCTTCTGCAGTGTTTCTTTCTTCTACTCTGTCCATTTCTTATCCACGGACACTGCTCTAGCACAAACTTTTTTTTTTTTTAGACAGTTTCCCTCTGTCTCCCAGGCTGGAGTACAATAGCACAATCTCGGCTCACTGCAACTTCTGCCTCCCAGGTTCAAGGGATTCTCCTGACTCAGCCTCCGAAGTAGCTGGGATTACAGGCATGTACCACCACACCCGGCTAATTTTTGTATTTTTAGTAGAGTCGGGGTTTCGCCATGTTGGTCAGGCTGGTCTCCGACTCCTCACCTCAAATGATGCACCGGCCTTGCCCCTCAAAGTGCTGGGATTACAAGCATAAGCCATCCTGCCTGGCCTCTAGTACAAGCTTTAATTGACTATTTTTAAGATGGTGGCACTAATTGAACTGGTCTTCAGCTTTCTTCCTTCCAATTATCTTATAAGCCACTGTCTTATCAATTTTCCTAAAATCCCCATTTAGTAACGTATGCCTTTACTCAGAAAGATTGGCGATTCCTTTTTGATAACTGAATCAAGTTCAGTGTATTCATTACACCAATGAGGTGCTCGGTAGTTCTGTCTTACGCAGCTGCCCACATTCCTGCCATACCAGCTTTGTCGCCAATCTCTGATAGCTCTCCCAGTTTTCTCCTCTTGATGACTCTCCTTCTCATTCACATGTGAAATGCTGGTTCTTCCCTGGTACCATTTCTGACTTGAAATTGTGCTGATTCTCTAAATTTGTCTTTCACCTTCAAAGGCAACCTCGGCTCCCTTCTGAAGAGGAGATGAATTTCTCTGTTGTGTCCTTTGAATGGCTTTGTGCTGTTTTCTGTCTTGTACTCTGTAGAGGTGGGCATGTTGAGTTATTTTGCTAGACTCAAGGCTCGTGCAGGGCAGAAGCTAGGCTTTGCTCACTTCAGCATCACGTTCTCCCACACTTAGAGCCAGACATGTTGTAGGCCTTTGCTAAATGCTGTTGATTTGAACAGAATATTCGCAGATTCTCTCCAGGAAATGGTTGAGTTTAATCTAGACCATCAACTCAAGTTTTTGTGTCTATAAAATGTGTAAAGCAAATATGATAAGAAAGTAGGTATGATTAATTTGATGTCAAGTTACTCTGATCATATTTCCTAAATCAAGACATCAAAACGTGATTTCATAAAGGATGTTTAAAACCTATAATTGACAAAGGACAATAGGACAGTTTCCTCCAAATTGGATATATTAAATTTGATTCCTTTTATATGTTAGCACATAACAACTAATGACTCTTATAGCTGCAAAAATATATAGTAGTGCCAATGGTTGTTTACTCAATATGCTGTCATGGGAAGACTTTAAATATTTTGGTATATGTATCTTTTTAGTTTTTTAAAGAAAGCATACTTACATTTGCCTTTATAAAAACTTGTATAAATGTAAGGGGTACAAGTGCAGTTTTGTTACATGGTATATATATCTTATGCCTTTATTTTCCTCATCTCTTTTTAGAAGTGAGCTCTATCACATGGTACGTTTATGAGAAGAGGAACCAGCAATGTTTCCTTCCATCTTCAACTATACTAACAAGATCCATCTGATGTGTAAGCTAGTCTGGGAATTAGGGGCACAGAAAATTGCATATTAAAGTCATACAACGTTGTTTTTTAAGAAAAGCTCTTTCTGTGATTTGTTGCTCCAAATCTTTCTTCTCTTGTATTAAAAACTATAATGTTGAGAAATGATTCTCTTTGCACCTGGTAACAATATTTTAGTAAGCCTCTTTTCAGTTTTGAATAGTTTGTCATTTTTCCATGAGTACCTTCAGGTCATACATATACTTGGCTTTTAAATTTTTTTTTGGAATGCTATTGTAATGGGCCTGCTGTTCAGTCCCACCACACACTTAGCTACTTCTTTTGGGTGCTTGGGTGCAGATTTTCCTTTGAAGCCAGTCGGAGCTACATGCACAGATGAAACGTGTGGCAGGAAGGGGACATTTCCCACCTTCTCCTCTCTTGGGCCCTTTCATCTCTGTGTGGTGATGTTTTCCACTCCTCCGTAGATAAGAATCTTTTTGTAAATTTCCCATATTTAACACCAAGACTAAATGCTGTTAAGCAACATCAGTCATTCTCACCACATCCACTGAGATTAAAAGTGAGTCAGACAATTAGGTTACTCTGGCAGGAACTGTGGCCCCACAAACTGATTTTTGATAGTGTCTTCCAGCATGTTCTCTACTGCAAATGCTAGGATTCAGGCTAGGGCAATTTCCATTTTGCCTCCCCCTTTAAAAAAAAAGAGAGAGAGAATGAGATATATATTTTAATCTATTCTGGATACTTTCTCTGCTTTTTTAGGGCCAGATGGATGCTCAATGATACCGCTCAGTTCTTACGTGTGGTCACTGGATTTCATCTAACCCTCTTCCCCAGAGGTCTTGCTTAACACTGAAAAACTAAAAACTTAAGAAGAAGACTATCTTCCCCTCCGCCCGCCCCACAAAATGGAATCTTGCTCTGTCACCCAGGCTGGAGTGCAGTGGTGCGATCTTGGCTCACTGCAGCCTCCGCCTCCCGGGTTGAAGCAATTCTTCTGCCTCAGCCTCCCAAGTAGCTGGGATTACAGGCATGCACCACCACGCCCAGCTAAATTTTGTATTTTTAGTAGAGACAGGGTTTTGCCATGTTGGCCAGGCTGGTCTTGACCTCGTGATCGGCCTGCCCCGGCCTCCCAAAGTGCTGGGATTACAGGCATGAGCCACCGTGTCTGGCCCAGAAGAAGACTATCTACAAATTCCCTTGACAATCCATAGCAATAATGAATGGTCTTTCCTTTCAGGAAAGTGCCACCTTAAGTGATTGCTTGAAGAGAAATAACCAGTTGGTTCTTCTCTGAGGGTCTGAAGAGTGCCAGGTCTGCCATGTCCTGCACTCCTTTAGATCATCAGAAGACTTCACAGGCCAGTCCTCGTGCTGACCTGACCATTCCAGACCCTGTAACTGAGGTCTTAGCTTCTTCTTGGTTTCTTTCTCAGAATTATCTTCCAGATCTCTACAACCTAGGAAAGGCTAAAACTGAGGCTTTCTTTACCCTAAAATTATTTCCCACATTTAAGTTTCTCCTACACGAAGTAAACTCAGTGGAGGAAGCTTGCTTTTCACCAACCAGCTCCACTCCAGCTCTTTCAGTTCTGAAATTTAAGGATCTGGAAGGGACAGTCCAGAGACGTTTTAACGAAAGGAAACTAAACTTTTGACTAAAGGACATTATTTGCTTTTAACTAAAGGAAATTCTTAATTTTAACTAAACGAAATTCTTAGTTTTCCTACGTGTGTGTTTTCATATATGCTTGGGGTTGAACATTGAGGGCAAGTGAAAAGTGTTCTTTAAATATTCAGATATAAACTACATTTACTATTAAACTAATCTAAAGGACTCGCCTGCACCACCAAGAGTAATTTTCTTTTAGAATAAACAAAACAAAATTTTGTTTGGAATAAATTGCCAACCAGTAATTTACGTTTACTAACTTATTTAGGATAATTTTCCACGTGTTCTTCAGCAAACTGAATACTCTGTTACTAGATAAGTTTCCTTGTCTATAAAATTAAGCAGAGGAAGTAGATTGTCCCAAAGATGTTTTTAACTATAATCATATTTTTTGATTTTGTGATCCTAGAAAAACTTCAGTGTTTATCCTAGATAAACTTCAGTATTTTCAGTGTGGATAGAAAGGTGATTAGAAGGGACAGCTGGGCAGAAAGACATTAAGTACAGAGTTCAAAGTAATTTGGGAGTCAAATTGGATCCTCTCTCTTCCTCTGAGGAAGTGTTTGAATGACTCAGGAAGGGCCTCCAACCTTCTCCCCTCCTGCTACTTTTTCTTCTTTCTCTTCTTCTTTGTCCTCTTGTTTTCCTCTTTGTTCCCCTTATGCTCCTCTATTTTCTTCATTCTTTCCTTTTTTTTTTTTTGAGGCAGGATCTCGCTCTGTCACCCGGGCTGGAGTGCAGTGGCATAATCACGGCTGTCTGCAGCCTCAACCCCTGGGCTCAAGCAATCCTCCCATCTCAGCCTCCTGAGTAGCTGGGACTAAAGGCACAAGCCGCCACACCTGGCTAATTTTTAATATTGTGTAGAGATGGGGTCTCAATATGTTGCCCTGGCTGGTCTTGAACTCCTGGAGGCAAGTGATCCTCCTGTCTCAGCCTCCCAAAGTGCTGGGATTACAGGTGTGAGCCACTGTGCCCAGTCAATGCAATGGATTTTTACTGGTTTGATATGCGTATTTTATTTTTCAATGAAAGTCCAGTTACCATGATTAAGCCTATATTCTATCTCCTTTGCTACCCCATCCCACACAACTAAGCACCAAAGTTGTCTTAGATTTATTTGATTTCAAAGAACAGGAAAAAGGAAATCAGTAGTTCATTTAGTGATGTTTTCCCTTGGACATTTTCCATGTACCTGAAGAATGATTTTTCCACGTATGTGAAGAGTGATGACCTATTTTTTTTGTTGTTGCTTACCTAGAATTATGTTTTAATATTGATTTTTTTTTTTTGTCAGAGAAGATTTCAAGCAATTTGGAAAAGGTTTTAAAGTCATTCAGTCTTTAGAAAATTTGTCCTGTCGATACTATGAAATACATCTCTCTCTATATATTCATTTTTGAATTGATGGACAGATGACAGGAAGTAGGCAGCAGGATTCAGTATTAAACAGCAATCTGATCTGTAGTACGTGAAAATAAGCTGGAAAAGAGCAAAAACAGATATATGCATGAGAATTTGGTCTCAAGTCAGAAAATAGCAAACAAGTACTTCTATTAGAATTTTTTTTTAAAAGTAAAGCTAGAAAGTGGGAATGTTTGATACCATTATGAACAAATGAGCTAATTATTTTATGTTTTATTGAAAAGTTATCTGTTGCCTTATGCCATGTTGAAAATTTTAGAGATTAGTTGAAAGGGAATAAGAATGATTAAAAGTTTGGAAGGCTGAATTTATGAGGAAAAATTTTAAAAAGGCAAAGTTCTAATCATGATCTTCCAGTAAAAGGTAGTGTGGTTTGGTGGGAAGGGCAACAGTTTGGGAAACAGAAGATCAGTGCCTGACCGCAGCTACTCCCAATGACCCCCTGTGTCAAATTGTCCATATTTGTCAAATGAGGGCACTGTATTGCGTGATTTTTTAAAAGTCCTCCCAGCTCAAACTTTATAATGGCCTTTCCTCTACCAAGAATATAAAACAAAAAGAAATATGCAGAGTGTATTGAGTTAGCCTTGTTAAGGGGGGAAAAAAAAGATACAGCATTTTTAAAGCTAGGGATGAAACACTCATAGAATTTAGGAAATTTTATTCCATTTATAATCTTGGCATTTGGGTTCAGTGCTTATCTTCTTTTCTTTCCCTTCGCAAAGCCCATTGTGTCTTGCTTATTCTTGGCAGTGTTCAAACACAAGCTCTAGGAAAGAAAAAAAGGAATAAAAATAGAAAAATTAATGCAAGTACAATTTCTTCTGGGGAGTCCACTGGTTTCCTCTCAGCTTGCCCTACTTTTTCTCAAACCTGGCTTGCATACCAATGTGTTGTGTTTCTCTGCAAATCTTGTTAGAGTTTTTGCACAACAACAACAAAAGTTTAAAAAAAGAACGAGAATTACAAAACTAAATCAAACTGACAGGCTACCAGTACTTAAAAGCAGAATAAGAGCGAATTCCCCTCTGCACCCAAGTCCTTCAGGAACTCATGGAAATAAGTAAATAATTAACTACTTTTACTTGAAGTATGATAAAGAGGGCCTCTGGGTTTGTTGAGCAAGCACTAGATGATCTTCAGCGTCCTATGTGGTCCAAAGTTTCCATAACATGTTTTCTGCCCTCAGGGAAATCACATTTCAAAAGTGGGGAAAAGGAAAGTTTAGACTAAGCTAGCGTGGCTCATTTGAAAAATGACAAAAGCTATTTTACCTCTGAGTATGTCTCTAAACACCTCTGGCATTCCATACAAATACAATTATTTTCTCCCCTGGGGAGTTCACTAGTTTAGGTGGGTTTTTGTTTTCTAGTTGCTTGGGAGAGTGAGTCATGTTTCAAAAGCTAAACCATTAAGCAAAGAATAGCAAGCCATAAGCAAAGGACACAGTGTAGAGTGAAAAATCTATAATGGTCTATGCGCTTATGAACTATTTCGTATTTAAGAGAAGTTTTACTTTTTGAAAAATTCAAAGGCATAAATATAATATTATCAGTTTTCAGTAGTTGGAAAACAAATCAAAGTTAATTGTAATGAACACTTATTGATCGTGGAATCCTTGCACTTTAGAAAGGATTTCAAAGGCATCTATTATTAAAAAAAAAAAAAATCTCTAAAATCCAGCTAATAAACTGACTCGCTAATCCAGGGAAAGAGGGGCATCAATACTTGGCAAAAAAAAAAAAAAATCACTCTGCTTGTTCTGGGTATAAGCCTTTGGGTCTGTTTTCCAGGGTGAAGAGAGAAGGAAACATTCCCTATGTGATTATGCATTTGTGTGTATTGTATACAGAATTTTTTTGTGAGGTGTTATAAATCAGACAAAAGAGAAAACGCATTTTACCCAGAAATAGCAATTACTTAGGGGGATAAAATACAGCAGCATAAGAAAGACTAGGAACTATTAACAATCCGCTTATCACCGAATGAAAGTGTTGTCCTACACACTGATTGTGGAGTTGAATATCATATCATAGATAGAAGTGACAGATCCATACAATCTGGCTTTTCCTTCATTCAGTTTCTTAACTTGTGGCTAGAAGCCAGTGATATATTTTGCTGTCTTTGTTCCTCCCTCCGCGCGTGCTCTGGTGAGCAGCTGTTATGTTTTCCTTTCCTTGCTTAGCCATGATCAGTGTACTTTTTTGAGGTCCTAGTAAGAATTTTAATCAGTCCTGGCCAGTAATTACTCTCTTTCCAGATGTAAATCTCTTACGCATACTTCATTTTTATTCTTCTCCAGTGTTATGAAGAAGGGTGAAATTCTGTTACAGAGCTTGTTGTACCATTAGCAGGAAGGGCATAAGTTGCTTCCCTCAGTCCTCCTGTAAAATGGGTGAGGGCGTCGTTTTCTGATACTGCTAATCTAAAACAAAGGTATTTTGGTGATTGCATATGCTTTGGTTTTTCTCCTTCCCTGAACCCAAGAATGTTCAGTGTTTTATTATTTCCACATTGCGCAGGTTCTACCTAGTTTAAAGAAGACAAATTTGTCAGGAACAATAGCTGTTGTATCTCTCAATGCATTCTCAACATGCCCAGCATACATCTACAAAACTTTTGAGTGTTTCACCCAGTGAGGGTATGAAATAGTTTAGAATAAGATTTTTAATTTTGGCCATTTTTATCAGCTTTGACTTTCTCCATATTATCTCAGAAACCATTATGTGACATTCAATTAACTGAATTATCTGCTCCAAATATTTTATTTATTTGATTTATATTTATGCAATTTTTACATATCATAGATATATGTAAAATGAGGTTCTTGTCCTAATAGAAGAATGCCTTGCAAACAAATAACTGCGATATATGCTGATTTGTCAAGATCTATGTGAGTAGGGCAAAAACTAAATCTTATAGGAGTCCAGGAGTGGTAACGAGACATTTCTGGTTGCTTCCATCAGGGAATACTTCAAAGATTAGGTGGCATTTAAACTCAGCTCCTAAGTGAAAAAAATTTTAACAAAGATGGGGTGGAGTATATATTGGTCAAAGGATCCAAAATTTCAGTTACACAGGAGGAATAAGTTCAATAGACCTATTGTACAACACAATGACTATAGTTAATGGCAATGCATTATATACTTGAAAACTGTCAAAATGGTAGATATTAAGTATTCTCACCACAGAATAATATGTGTGATAATGCATGTTAGTTTGATTTAGCTATTCCACAATGTATATATATTTTAAAACATCATGCTGTACACCATACATATATACAATTTTTATTTGTCAATTTAAAAAATCAAAATCAAGGGGGTAAAAAATAGAAATGGGGAGAATGGGGAGGGGGTTTTAGAAAGAGAGCTGTTTAAACAAAGATACAGAGATATGATAATGCTAGATGAATTGTCAGGAGGAAGGCTGTCATATCTTGCAGCAGGAAGCCAATATATTTAGACTAAAAGCTAAGACTGAAAAATTAGGTACAAATTAGATTGTAGACGATTTTGAATGCAAGGCTAAGAAGTTTAAATCTAAATCAACAGTTATGGGAACTTGACACTATTAGATAGGAATAGTTTGGTTGGGAAGACCATATACGGGAGACCAGTTGCCATCTATTGTGTTGTGTTGAGGACTGAACTTTGGGCCTCAACTAGGAAGCTGCTGGTGGTCATGGAAAAGAAGAGAGAGATATCAGACATTCCAGAGGCAGAAGTAACAAAATGAGAAGTCTAACTGAAAAGAAAAAGAGAAGTCTGAGACAAATGAGATGGGAGCTGTGTACCCTACAGGATTGTCCTGGTGAATCTTGTTCTTTCTCTACTTCAATGTGTGCATATCTTGGAGCATGGAGTGGGCTGTGCAAAGCACACTCTTCATTCTGAATGCTCATCTTCTCCAACTTTACATTTCTGAAATCAAGATACGTCTTACCATCTATGGATGTGTTTAATATGGAAATTTTTCTTGAAAGGCAGTTAGTAAATCAACAGTACATATTTTAATTGATGGTACCTTATCATCAAAGAAATAAAGTGTACATTATTGCTGTGTTTGGGTTTTGCTTTCAAAACAAAGTTATTGTTTTGGGTTTTGTTTTTCAAGCAAAATTATTCTATAGTCTTGCAATTAAGCCAAACAGCCTAGAATGCATAAATTACATTTAAATATTAAAGACACAGTAAATATTATCCAACAAACACCTACATTGCCCAAAGTAAAGAATCACTGTAAAAATAAGTCAACTGTCAGAGCTTTGGGCAGATTATGAATGTATTCATCAAATGTTTACTGATGAGCTCTCATGAAAAAGCCACTCTTCTAGGTGCTAGAGGGACAGAAAATAAATGAGAAAAGAATTCTGTCTTGGAGGTGGAGCTCCCAAGAAGAAAAAACAGGTATACATAATTTTAACAAGGCAAAATGTGATTTATCATAAGAGAGATCCCCAAGTTGTGCTTTGGATTATTTGAAGAGGGGATGCTCATGTTTGCTTGGGAATATCAGACGAGACTTCAGGGAAGATGTGGCATTTAAGTTGGGCTAGGAGAGTGGGGAGAATTTCTGTAGCTAGAGGTCAGAACCTGGAAAGGACCATGTTTGTTCAGGGAACACAGCAGTCCAGAGTAGTTGGAGTGTAAACCATAAGCAATAACAGTGATAACTGTAGGATGCATTTGCTGAGCAATTACTATGTACCAGGCACTGTTGTGTTTTACTTTGTGATATGCAGTGTTATTGGTCCCATTTTACAGATGAGCACACAGAAGCACAGTTAAATAACTTGTGCAAGGGGCTAAGAGCCCAAGCATCACCAGTAGGCTTTACTTCTTTCGTAAGCAGGACACATGTAAGAGCACGCACACAGTGATGTTCAGCTATGAAAGAATGCTGAATACAGGTCAGGGGAGGTGTTGCAAACTTATGTTAAAGAGTTTGAAGTTTATTCTATAGCCAAAGTGACAGCATTATCTAGATTTGGAACACTATGTCACTATCATCATGGTGTGTATAGTAGAATTGAACCATAATTGTCTTTAGTAATATGGTACCAGGAAAGTGTAGAATTGAACCATAATGGTCTTCAGCAATATAGTACCAGGGAAGTGTAAATTGTGTGTCAAATTCTAGCATCTTTCAGGGGACATTTAAACTCCTAAATTTTCATAAGACTTTGCATTCTCAAAGACCTTTTCTATTGCCTATGTCATTTATTTTGATTCTCATAATGATGTGGCATTTCTTCCTGTATTGGTTATAAGGGGAAATGTACCCCAAACTGGCACTGATTTTCTCAAAGCTCTATGGCTGACAGGTGGTGGAGCCAGGGAAAGAAACAAGGTATCTGGAGCCTGGATAATTGCTACTGTCTTCTGCTTAGTCCTTGGCGCTTTCTTCTTTTTACTGGTTTTGTCTCAACAATCCCCCTTTTTACAATCAGAGGTGTAAATGAGCATGTGTATGAGAACTGATAGGTTTGCTTGACACTGCAAGTCAGTTCTCCTAAGCAGAAGATAGTATTCTTACCAAGCAAGAGAAGTGGACCATTCTCTGGCTGACATTAGCAGAAGCAGGAGGTCAGGTGTTTGTCCCGTAGCTTCTGTACATTTCCGTTGATGAGTAGGGAGCAGTCCTAGCTGGCTACCTCTGGAAACTCAGTGTCTGGCTAACACGGTGAAACCCCAAAATTTATTTTCTTACAGTTCCAAAGGTTAGAAGTTAGAAATGGAGGTGTCACCAGGGCATGCTCCCTCTGAGACTCTGCACAGAAGCCTTGATTCCCTCTTCTCTGCTTCTTGTGGTGGCTGTCAATTCTTGGTGCTTTTTGACTAGCAGCTACAAAGTTTACAATCCCAAATCTGCCTCTATCATCACATGGGGTTCTTCCTGTGTGTCCATCTTCACATGGCATTTTAATCTTCTTATAGGACACCAGTCATATTGGATTAGGGCCCACCGTAATGACTTCACCTTAAAAAGACCCCATTTCTAAATGAGGTTACTCTTACAGGTACCAAAGGTAAGGATGTCAACGTATCTTTTTAGGGGGACACAATTCAGTCCATAAAAGATAGAACCAATAATTGACAATCTTCCTTTTATTAAGGTTAGCTATATACTTGTCATCACTTTCTCAAGATTGTAAACTTCTTAGGCGTATGAGCTGAGCTCTAATAGAAGAAATACTTTGATCCTCTTTGGTAAATCCATAGTATTGTTAGAATTATTGTTTTAATTGTAATCACACAAAACCTTTTTTGTCAGTCTCTATCTTTCCTACTTGATTTTTTTCCCCATGAGGGCATGGATCTGGCTCATTTTTACATTCTCACAGGGTTAGCACAATTAACAGGAGACAGTATTGCAGAGTGGCTAACCTTCTCATGTTTGGAAAATGATGATATGGTTTCTAATTCTGGCTGTTCTGGGTCTTAGCTGTTAACCTTAGGCAAGTATGTTGGCTTCAGAATCCTCATCTGAAAAGAATGATAAATATCATACTCTTCTTACGGTTTGTATGAAATTGGAAACATTTTGCATATTGCCTGTTATTATAAATATATACTCAGTAAGTGCTTGCAGAATTGAATTCAAGGAGGCCAAGCAGTCTAGTCATAGTTCTGCCATTAAATTACTCTATTCCTTTGAGCAAGACTGCCATCTTTTCTGAGCCTTCATTTGTTTACCTGCAAACTAAGGGAGTAGATGAGATGACTCTAAGATCCCTTCCAGTCTGTAAATTCAGCTAGTGTCTTCTTAGGACTTCAATAATACATATACACACTTACATATACACATATGTATATACATATACATATATACACATACATATACAGAAATAAATAAATATATGAGATATATATATATATATATATATATATATATATATGCAGTCAGTCCTCTGTATCCATGGGTTCCACATCTGTGAATTCAATCAACAATGGATTGAAAATATTAGAAAATAAAAATGGATGGTTGTAGCTGTATTGAACATGTACAGACTTTATTTTCTTGTTATTACTTCCTAAACAATACAACTATTTGCATAGCATTTACATTGTATTAGGTATTATGAGTAATCTAGAGAGGATCTGAAGTATATGGGAGGATACGCATAGATTATATACAAGTACTACATTATTTTATATAAGGGACTTGAGCATGTGTGGATTTTGGTATCTGCAGGGATCTTGGAACCAATCCCCCACAGATATCAAGGGATGACTGGAGATATACAGATGGAGAGAGAGAGAGAGAGAAAGAAAGAGAAATATATATATGTATTTGATATATATAGCAAACCAATATATACTCGATTCTATTCTTTACTGAGGAGTCTAACAAATAGTATGGATTTATTAGAGGGCTATATTGTTATTGGTTTCTCTCCTGTGCTTACTACCCTGAACTGTATATATTTGACTTATGTCAATTAAATAAAATTTGAGAAATGTTTATGGCTGCCTATTATAAGTCAGGCTCTGTGCTAGGTTATGGGCACCCAAAAATGACTGGTATACTATTCCCTGTGTTACATTTGAATCTCAAAACAATTGAGGTTTCATATCTTTTTTTACAAATTGTAAACAGTCAGGAAAAGAAATAAAATAGAGGATTCTGGTTTTCTAAGAAGTTACCTTACTGATCTTCTGTAGTTCCTTCTGCTACACACACACACACACACACACACACACACACACACACACACACACATAACTTTCTAGACTCTGAAAACAAAAGTGGAGAAGGTGAGGATCATTCCAACTGTTGCTTCCTATTGGCCTTTCTCTGCCGATCCACTTACCATTCTCAAAGACAAGTCCCCTATAGGGGGCAGAGCGAATCCAGGCAGCTCCAGAAGGTAAGCAGAGTGGAGGAGTGTCTATTTGGGGAACACTAAGGTGAAAGTTCTCCCTAGAGCTCGTCCATCCACATCTGGATGTGACTTATCACCTTTATTCAATGGGTTGAGTTGGGACCTCCCTAGTCGGTAATATTTGAACTGGGATTTGGAGAGAGAGAGAGAGAAGACAAATGAAACAGGCCAAGGGGAACAGTGTTTTGGGCAGAAGAAGCAGTGAGTGCAAAAGCCCTCAGGAGGAACTGCTTCCTGCTGGAGGAACAGAAGGAAGGCCAGCGTGACCAGGGTGATATGAAGTTGTAGGATCTGCTAGAACATGCAGGACCTTGAAGGATAGGGTAAGGAGTCTGGATTTTATTTGAAGCCCTGGGGAAAATCACCTAGATTTCATGCTGGTGTTTTGTTGTTCCAAGTATTACACAAAATTCCAGTCCCCAAACAGGTTTCTTGCTTTCTAAGAAGTTACTTTCTACAGCCCTGAAGCCCTTGCCGATTCTGTGGGGCTGCCTGTCCACGCCCATTGGGCAGGAGTTAAGATTAAGTAAAAGCCAAGCCCTGAGTGTGACGCAGGATGCTAAGTAAGGGAAGAGGAAGGAACTCTGTCACTTGTTTACCTTGAATTTTGACAGAAGATTTGGATTTCGAAATGGAACTGTGTGTGTGGTAGGGAAGGGTGGGGGTAATAAGTGAATTAGACACTAGAAAACTGCCACTTTAGAAACAGTGGATTTCAAAAGAACACACCAATGCCCTTTACCATCACAAAAATTAATGGCTACTCTCTGCTACTACATTATTTTGTGGAGACTTCAGTAGATCTTTTTGAGGAGGAAAAAAAAAAGACAAAGAAATATGAAAGAATTGCCTAAAAGAATGAAAACAAAATCACATTAAGCAAAATAAAATCTTAGCCTGTAAACCAACACCAAACAGCCAGTGGGTAAACCAATAATTCTCATTGGTAAGCATAAACAGAGGTATGAGGACCTTTAAAACCATAAGACATTATGAACTAAATGTGATTTGCTTTTTAAAATTCTTTGTGAATTGTTGATATTTTTAAAGTTGACCAAATAATATATGAATGCGTACTTACTATAAAAGATTCAAGCCATATATGGCATACACTTTGAACTTTCCTACCCATCTTCTCCCACAATGGTTCAAGAAGTAACCACTATTCTATTAACAGGCTGGTATATATCTTACTAGTCTTTTTTTTAATGTCTGTACATGTTAGTGTACATATATGTATGTGAACTTTAAGAAAAAAGTATAAATGAGATCACACCATACCTATTATTCTACCGTTTTCTCCACTTTGTCTTAAAACTCTTTATCAGCATATGAATGTTTATTGTATACTTTTCAATAGGTGCACAGTATTCCATTGAATTAAATTACCATAAATTATTTAACCAGTTCCCTATTAATGTAAATTTAAAACTCCGGTTTTTTGCAATCACAAACAATGCCACAAGAGTCATTCTTGAATTGTTTTTTGCACATATGGAAGTATTTCCATAGGGTCAATTCTCTCTCTTTTTTTTTTTTTTTTCTTGAGACAGGGTCTTGCTCCATCACCCAGGCTGGAGTGCAGTGGCTCCACCATGGCTCACTGCAACCTCTGCCTCCTGGTCCAAACCATTCTCCTGCCTCAGCCTCCCGAGTAGCTGGGATTACAGGCACCTGCCACCACGCCTGGCTCATTTTTGTATTTTTAGTGGAAATGGGGTTTCACCATGTTGGCAAAGCTGGTCTCGAACTTGTGACCTCAGGTGATCCACCCAACTCGGCCTCCCAAAGTGCTGGGATTACAGGCGTGAGGCCCTGCACCCTGCCCTAAGGGTCAATTCTTAAAAGAAGATTCACTACCATTAACTGTCAAAAGTGTAACACATTACATGTTGCACATTTAAAATTTGGATACTGTCAAATTACCCCACTGTTATTATGTCTTTATTGATTTGTATTCCTACCAAAAGTGTTTAAGTGCTCACTTACTTGCAATTTTGCCAATACTGGATTTCACTAACCTTTATTATTTTTGTTTATTTGGTGAGCAAAAAGTAGTATCTATTTCAGTTTTTGCTTTCCTGATTACTAATTAGGGTGAGTTCCTTTAATAAATCTATCGACAATTTGTATTTCACCTGTAAATTATCTGTTCCTAGCCTTTGCTATTTAAAAATACTTTGTTGAGAAGTATAATTTTAAGAACTCTATTACAACCATTGAGCAATTTTCTGTCACAAATAATTTCTTGCTATCTTTCACTTAGCTTTCACCTGTGAACATTATAGCTTTCATTGAACAGAAGTTTTTCATCTTTACATTGCTAATGCTTTCTGGGCTCTTATGTATTGTTAGGAAAAGCATTCCCAACCTAATTATATTAAATATTCTATATTTTCTGCTATTCTTTTATAGATTTTAAATTATTTTTACTTTTCTAACTCCTTAAGCTGCCTGGAAATTACTATTATATTATCATAAAAAGCTAAGATTTAATTTTTTTCAAATGGGTTCCAGTCTTATTTATTGGAAGATATATTCTTTTCCTAATACATTGAAATAACTTCTTGGAAATATAAATTTCTACATATGCATGTGTATGTTTGGGGAGTCTCTATTCTTTGATAATATTGTATTTATAGACATTCTTTTTATTGACCTTTCCTGTTTGACAATACAGTTCTAACCCATATAATATTAAAGACAGATTTCCCAATGCCCATCCTTACCTCCATCTCTTACCTCTTTTATTTTCAGATTTTTCTTGGCTAGTCTTGTGCACTTTCTCTTTCAGATGAGTGTGAGAACGTGTGTCAAACTTTATAAACAAACAAGCAAGCAAACACACAAAACCTACAGAGATTTTGACTTGCAGTGAACTATTTTAGAACATTTGGGGATAATAAACGTCTTTACAAGATGGGCTCTTCTCATATGAGAACATGGCATACCTTTCCTTAGTCCGGACTCTAGAATTTTCTTCATAACATCTTAAGAATGCTTGCTAAATTCATTTCTGTTTTATGACTTTTTGGCTATTTTGATGTGTCTTTCTCCCATTCTTATAAGTTCTTTTGTAATAAGATAATATTATAGTATAATATATTAACAAATATATAACATAACTGTTATTGTATAAGAAGCTTGTTTCTTTATATTTGTATGTTGTCTTTTGAATGCTATACTTCAGAAAAATTCTCACCAGGTTTTTGTTCTTCATGAATTGTCCTGGATAATCTAGTTATGAAGCCGTATAATCAACAAACTTGACAGTTTCATTGTGTTTCTTTATAAATTCAATATCTTTTGTTTGTGATATACTGTAAAATTGTGAAGAGTGATGATGGTTATGGTCATCGTGGTCTGCCTTTTTACAATAATGAAAACATTTACATTTCAATATTAAGGTTAATGTTGGGTGGGTATTTCTGGTAGATACTCTTCATTATGGTAAGGTATTTTTCCTTCTATCCCCAGCTTACTTGGAATTTTTAAAAGCAAAAATCAATCTTAATAGCTGCGACATCTATTACATTGAATTTAATTTCTTTTTAATGCAGAAATTTAGTGATTTTATTTTATTGCCTAAGGTCATACTCTTTGCCTCAAATAGATTTGAATGAACTCATTTCAGTAAATTATTCCTGCCAGGCGCAGTGGCTCACACCTGTAATCCCAGCACTTTGGGAGGCCGAGGCGGGTGGATTACAAGGTCAGGAGATCGAGACCATCCTGGCTAACAAGGTGAAATCCCGTCTCTACTAAAAATACAAAAAAATTAGCTGGGCGTGGTGGCGGGCGCCTGTAATCCCAGCTACTCGGGAGGCTGAGGCAGGAGAATGGCGTGAACCTGGGAGGCGGAGCTTGCAGTGAGCCGAGATCGCACCATTGCCCTCCAGCCTCGGCGACAGAGCAAGACTCCGTCTCAAATAAATAAATAAATAAATAAAATAAAATAAAACAAATTATTCCTATATTCAAATAGAAACAGCCCTCTTCACTGAAGCCAATTTCTATTGGGTGTGGTGAATACAATTCATTTATTTCATGGTTGTTATGGCAGCAAGATAAAGATATATATGCATCAGGTTAAAAATAAAACTAAATGAAAATTATCTATCCATCTCTCTATATAGACAGGTGGTCTATATGCCTCTATATCTTGATCTTGACGTTTATATTTGATTGGACATATTCTTAAATATTTTATTAATCAAGTAACTTTAAAATAAAAATAGCTACTTTTTAAAAAATACAATAGTCCTCAAAGAAGGAAAATACTCCGGGTAATAAGTGGTCAACCAATTATATATTTCTCTTAAAGCTTTAATCTTTCTTGGAAAGACATCTTCATATTATAGAACAATTCCCTTAGTACAAAAATGTTGTTCATTCCGGTTGAGTTAAACCCTCTCTACCTTTGTCTTAATAGGTTAATGAACAAAAGTTTGTTTTGAATGAATTTTAAACAAATCCAGAATTAGGGTTCCTTTAACTATTGGTTATCCTGGTTACTTTGTGTTTCTTTTTAAAGGGATTTTTGCTGTTAGGGCTTTATCTCTCCAAAAAGGTGATAGTCTGTAGAAATTGGGGAACTCATTAGAGGGCTGACGCTTTTTTTTTTTTTTACAGAGTGATTCAATAGTCTACTGTTCTTCACACTCTATGTGAAGAGTCTTTTCTGTTTTCTATAAGCCTGTATTTTCATTCAGTTTTATTTTTAACCCGATTAAATTATGTGGTATGAATGGGAACACAATATAAAGCAAAGCAATTACAACTACAATGGTTGATGTCAGGGCTGAAAGTCTCAGAATCCCCCCTCTCATACCTTTCTCTTTTTCTTCTTCTTCCCTTATTTCCCAGGACATTCAAAGGATCTCCTTACATTTTCATGAGTACAGTTTTAAAATCATTGCATAGACTACCTCTTAAGACTCAAACAACCCGCATTCACAGAGCATTTTGTATAGATATATGGATAAGTCCACAGGAGAAGCTGCCTTTTAAAACCTATGCACATCCTGACTGCTTCCAGGTGGCCCCAATACTACTGTGTACCTTCAGCATGGACCCTTCAACATGAAGCCATCTCTGCCATATGCCCAACATGCTCAAAGTACTCCCCCTAAACCTGAAATAGATAAAGTTGCAAAAGGAATATTTAAAAGTGCAGTTAATGATGTTTCTAGGTGATAAGTGCACCAAATGAATGTGTCTACTTTTATATCTAAAAGAGTGTTGAAATTATCTTACTGAGTTATTTCATGAAACACTGATCTAGATAATCTATTTAAAGCCCCAATTGAATTTAGTGGCTTAATCCCTTGAATGATATTGCAATCTACCCATAGCTTCATGATTTGAT
Source organism: Homo sapiens (assembly GCF_000001405.40). Taxonomy (NCBI): domain Eukaryota; kingdom Metazoa; phylum Chordata; class Mammalia; order Primates; family Hominidae; genus Homo; species Homo sapiens. The sequence continues at coordinate 157,448,582 of NC_000002.12, read as the reverse complement.
TGAATTAAACTTGAATAAATCAGAAAATTGTTTCCTTGCACTTGTATTAAAAACATAGTAGATTTGATGTATTGCTAGCTATTATTTATATTAGGTTTAAAGTTTTTCTTTGTGTTGTTTTAAATATGCATGTCACAACTCTAAGCCAATATTTGGCTTATATCACACTAGGATTTCTAATATAGGGTCTTTATGACCTTTGTTTCTGTTATTTTCCTTTCCTGAGCTGCCTATTTTTCAGGGCTTGTCCTAGTTACAAATTTTTAGTTTATCCTTTTCTGAAGAAGGCTATTACTCTCTGGGGAGTAGTGTTCATAATTCCAGTGATCCACACTGAGTTGGATGAGGACATCTGTCTACCCAGCTCCATCACTCAAATAAGGTGATACATAGGACAGAGCAGTTTTCACAGTTAGTGGATCCTCATATATGAGAGTAACTTTACTAAATCAAATTTACCTTATATAAATTCAAAGGCACAATATTCAAATATTGTCTATATGACTTTAACACATCTCCTACATCATTCCAGAGACCCAAATAAAAACTTCCCTTCCAAATGAAGGCAAAAGGCCAAAATAAAACAAATTAGCAAACCAAACCACAACAAAACAAAATCCTGTGATGTTCCAGGAAGCCAGATAAAATCTTCTTGTGCAAATAAAGGCAAATAGCAAAAATAAAACAAACAAAAAACTCAACAGCTATCTTAAGATCAGAAAGGCATAGAGGAAGTCTCATTTTTTAAGCAACCAGTTACTCTTCTTCTGTGTCTTACAATAATCCAGAAATTTCACACATTGGCTCTGATGATGGTTTTCAAACACATCTTGATATTCGATGGTAAGGAATTCACATGTATTGTGTAGCCTTTAGACTTCTTCAGGGTGACAAGGGCATCCTTGCTGCACATAGAGGCACTTAGTAATGAATAGGGCTATTCATATAGAATTCATGTTATATCCTTTTTTAGCTTTTCCTTTTGAAGGCTTGTTACTTAAAGCAAAATTCAGTAGATATAGCTTACTTTATACCATGTGCTATTCATGGGCTATTCTGTCTATTTTTTCCTGCAAATTTTTGTTTTAGATATGTGAACACTAAAGTTTAGAGAGTGTATTAGTCAGTTCAAGCCACCATAACCAATACCATAGCATAACAAATACCATAGACTGGGTGGCTTTAAACAATAGAAATTTATTTTCTCACAGTTTTAGATGCTGGGAAGTCCAAGATTGAGGTGCTGGCAGATTCAGTTCCTGGTGAGGGATCTCTTCCTGGCTTGCAGGAGGCTGCCTTCTTGCTGTGTCCTCATATGGTGGAGAGAGAGTCCTCTGCCACCTCTTCCTATGAGGGCACTAATCTTATCAGATCTGAGCCTTACCCTTATGACTTCGTTTAACCTTAAATGATTCATTAACCTCCTTATAGGCCCTATCTCTAAATACAGACACATTGAAGCTCAGGGCTTTAATGTATGAATTTTGGGGGGATACAACTCAGTCCATAGTCTTTAAAGCAGCAGAGCTAGGACTTGAATCTAAGTAGTGTGACACTGGAACCCTGTTGTCAACCCTCTTACAGCTGCCTAAGATTTTCATGGATGATTGTAAGGTTGGCTCAGTTTGTCTTGCAAACCTTTCCACCTTTCTTTCTCTGTTCCGTGCTTTAGGTATATTCCTCTCACCTGACTCTACCAAATCTCCATGTTGTAGGCCCTCAGTGTTCATCTCATTTGTACTAAAGATTAATTCCTTCCAAGGGTATTTGCATATTTATGAACAAAATGTTCCAAATAAGAGCTTTGCCCCACATAACAAATATTAGCTTTTAGAGCATAAAGGCAGATGAGACGTATTTTTAAGAGACTCTGTCCTCATCTCTCAGATCACCCCTTAGTGAAAATTGTAGCACTTTGGAATATGGGCTTGTAGTACATACATTTCCTACCAAATTAATTTTTTTCCTTATTAATACCACAGAACACTATTGTTTAATCATTTTGTTTAATATCTACCTTTCTCTTTTTATTAACATTTATTGAACAATTTTTGTATGTAGGACATAAAGTATACATTTAAAGATAAAAGATGTTCCTTGCTTTCAAGGAAATTGGACATTAGCAGAGAAACAGATTTGTATACAATTAACTATTGCCCTAACTAGAATATATTAAGTCTCAAAAGAAGAATCTAAAAAAATGATATGACATTTCAGAGAATGAAATCAGATAATATAAAATAATTTTTATTTTATTTTATTTTTTTGTGAACAGTGAGATACTCCTGAAATCTTTTGAGTACCTAGGTAGCTTGATCCAATTCATTTCCAGAATCACCTCTCTAAAATAAATGGGAGGCTGAAGGGGAAGAGAGTCTGGTCTATTATAATTTTCCTAAGGTAAATCCTAAAAGAAAAGAGATGTTCTAAACAGTAGAACACCTTTGTAAGTCAAGGATTTGTTGTTTGGAAGTCACATTCCCCTTAAAAGATTACTGTTTCTCCACCCTTTATCACAAGGGACACTTTTGATCATGATATTAGTGACTGGCATGACACAGGCACTGACAGAACAGGGAAATGACCAATAAAAATAGACTAGGTCAAAAATTTGTAATTAACAGGTGTGACCACATTGATATGGGCTGGCTGGATGTCAGAGGTACTTTTGACCCTTGTTTTGTATCCAGGTATCCCATTATTTGAAAAATTTTACTTAACACATTTCATGAGTTAAGTAATAAGTATTTTCCAGTTTCTTAATTGAATGATGATCTATGATTTACATCAGCTTAAGGTCAGTATTACAATGAATTGGTACAATTTTAGTAGTCATTTATAAAAATGGGTGAGTCAGTTGGCCTGAGTGGGTGGCCTTATATTAAGCAAATGTATAATTTCCATTTGGCATTTTAAAATATTAAGAATAAAAATTAAAAATATTTACCTAACTTTATCAGATTCCTAGGGTACAGTGGACTGCTGTCATCCATTAATAGTGATGATTTAATTTATGTGCCTCTTAGCCTGAAAATGTTTTTAAAATCAATCTCTCTCTCTGTCTTCCTAATACACACACACACACACACACACACACACACACACCCCACATATACCTGTATACATATCTGTACATATCTATAAATATAGATTTTACGTGAATATCTTTATAATTGATGTATTCTTTAGTTGCCAAGGTATTTACCACTCCCTTTTGCCTTACACATTTATGTTACTTACCTGGCTTCTGAAAACGTATGTGTTTTTAATTCCTGATTTAGACCGTTATATGTTTGTGGTGATATCACTTTGTCCATGTCAAAATTCAATTCCAGTATAATGAGTCATGCTGTGATAGAGTTTTTAAAATCTATAATTGGCTTCAACTTTTGAAGCACTATTAATTCAGATTTTACTATTTATATTTGGCAATTTCTACTTGAGTTGAATTCATCTTCACTTCCAGTACACACACATTTCATTTTAGTTCAAAGATTTGCTAACTCTTTCAAATGCTAGTATTGATCTTCAGAGATTTTAAAAAGCACATTTGACTTTTTGTGCCATATAAAACTTCTCTTTTTGACTTTTGTTTCGATTCTTCCTTTTACTTGCCTCCCCTACTCCTCCACTGAAACCAGTTCTCTCAAAACTACCTGCCCCCAACCTCAGCCAAAGGAAAAAAAAAAAAAGCATCTGTGATCTTGAGTACTTGGTGATGGTGCCCTTGACCCATATGCACATGCAGGGACCAACAGGCAATGTTCTTGGTGCCACCTTGGTTTGCCTGTTACCTTCCTGCCCACTCCTTTCCTCCCCTGGGACCACTTGCTGATGCTGCCGCAAAGTCTCGTCTAAGAAATGGCAACATTGTGCCCTAAATGTGCTGGCTTTCCCTTCCCATTGTACTTTGTAAAGATCATGGGTAATTTTTGTAAGGACAAAGTAGTAAAAGGACAACCAGAAGAATGCTGAATGGTTACAACCTCAGTGGCAGATATAATGTCTTTTTGATGAACATTAATGATCTAGGGTATACTTCAGGGAAAGTACAGTATTACAAGGACTTCGAGAGAGAACATTATGACCGGCACCTGTAATTCTTGCCCATATTCACAAGAACTGAATGTCCTCGTGTGCTGACTTCTGCATTGCATTGCTAATGTTAAGTAAGAGAATGGATGGGAAACAAATGGTAGCACTTGGGGACATTTTTCTTTCTTCTCTAAAGAAAAAAATGGCAAATGGTGGTGTGAATGCAACTTGCCACAGAACATAAAAGCGTAAGAATTCTGGCTGTTTGAGGTGAAAAAATAAGTTGATTTTTCTTTAAATTGTAAAAATTAGCTCCAGGTTCTCTCAGGAGCTTAAAGAAAAAAAGCTTTGAGAAATGGGAGTGAATAGCAAGATAGGGTTTGTGTAACAAGTTCCTCAAACCACAGAGGTCACATGGGCTCTTTCTGCTTTGCTACTTTTGATTACTTGTCACAGTTGTACTTTTAGCTTCCCCCATCCTGCAAGGCCACTCAACCATGTGCTAGCTGGAGTGATCTTTATTCACAATGTCTTTACAAAGGCTCCTGCAACACAGCAGCAATGGCAATTTGGCGGACTTCTGCGCTGGGCCAGCGTATAGCTCTTACTCCACACTCACCGGCAGCCTTACGATGGACGATAATAGAAGGATTCAAATGCTAGCAGACACGGTGGCTACTCTGCCTCGGGGACGAAAGCAGGTATGATTGCTATTTTGTACCCTTTAGAGTGTTCACATTCTCTTGAGGGCAGAGTGATATGTTTGTCTGACTTCATACTAATGGTGATATTTTAGAGGCTTTGGAATTACTGGCTGATTATTATGGGTGAAGGAGGTGAGATGCTCAGGGAGCTAGGTGAACCAGTCCAAAGATTTGAGACCACAATCAAACTTTTTTTTCAAGGCAAAAATTAAGATTGTTTTTCTTATTTGAAGAAGTGCTCAGGTAAAATAAACATCATTAAGCATAAAAAACTTGAAGATGGTTTATATAGATACAACCAGTATGAGAATTAATTCTCTTTTCCCCATTGTGTCTCCACTGATTCTTTCCCTTCCATCCTTACTTGCAGTCCTTGATGGTCATTTCAGTTCATAATCAAATAAGAAATACTTTTTCTGAGGACAAATTTTGTTGACTAATTATCTTCAGCTCTGGGTTGCTGGCACATACCTCAGGCTATTGGAAAGTAAGATTTTTTTTTTTTGGATAGATGAGTGCCAGATTGAATATCAGCTCACCACTTAGTGTCTGTGGGATCTTGAGCAAGCCACTTGCCTCTCTAAGCTTCAGTTTTGTTTTTTCTAAAATGGAGTTAATAATAGAACCACCCTTATTGGGTTCTTATGTTGGTTAAATAAGGAACTGTGCAGTGCCTAACACAGTGACTGGCATTCAGTGTGTGTTTATTAAATGCTAGATTATGCCATTTTAATATTTTTATTGCAAAGTTTGTCTCTAGGGATGAAAACTCATTTGGAAAAATCTATGTCTAACTGAATTTATTTTGATTTTTTCGTTCTTCAATTTCTAACATGTAAAAATTTTTTTTTAACCATAATACCTCTTCAGGATTTTTTTTAAACAACTTGCTCTAAATCCCCAGGTACATATTTGAATTTCGATGTAGCATTTCTACAGAAAATATTTAGAATTGCCCTAGAGCAAGAATTTTTGCGCTTAAGTCTTGCATGTACAATCATGTGCTTCTCGTAAGCCTTCTAAATTCAGGATTAGAGAGGTATGGCATAGTGGGAGAGACATGATCTTTTTTCAGTGATGTATAATAGCTGATTCCTTGGTATTTTTCGGAGTGAAGATAAGGGCACAATTTTCCATGATTTGGATTATTGATTGTTCTCAATCTAAAGTGCTTTTATGATACAAAGTTTAATGTAATGATGAACATTTTATCAATCTACAACCTGTCTGAAGATAAAGCAACATGAGAAATGCTGACATCTTTTTTCAGTTTTCAGATATAAAGCAGTCAGATTTTCTTTATATTTGCCATGACACTATCACACCAACTATGGTTCACTTGATTAGGCTATGATTTTTTTTTTTTTTTTTGCTGGAGACTGTGGGTACTTTTTCAATCAGGGTGGGAACTTTCCACCCTCTATGTCCTCCATACCTGCAACCTTACTCATTTGATCTACTCTCTAGCCCATGCAATTCAATGCAACAGATGGTTTCTGAGCACCTACAAGGAGACAGACATCATGCTAAGTGTAGGAGGTAAAAAGACGAGAAGGGAATGTTTCCTACCCATATACTGTTTACAATTCAGTAAGCAGAAAGAATGGGTTTTCTGCAAAGTAAAACAACATGAATACTCTCATCGAAGTGAAACATCTGTAAATATAGCCTTGGAAATAGATATTCGAGATATTGAAGGGTATTCCAGATATTGAAGGGTATTCCAGAGCAAGGGAGAAATTGAAGCTGAGGCATAGATCCTGGTGCCTGGAGGACTTTTTTGTGTAACAACACAATATTAAGTGTGTCAGGAGAACCTGGTTAGTGTGTAGGAGGTGAGAGGAGATCTCAGCGCTGGGCTGCTTTACAGAACACTTGGACAACTTCCCCTGAAAAAGCCGGCACGAGGGCCACTGAACGTGTTTGAGAAGTAGAGGATTTCAGGAACCTTATTGTAGAAATGTAGTGGATTAGTGAGTAGAGACTAGTGGTGAGGGAGGAACTTTTGCAGTAGTTGGAGAAAGAGGAAATGGGGGAACAGAAAGGAGACTGAAAGGCTTTAATATGAAAGGGACTGAAGACGGAGGAGTCACATCTGGTTTTAAGCCAGAGTGAAGATAGCGTGAACTGAAAGAAGGCAATCAGTAGGAGAGGCTGATTATCAGAGGAGGATAAAGAGAGGGATTTTGGCATATGAAATACACGTGTGTGTGTGTGTGTGTGTGTGTGTGTGTGTGTGTATGTGCATATATACATGTACACATATGCACACAGGCACACACACATCCCCATACTAATTAATTTATGCAGATGTTCTCATCTTTTCTAGGTCTTCTCATTCCCCTTCTCTCAAATTCTTTCATGTGGTAGACTTTCCATATTCAAACAGCTTTTTCTTACTGTTGTGAGAATTGCTTTAAAAAATAGCAAAACAAAACTTCTTGTACATGATAGTTCTGATTCCGTACAATTATCATCAATGAGACTTGATGCAAGTTTATCCCAACATTTCACAATCTTCCAAATGGATGTTCATTTCCTTTAACTGGTTTTTAGAGAATAATCACCCATTTGGCACTGACTAAATTGCAGGCAACAAGATCCTTGTGAGGCAATCACATGAGCAGGTGTTTCTCTGCCTACTGTTATTTTCAACACTTTCAGGGCTGACGTCAACAGCTCATACTTCTTGTTGTTGTTGGCTTTGGTTTCTGCAAAGCTATATCTGGTTAGCTTGTAGTTTCAAATTATTAGTCTTCAGAATCAATTGGGTGTTTACATTCAGAATTATTTAAAGATAGATTTCTCTGTGTGCATATTATCTCACTACCTGTACTGATAGGAAGTGTCAGACACCCCAGTATGGCTTCTACTTGTGAACACAGTTTTAGGACAAAAAAAAAAAATCTTTGCAATGGAAAGCTCGGTAGGAAGGAGACAGGAGGAATTAAGGACAGTCTCTATCAATGATGTCAAAGAAGTAGTGATTGTCTTACCACCCACTCTCATAAATGTAGTACGTTGCTTTTGGAAAGCAGTTTTTACAGAATGCTATAGTGAGAACCAGGGACCTGACAAACAAGTCCACAAACTTCAGTGGTACCACAGACTGACTCTCTTTTCCTAATTTTCTTTTAGTTATCACATTATTGCTAAATAGGCAACTTCTGGCAGGCTGATTTCATCTATAAGTTCAGATAGGGAATGTGTGCTCTGCTCTGGGATGTGTACACTGCTGGGCTGGGCTCTGCCCTGCAGGAGCTTTCACGGTGTGTCCGGCAGCACACCCATCAGGTGCCGTAACTCCCAATTGTCCTGAACTACACCAAAGGATTTTAATCACCTCATGACAATTTTAGGTAGAAAACTGTGCTAATTTCACTAGAAAAGACTTTGAAAATTATTCTTTAATCTGTATTGTGGCATGCATGGTCAATATCCAATAATTTTTCTTGAAGAGTCTGTGAGCCCACCATCAGACCTTACTTGGAAATGGCGGTATTGTATTTCGGTTTCTCCGGGCACTTAACGTCAGGAAATTAAGTTCAGCTCCATTATTTTGTTGCATCTTTGAATAGTCTGTGGAGCGTTGATATCCTAATGCTCCTTATTTAAAAGTGGGTGGGAGTTGCATGGAAGAATTGGGGAGTGAGGCAGGGGACTGGAAAGGGAGCAGAGCACATAATTTTGGGGCCTTTGAAACAAGTAACAGTGACAAAAAACCTCACTCTGGAATCAGTAACCTCTCCCCCGCACCCTCCCCAACACTTTCAGGAGATGAGTATATAGAGTGGGGACCAGGAGGAAGTAACCTCTGTAACCCAGAAGTGGCTAAAGTGTTGAACTTTGAGCTTCTCTAAGGAGAGCTGGCTATCTGGCTGAGCTGCCAAGTACTCCTGTCTTTCAGAAATTGACAGCTGAAGTATTTGGTCTTGGTTTCCCACTGAAGAGGAATGTGTAGAATCACTGCAGAGCAGAAGAAATTAAATTTTGAATATTAATGCCTGATCTTTTAAGTTATCTGACTAAAAACAGAAGAGTGATCATAAGCCCAACCCTAGGTATCAGTGTATTATGGCTAGCAAGGAGTTAAGAAGCTTTGTCTATTCAGCAGTCATAATTGAATGTGTAGTTTGCAAGCCTGCCAAATTGCTAAACCTAGATTTCTCATATTAGATAATGTGTAATAAAAGACAGCTGTTGCCAGCATATGCTGTGAATTGCACACCAGTTCCTCATTCATGATTTTTGGCGCCATCACTACAACCCTTAGAAAAGGCTCTGACTGGAGGGCTGTCTGGGGAACATAGACCCCACTGGTCAGATCCTTGAATAAGGCTGCTCGCCCTAGGGAAAGCGGGGCAGGAAAGACTTTTTTTTTTTTTCAAAGTGCAAAACCCTTGATAAGACCTTAGACACACTTCATTTCACTTTAGGCAGGTAGTTTGGTGTGTGAGCTAGTTTCGAACCCTGGGAACATTCCTTTCCACATCGCCTGAGTCTGACAGCCCGGATCAAAAACAAGCAGGCTTTGTGTCAAGACGTGGCACGTGTCAGAGAATTTGACGGTACTTAATTTATTTAAATTGTTTTTTGTTTAAGTGTTAGATGCTTGAAACAGCCTCTTAGCTAATACCGAATGGAAACTAATTTGTAATTTGACTTAATCTGACTTTTGGTGTTGCTGATAACCCAAATTAGTCAGTCCACAGGAACTGAAAATCTGCTATGCTTCTCATGTTGTGCTAGACAAATATTTTCATCTTTAACTAGTCAATTAGCTAGATAGAAAGGTTAGAAGTAGAGTGGTGGGGGAAATATCTATAGAGGCTTCAGGTCTGTCCTGTGGTTTAAAAGATTTTACATTTGAATCTATCCAGAATGACTTTTGATTCAAAAGACCGATTGGATGAAATCTTGAAGTTCCTAATAGATGCACTGATTTCCGGCATACTAAAAGGGTATTTAAAATTGACAAGGCTCAAAATTTTACTAATAATTTATTAATTCTTGCCACCATTCATCCACTTAGCAGCTATGTACTAAGGCACTACTATCTTTGTTTTCTGTTAGTACTTTTTCTGCATTTCTTGTTTCGGATTGAATTTTTTTTTTTGTTCTTGTCTGTTTTCTTTCATTTAAAATTTTTTGGTTTTTAAAATTTGTACTTATTCAGTTGATATATAATCATACATACTCATGGTATACATAGTGATGTTTTGATACGTGGAATGTACAGTGATCAGATCAGAGTAATTAGCATATCCATCACCTCCCTCACACAATGATCATTTCTTCATTTTGGGACTGTTGAATATCCTCCTTCTAACTATTTGAAACTAGTACATGATATACTATTGTTAACTATAGTTAGCCTACAGTATAGAGCACTAGAACTTATTCTTCCTATCTAGCTGTAATTTTTTATCCTTTAACAAGTGTGTCCCTATCCATTTCTTCCCCCAACCCTTCCCAGCCTCTAGTATCCTCTGTTCTACTTTTTACTTCTATGAGATCAACTTTTTTTAGCTTCCACATATGAGTGAGAACATGTGGTGTTTAACTTTCTATTCCTGGCTTATCTCACTTAACATAATGTCTTCCAGTTCAATCCATGTTGCTGTGAATGACAGGATTTCATTCTTTTTTATGGCTGAATTGTATTCCATGGTGTATATATACCACATTTTCTTTATCCATTCATCTGTTGTTGGACACCTAGGCTGATGCCATCTCTTGGCTATTGTGAATAGTGCTGTAATAAACATGGGAGTGCAGATGTCTCTTCGATATAATGATTTCCTTTCCTTTGGATGAATTCCCAGTAGTGGGATTGCGGGATCATATGGTAGTTCTATTTGTAGTTGTTTGAGGGACCTCCATACTGTTCTCCATAGTGGCTGTACTAATTTACATTCCCACTAACAGTGTATGAAAGTTCCCTTTTCTCCTTATCCTCACCAGCATTTATTATTTATTGTCATTTTGATCATAGCTATCCTAACTGGTGTGAGATGATACCTCATTGTGGTTTTAATTTCCATTACCCCAATGATGAGTGATATTGAGCATTTTTTCATATATTTGTTAGCCATTTGTATGTCTTCTTTTTCTTCCTTTCTTTTTTTTTTTTCTTTTTTTTTTTGAGATGGAGTCTCACTCTGTCGCCAGGCTGGAGTGCAATGGCATGATCTCAGCTCACTGCAACCTCCGCCGCCCGGGTTGAAGCGATTCTTCCAACTCAGCTTCCCTAGTATCTGGGATTACAGGCACCTGCCATCATGCCTGGCTAATTTTTGTATTTTTGTAGAGACGGGGTTTTACCATGTTGGCCAGGCTGATCTTGAACTCCTGAGCTCAGTTGATCCACCCTCCTTGGCCTCCCAAAGTGCTGGGATTACAGGTGTGAGCCACCATGCCCAGTCTTGTATAGCTTCCTTTGAGGAACGTCTGTTCAGATCATTTGCCCATTTTTAAATTTTTTTTTTTCTGTTGAGGTATTTTAGTTCATTATATATTCTGGATATATAAATGAGTAGTTTGCAAATATTTCCTTCCATTCCACAGGTAGTCTTTTCACTCTGTTAATTGTTTGCTGTGCAGAATCTTTTTAGTTTAATATAACCCCATTAGTTTATTTTTGCTTTTGTTGCCTGTTTTTTGAAGGTCTTATTCATAAAATTTTTTCCCAATCCAATATGCTAAAGCCTTTCCCCTATGTTTTATTCCAGTAGTTTTATTGTCTCAGGTTTTACATGAAGGTTTTGATCCATTTACTTATTTTCAGTTGATTTCTGTATAGAGTGAGAGGTATGGTCTAGTTTCTTTCTTCTGCATATGGATATACAGTTGTCTGTTTTCTTTCATTTTTAAATCTTGCTACATATTTAAGATTTTTAAATTTTACTTTATGTATTTTAGTGATTATCCTTGAGTTTTTCCTATGATATTGAATTTAATAAAGGACAATGTTGAAGACTATCTTTACATATTTCTCCTGAACGTGAATATTTAATGTGGCTCTTCAACCATCTCAGTTGCTTCCATTTTCGTTTAGTAGTTTATTTATTTTTATCTATTTCTCCATTTTTAAGTTTCCATTCTATTCCAGGCCCTGTGTTGGGCATTGGGGCAGAAAGTAAAACAAATAACATTCCCCAAGAGGTCCAAATCACACAGATGATTATGTACAGATGTGAAGTATTTGATCCAGTATGCATTTCATATAAATATATACATATATGTATACATATATATATAGCTCTCTCTATATGGATATATGAATAATATGATGAATACTGATAGCAAGAGTAATACCTTAAAAATATAAGCCCTTATTTATAGAGGTATAAGAAACTTTTATAAAAAGAATAAAAAAGCCCTAGTTATCATTACGTAATTTGGCTTAAGGGCGGAAAACAAGCAGCTGAAGATAATAAAAATAGATTAAGAAAATATGAGTACAATATAAGGGAGAGACTGAGAATGCTTGGAAATATCAAGTTTGTGGCTCTCTTCTGCAAGGAAGCCCACTAACATAGATGAATAGTCCCTATCCTTGGTAACGGTACATACGAGGTACAAAATCAGGTTACAACAAACCATACCAATCCTTGTAGGCATTCCACAGTTAGTGCTTATAAATTGAAAAGAGATACTTTTTAGCAAGACTAGAGAATCTTTTTGGGTCTGAGCAATTTATTTCAGTCTCCATTGCGATATAAGTGAGTTGAAGCCCAGAACTAACAAAAGAGGAAAATATAATTAATTTACAGCAAATTGGTAAGAAGAGACCACCTCTCCATTACGTTAAGTTTATGGACTGGTGGCTGAATTCTTAACACTGGTCCATTCCAGGAAATTTGTGAAAATGCTGGCATTTGGTACCTGGTAATTCAAAATTCCTACAGTGATGTAGGCTTCACTCCTAATGAATGTCTTAATAAGCATTTCATTTGTGTAACTTGTCACATAAGCATTAATATCTCCTACATATTTTCCCCCTTCTAGTTTTCATCCTTTACTTATTTTATTTTGCTTTGTCTGGACTGACTATGCATTGATCTCTTGATATTTTATGTGTTCATTTATATATGACAACCATTTCAGGTTGACAATTAAAAACCATGGGTTAGCTAGTAGCTTATGTTTTGGGCCCTTGAAGCAACATTTGAGAATAGGGCTAATAAACATTTCCTGAACAAAGAAACAAACCGACCAAAAAAACACAAAAACCTGCTGCAATTTTCCTAAAAAATAAGTTGTCACCTTTTGTTGATGCTGCTTCTGTTTACAGTGGTAGAATGTGTCCTGAAAGCTTATGTTTATATGATCTTTTCCAAAAGTGCAGAGGAATGAAGGTGATATTATTTATACCATTGATACTATTCTGAGGTTTCTTTCCTTTCTTGGCTGGAAATTTCACGTTAGTCTTCCAAAACTATTACAAAAATAAATCATAAGCAGAAATGAGGTTTTGAGTTCCTGGTTTTACCTGAATTGTGTGTGTGAGTTGGTTGTTTAGAGATTATTTTATCCTACTAAAAACAGTAACGTATTGAATTATTATAGTAAACACTGTCATTTCATCATCATCTCCAAAAACTATAAAGTATTTGGGTTTCATATGCCATTCTAAGTATGCTATTTTTCTTTGGATTTCAGTGTGATTACAAATTGCTATGGTTAATCTTTCAGAGGCTGTTTTAAATACAGACCAGAGAGGAAGTTCTCTTTGGAAGCTTTGGAGTTTTGCCACATTATTTTAACTCTTTTGCCACATTGTATTACTATCTAAACCTCTTTCAATCTTTTAACTGGAATGCCTAGAATCCTGTCTCCCTACTCTCCTCTGCTATCACTAGAGAATGTAGAGAATGGAAATGGCTGCCTTTATGCAACAATTTCCCAGGAGCTGGGCCAAAGAAGGTGGTAAAGAACAGGTTGTGTGTGTGTGTGTGTGTGTGTGTGTGTGTGTGTGTGTGTGTGTGTGTGAGAGAGAGAGAGAGAGAGAGAGAGAGAGAGAGAGAGATTTAGAACATTTTACAGTGTATCTTGAAGACCCTGGGATAACTATATGTCTTTTGTGTTTTTCAGCTTGCTTTGACCAGATCAAGTTCTTTAAGTGACTTTTCCTGGTCTCAAAGGTAAAGAGATTGAATTATTTTTTGTCTCTCCCAAAATATTTAGGAACATAGCTCTCCAGACTGTTTTTTCCTCTCTCTTCCTCTCTCTCTCTCTCTCTCTCTACGCACACACACAGACGCACACACACAGACACACACACAGAATCTTACATACTACAATTTACATAAATGTCAGTTATTTTTAATTGTGACAGTTATTTTTAATGATAGATCTGTGCCAAATGTGATACTTTAATTTTCATGCAGTTTCTTTTTTAAACATTTTTATTACAGAAAGCTTGTTACTGTGGAGAAGCAGGATAATGAAACATTTGGATTTGAAATTCAGGTGGGCAATTTTCACATTTTCTAGACTTCCAAGGAAGAAAGTGGCACCGGTAGTGTCATGTTATGTGCAAAGAAAAAATGAAGTTAGGATTAGAGAATGATGGAGCCTATGACTTTTATTCAGTGTGTGGCTGTTTGGGGGTAGTTTTTCAGTGTGTTGAGTACTATTAAGGAAAGAAAACATTGAAGATGATAACAAAACCTCTGCGATATGCTCAGCAGTTTGTGCTTAGTTGCTTCAGTCTTCCCTTAAGTCCCAGACTGATCAGCTAGGTTGGTATCAGCTAGGTCTTAGATAAGAGAGTGAAATACATTTTACAGATGTGTACTTGATATATTTGCATGTGTTTTGTATAATCATATTGTTATACTGTGTATCAGATTTTAAGTATTTACTTTGGCATTCAAGAGACACTCGAAAGACTATACATCTGTGTATATAGAATGCATATATTCATGGATAGCTCCTGGTATGTTTTGCAACTAGAGTTCATATTGTACATAATGAGCAATTTGTAGCTTTTTTTCCTAATGACAATGCTTTATAATTGTTATTTGAAACACTTGAGAACATTTGGCTCTACTTGCAGATTGCCTCATGCTGTAGGAAATTTTTAAGTCTTTATAAGTTTCAGCATAATTGCCTAAGAATTTCATTGCTTATTAGCTGTCTGCTTTTTCATGAGCACATTTGTAAAATGGGTGAGGTAGGTCAAATGAAGTCTAACCCAATTAAGTGCAACAGTAGTAGCTTAAGCATTTCTGTTTTTTTTTTCCATAGTACGTTTGCATGTCTTTTGGATGTGTTTTGCATAATCATATTCTTACACTCTATATCAGATTTTAGATCTTAGCTTTACTGCTGCTTTCAGAAAACTCTGGTGTGATATCAGCCCCACAATTGGAAAGTCAGTGTTTATTTTAAGATTAGGAACAGGAAACTGCTAAGAAAAACATGTTTTATGAGTAAAGAAACAAAATGGAACTTTAGCTGCAATGAAGACAGAGAAGGCACTTTGAAAAGAGGATCACTTCTACTTTCCTAACTCCTGTACTTTTAAATTTGGAGGAATCTGTAATTCACCACAGTAACTGGTGAAATCTATAGGTTTTAGAAGCATAGTGCTCCCTCTTACTCCCCGGTCATATGAACTACTCCCTATTCTGTTGTAGAGACACTGCTTTTTGTCACTGCTTCTTTTTAAAGGAAAATTATCCTCAAGGATGTGCAGCAGTGGCTACTGAAAACTGGATAAACGACTACTCACCTTTCTTTATTTTTCTTATACTGCCATAATAATGTCACTACTTTCTTAAGTTTTTCTCCCATACCATAAACACTTATTCTCCGTGGAGCAAGAGTCAAAACTATGTCAGGCCACAACACCACTGAACTTTTGTAGATCAACATGAACTAATGGCACCTCTAAATGGCAGCATGTAGGTGTTATCTCAGTGATGCAGGAACCCACACTCCTGTAAATTCCCTCTGGTATATGCTCTCCATTGTCAAATACACACCATAATCTATTCCCTAGTACTCATCAGATTTGCAGCAGTTAACAAATAGGAGACATGCTTCTGGGAACTTTTTGAAAATCAGATAGAACCTCATGTACCCATATTGTGCATGCAGTGTGAGTACATGTTTGGGATGTGGCCTACTAGAGGAATGACACTTTGGAAGAGACCAGATCCATGGTTCTCCATGGGAGCTAGTTTTATGCTGCTTATCAGAATCGTGCAGCCCAATAGGAATGCAGACTTTGGACTCATGCACACCTGAATTCATATCCTCCTAATGCCTTATGGGGTCCTTAGGAGTTTTAAATGAAATAATACATGCAATGTACCTAGTGATGTGCCTTACCAATAGAAGATCCACAAATGACAGGTGTTAGAATGAATGTCACTGGGCATGAGAAAGGACAATGAGATCTTTGTGTCTCTAAGAAATGCAGGTGATCATTGTGTCACTGATCCCTTAATGGGAGCTAGAAGACTGGGTAAGAGAAAAAAGCATCCAATTAATACTTTCTGTAGCTTTGGGGTTTCTGTTTTTTTCTATTTCTAACTACCATATTTTACACCCAATGTGAACATATATGGAGGTGCCAGCTACATAAATCAACATGTTTCTACTGCACTGTACTTACTTTGATCTCTGGGAATGGAGGGTAGAGTCTCACTGCTAATGAGAATTGTTAGAACAGTGGTTTCCCAAAGGAGTGTCAGTTGTATATTTTATTCATGTACCACATGAACTAGATCAGTCTTTCATCTCCAGAAGGGTCTAGGCTATACTGAGAAGACCCCTGGCAGGAAAGCTGTCAATGAAGTTTCTGACATAGATGGGAACATAGTGCATGATCTTTTAAAGTCCCTTCTACCTTTAAGATATGGGGATTCTAAGTGCCTTATAGATTAGATAGAAGTCCTTTAGAGGTGAACAGACCCAAGTTTCTAGAAGTTGCTTGCATGTGGCTGACTTGTGATGCCTCAGGGATTATTGAATAAGAAAGAATGAACATCAGACATCAATTTTTTCACAAGGAAGTACTACTTTAATGTAGCTTAATTTTAGGAATCAGATGTTTAAAAGACGTACTCTACTCAGAACACTGATTTTGCTTCTAAGTGGAACTAGACTTCATAATTTAAATGTGTGAAAAAAAGAAAATTATATTTGTTATAGGTCATTGGGACACTATATCTAGCAAACATTTATTCAGTGTTTTGGTATAATTAAAAATAAAAAAACCCACCACCACCAAACTACTTGTGCCTAATTGAGGCAAGAGTTGAAGCTTAACTTTTTCTAATTTAGTTGGGTGACTAATGAACCGGTGAGGATTCAGGACAGGCATACCAGAGGGTGCTCAGAAATGAAGGTAATTGAGTCAATTATAGTACTTTTGAATAAATGCAGGGCAGATTGTCATTATGTGCAGAACTCTGATTTAAAATAATCATTGTTGGCATGTCTCCTTGCTGCATGTGTACAATTTCATACTCCTATAATGAGTGTTTTAGCTTGGGAGAACCACTTAGGGATTTTTCTCATTGCACTTGGCCATCGTTGTTTTATCCCATTGGGAAATGAGAAACTCAATTTTTAAAAATAAATCGTGATAGCATCAGGTGATATCTTGGGCTTGAAAATATAAAATCTTGAGCCACTCTCATTTCACTTTCTTTCTCATGACAGATGTCTTTATGAATGGAGTTGGCTACAGATTGTCTGGTAGAATTGCAAAATTGATACCTTGATTTAGTTTATAGTGGAAATCCTTTGTCCTTTGAACTTACCTATTATACTGCTTAATGATAATTGACATCATTTTAAATTTTGGCAAATAGATGTTGAGGTTGTTAAATAGTAACTATATATCATCTTAATTTTTACAGTCTTACAGGCCCCAGAATCAGAATGCCTGCTCCTCGGAAATGTTCACTTTGATATGCAAAATACAGGAGGACAGCCCAGCTCACTGTGCTGGCCTGCAAGCTGGTAACTTAAATTTTTGCTCATGTTAGGAATCATTTAAATGGAAAGAAAATAAAATGTTTTGAGAGTGAAGGTCAGGATGTATTTGTTGCTTTGAGTTTTCTTGGCTCCTTTATGTTTTTAAGACTTGGAGCTGCTTGTTTCATTTGCATGTCAGGAGGGATTATTTAACTAACCAACATAACACTCATTTTTCTTGGCATCTCCCAGGTGATGTCCTTGCAAATATCAATGGTGTGAGCACAGAAGGTTTTACCTACAAACAAGTCGTTGACCTGATCAGATCGTCCGGAAACCTGCTAACGTAACTATCTGTCTAGTTCCCGTGGGGCTTCAAAATGTTATGTTTTCTCATAAAGCCTGATGAGTGAATAAATAGGCCTTTTGTTCAGCATTACAAGACGGAGTGAGGCAGTGCACCGGAGCTTTAGAGTGGGGTACAAACATTATCAGTTCCTTTTGTTTCTCAAGATTCCTCACACTTGAACATACTGTCAACATCTGAAGTCAGAGGACATCAATAGCCCAAACGTCTGTGTGGGAAGGATGGCCTTTACAAATGTATTTTTTTAATGTCAAATTCAATTAAACTGGCACACATTCTCTTTAAACTGGGAAGAACTGATCCAATTTTCATGGTTGATATAATCCTGTAGCTAAAACAAATCAAAGGTCAGAAGGGCTGAGTTTTTCCTCTTATGTGACAAGCCACCTGTTTTTCTCTTCTAGTGTTCCATTTGGAAGGAAGAATAGTCTGTTCAACCCTCCCCACCCTGAAACACACATACTCACACCACATGTTCCAAATGTTCCAAACTTCTTTTTTTTTTTTTTTTTTTTGAGACGGAGTCTCGCTCTGTCGCCCTGGATGGAGTGCAGTGGCGCGATCTTGGCTCACTGCAAGCTCTGCCTCCCAGGTTCACGCCATTCTCCTGCCTCAGCCTCCCTAGTAGCTGGGACTACAGGCGCCCACCACCATGCCCGGCTAATTTTTTGTATTTTTAGTAGAGACGGGGTTTCATCGTGTTAGCCAGGATGGTCTCAATCTCCTGACCTCATGATCCACCCGCCTCCGCCTCCCAAAGTGCTGGGATTACAGGCATGAGCCACCGCCCCTGGCCCCAAACTTCTTAATAGAACACTGGCTTTCCCAATTAGAGGTTTGACTGATTTTTCTACCATAACAATACTAGCACCTAATAAAATCTTATTAGGATAGTTAAATGATGAAATTCGCTCATTCATTAAAATCATATTTATTGAGCAAATACTATGTTTCCAGCTCTGTGATAGGCTCAGGAGAGACGAAGATAAAGACTCTCTTAGTACGTTAATAGTTATGGAAGGAAATGGCTCAGAAAAGCCTGAAATTTAAGTAATGTGTATATTTCAGTTATTGATAACTACTATGAGAAAAGTGCAAAACAGCAATGGCCTGTCATGCTAGGTAAGAAGGCTGCTAGTTTGGCTTAGATGTGTAAAGTGGTCTTTTCTAGGGAGGCGATATTTGAGTTGAGATCTAAATGAAGAGAAGGATGGTCAAATGAACTCCTCGTAAGAGCACTTCAGGCAAAGAGAGAGGTCTCTGAGTGCTCACAATGGGCTTGGCATGTACAAGGGAAAGAGAAAAAGACAGTATAATTGGTATTTGATGGATTAGAGAGGGTATAATAAGAAATGAAGCCAGAGAGTTGGCCTGGGGGCAGACCATGGATCTCTTTGGACATGCCAACAAGTTTGGGTTTTATTCTGATTGAGGTGGGTCATATATTGTGTCATTTATTCTTCACAGCCACCCATGAGGTTAATTTTATTCCTATTTATAGATGAAGTGCCTGAAGCTTAGAGGGGGCTTAGTTAAGGTCACATAACTGGTAAGTGATAGGGCTGGGGTTTGACCACCTGCTCTGGATGCCAGGATCTGTCCTTTTCAGCTACAGCTGCTCCTTGGAAGCTGCCAGTAGAAAATCTGCTGGATGCTTTTCAGTGATTCTGGTGTAAAACTTCAAAGGATGCTTTGGGTGTTTGTGAGAGCAGATTTGAAAGATGGTGGTGGTAACAAATTGGGTCCAACTCTATAGGTCCTGTGAGTTCAGGGTAAAGGATGAGGTGCTTTTGCTCTAGAGAACCCTGGATCCAAAGGAGAGGAACCGTGCAGAGTCTGAGGGGAACTGCTGGTAGTTAGAGTCAGAAAGCATGTTCCACATGGGTGAAGAGGGTAGACCACAGGTAAATAGGGGTTGTAGATGGAGGTAACTGTTGGAAATCCGGGAAAATGGGAGACAGTCTGTACAAATACTGAGGAAAATGGCCAAATCAATGGTTGCAGTTTTGCCCATACACATCTATTGCTTCAGCAGGTCAAACTGACATTCAATCCCAATGAAACAGATTCATATGGATTCCCACTATTTCTCAGAGAGTCAAGATCACCTTAAGGAGAAAACAGACAGTATATAGCTTGCTACCACCTGATTATTCCTGGCATGATGCTATTAGAAGTAGAAGACTGATCTCCACATTTAATGCTTTTACCATGCCTTGAAAAATTCCTTGCATCTTTATAGAGAGGTACAGCTTAATTACAAGAAGGAACTTGAACCAACACTTTAAAAATTGGTGTGTGATTCACAAATGAAATTTTTAAATCATATTCAGATTGATGGTTTAGTAGTCAAAATAAAAGCCTTTAACTTGAACACACAGAACAAATCAAATCACTCAGAATAGAACAAGTATTTTATTTTTAGAAATGTGTGTGGTGTGGGAAGAACAGAACACTGGTAAGTTGATAATTCTAGGATTAGAGTTTGTAAACTGAATGTTTTGAGATAAAGAATCATATGAAGGTTATTATGTCATAGTAGTTGTACTTCTGTTTCTTCTAGTACCAAAATTATAAGGAGATTTACAGAGGTAAAGGCTCCTAGAATCCTATGGAGGAAAGGATTTCTCCCTCTTTCAAGAAGTAGCATGTTAATTCCATGGTTGTGAAAGCCCCTAGAGCCTATTATTTCTGTTGTTGTGCCCCTTGTGTTCAGCATGGTTTCTAGAATCTGGTACATAGTAGATGCCCAATAAATATTTACCAAATGAGTGAGGTCATTCAGCCCATCCCCACAAGAACAGATTCTAGTAGAGAGCAGCCATCATTGTCACATAGTGACTTCTATAAAATAAGCTATAGTTTACAAATTAACTAGGATCCTTTCTTTTAGCCACCTTCTCAAGGGGAGTTTTCCCCCATTTTCTTTCTCTGTTATCAGAAGATTTGGCTTTGGTCCAGCTACTCGAAGTGCCATGAGAACTGTAACATTTGTATTTCGTTTTTAGTATAGTATGTGCTCAAAGTGTAGTACTCTGTAGTATGGTACTTATTTAAACGAATCACTCATGTTACTCACTCCCCACCTTCCTCTTCTTTTTTTTTTCCTTAAAACAGGATAGAGACTCTTAATGGAACAATGATTCTGAAAAGAACGGAGCTTGAAGCAAAGCTGCAGGTTTTAAAGGTAATTTAATTTAATGCAGTGAGGCACATTTTTCATCCTTGAATGTGTGAGTGGTAAAATAAAGATCTATTTGAGGAACTGAGATAGCCCTTGAAAAAGAAATGTCGTGGTGAATCTAAACTGCTGAATTATCAAGAGCCGCACAATTACCTTTGGAGGAATATCAAATTCTGCAAACCAGTGTAAATCACTTTCTTCCTTCCTCCTTCTGTGTGTCTATGAGGCTCAGAAAGGCAACAGGAAGGCATGCCACTTGAAGAACTCTTCATTAGTGCACCTGTGATCTCTATTGATTTACATTTTGTTTGGAATTAAAACAAAAAAGGTCATTATTTTCCCAAGTGTGTTGGAGGGCCTGGGTTTTTCACTTTTTCCGTGTCCTCTTTTGGTGTCCTTCTCTTCTGCCTCATCCTTAAAACGAAAACCTTATCCGTCTAATCCTGTGACTGTCCTTGAATCTGCTTTCATTGGCAAATACACTAGCAAATTCAAAGGAGGAAGAAATTAGCGTCCAAGAGATAGTAAATAATGCAGGAGGTCCATTGAAAATTCCCTGGGATGGTTTTTTGAGGCTTTTAAAAATCTCAGTTTTCTGGGCTGATGAGGGTCTCCTAAGCCATGAAGTCCAGACCCTCACTCATGCATCTGAGTCATAGTTCTAAAGACCTCTCTGTTTGTCTCAGTGACCTCTGCATCCCAATCTCCCCCTTGCAGAGCAACCAGGTAGCCAATCTGAGCAGAGATTGTAGTTTACTTTAAGCAGGTTGCTTACTTTGGCTTTATTTAGAAATAGCTGCCATTTGTTAGTTTTCTTCATGAAATATGAGCTTATTAATTATTGAGCCCAAGAGAGTGGATTTTATTTTGTATCTTTTTCTTCCTCCACATCCAACTCATCAACAAGTCTTGCTTTCTTTGTCAACATTGGTTTGGATACTCTTGCCACTGTGCTTATCTCTGTGCTTTGTTAAATCAATTTATAGAATTCCTTGAAAAAACCTCTGCTCAAATTTTGACAGGAATTGAATTGTATTTATGAAATAAATGAGAGCAATTAAAATCTTTATGGCTTTCACTTTTCTCACTTTGAATTCAGGATCTCAATCTTTTTATTCAGATCTTTTATGGACTTAAAAAATATTTTGTAATTATCTTCCTATATTTTTACATATCATTTATTATATTCATTCTTGTTTACTTCCTCATTGTTCTTGCTATATTAATCTTTTAATTTTCAGCCACTTATTGCTAATGATTTTGTTTAAATTTAAAAAATCCAGTTTTGTTGAACTCCCTTTATTCTAATAATAATTTTTATAGATTTCCTTATATTTTCTATATAGATTTCTTATCATTTGCAGATAATAAAATTTTTTGCCCCTTTAGCTCAATTATTGAAACTAATTTATTTTTCCTCTCCTATAGCATTGGCTAGGATCATCAATATACTGTAAATAATGGTAATCTTATGGTTGACTTTAAAGAAAACATTTCTAACATTTTTGTTGCTACATTTTTATGAGGGGTAAACAGTGGTTCATATTGTACTTGAATTTAAAGTTAATTTGTTTTTGCAAAAGAAAGATAATCTTAGTGAACATCTTTTTAAAAAAGTTTAACTTTTTCACCTTTTCTTAGAAAAAAGAAATATTGAAAACAAGAATGAAAAATAGGGCTATATTCTATGGAATAAAGTACTAACTTGCACAAATCATTATTTGATGCCTTTAAGCAATTTCTATTCTTTGCATGTTTTTGCCTTAAGTTTTAATGTACATACTTACCAATGTATGAATTTTTCAGTATCTCCATCCTCTTCCAGAACATCATGAGCACCATACAATGTTTAAAATGCCCATTGAAGACCCTATATTCCTTATTATACTTACTTTAGAGGATTTGTATCAATTTTTTTAAAGTACAAAATACAGATTTTTGTTCTATAGCTGGTAGTGAAGAAATACACCAACTTGTTCGTTTTGATATGTTTGCTGTTGTTTGTTGCATTGTACTCCTTACCTCTAGGTTTACTTACTTTCTTGCTATAGTCCTTCCTTCTGTGGGGATAAGTAGATTTTTGTGTAAAAATGTTTTTATTTCACTGCTACTATTGGAAGAGAGTTTTGATAGGTAATTGAATTATTCTAAGTAGGTGTTTAGCTCCCTTAGCACTTTGAATATATTACTCCTTTAATATTTTTGTCTATGAGAGAGCTCCTAATTATTTTTGGCAGGTAATCTATATTTTCTGCTAAAGCTTTTTAACATTTTTCCTTTTTCCTTTAAGTCCTTAATTCATCCAGAATAAATTTTTATATATATTATGAGGTATGGGGAAAATTCCAATTTAATTTTTTTCCATATGAATAACCAGTTCTTCCAGTACCATTTATTTTGTAGTCCCCCTTTCCCCTTCAACTGACTTGCAGTAAAACCTCTATTTTTAAGCAAGTTCCACATATGCATGGATTTGCTTATAGGCTTTCTAATATGATCCGTGGGTCAATTTGTTTATCCCAAACTATTTATAATGAATCTTGATATCACATTGGGCACAGTTATTCTTGGTCCTTTGATCATCTATATAAATTATAAAAGCAGATTATATGTAAATAAATGTTGGTGTTTTGATTGATTTCAAATTTTATTTATCTATTTTTGGAGACAGGGTCTCACTCTATTGCCCTTGCTGGAGTGCAGCAACGTGATCATAGCTTACTATAGTCTCAAACTCTGGGCTCAAGCAGTTCTCCTATCTCAGCCTCCTGAATTCCTGGGATTACAGGCTTGAGCCACCATTCCTGGCTCTGATTGCACATTATATATATATATATCAATTTGAGGAAACAACATCATATGGTATTCTGTTTTTTTATTGATAGATGATCTTACCATTTTTTGTTGTTTTCTTTAAAGTCTTTCTAATAAAGTTATAATTTTATGCATATAGGTCTTATACATCTTCTGTTAGACTTAGTCCTCTGTACCTTATGTTTTTTGTTCTTATTATCGTTTCTTTACAAAAACTAATGCTTTGATTGACGTTAATAGACATGTGAAATAAATTTTTCTGTGCTGTGACTATATTCAAACACTTTGCTAAATTATAGAATAGTAATATCTATTCTAATAACTCTAATGAATTATCTGTAGATTATTTTGGATTTACTGTAGAGATAATAACTATCTGTTATGAATGAGTTTTGGTTCTTTTTCTTACTTTGCTTCACAGCTTAGGCGCTACCATACAACAATGAATAGAAATTATGGTTGTAGGCATCCTTGTTTTATTCTTGATTTTAAAGGAAATTCTTCCTAATTTCTTTTCCACTAGGAATGAGCTATCTTTCAGATTAAGGAGACTCCCTTCTATACGAAGTTTGCTGGTAGTGTTTATAGTGCTTGTCCATTAAACTTTATCAAATACTTTTTTTATGCATCTGTTAAGCTGGTCTTCTCATTTATTCATTTGAAAAAATTCTGTCAATATGTGAATGAAATTTAAATATATTCTAATATAAAGCTACCATTTCATTTCTATGATAAACCCAAGCTGGCTTATTCTTGAAATTTATAATTTGTAAATGTAATTACAGGTTCGATTTGCTAATATTGTATTTAGGATTTTGAAAGAGTTTCATTTTTCAGGTAGACTGGCCTGTAATTTTATTTTCTTAGATTATCTTTTTAAGTTTTGGTATCAAGTTTACTAGACTCTTAGCATGACCTGGGGACTGTTTTCCTCTTCTTATTTTCTGGCAGAATTTTAATAATACCATCTGAATCATTTTGTTTTAGGATTCTTTTTTGATGGGAATACTGTTAATGTACTGTTTCAATTACTTTATTAGTTGTGAGACTACTCAGGATTTCTGGTTTTTTTTAAAGACAGTTTTAGCGACTTATGTTTTTGTTAACAAAGTTTTTAAATTTATTAACTGAGTTGACAGTAAAATATTATTCTGATGTTTTAAATTTTTGTCAAAAATTGAGTGTGCCCCCATTTTTTTCTTGCAGTTTGTACCACTTTTTATGCTTCTTTTTTTTTCTTGATAACTCTTTCTCTACGGGATTTTCTATTTTTGGATCTTCTAGAAAACCAGTATTTGTGGCCATCTTTAATCCTTTTTCTGGTTGCTTTAAGATATTCTTTTGTCCTTATTGATCTACGGTTTTACTACAATGCAATTAGTTCTGGATTCATTTCTAAATTTATACCGTGTAGATCTTATAGTGCTCTTTCTGTTTAAAGACTTTCTTTAGCTTTGGAAAACTATCAACTCAATCTTTTTGGAATATACCTTCTACACCACTCTTGTATTATCTTCTGGAATTCATGTTAGGCATAGTTTCTTGATTTATCTTTCATGCTTCCTAATGACTATTTCATAGGTCTTTATTTATATTTTTGTGTTATATTCTTTCTGAATTCTTTAGTAACATCTCCAGAAATGTTCTTGCTAGCTGTTCTGTACAGAATGTGTTATTTCTATTGAGTTATAAAAATTACTTTCTTATTATCTTGTAGTTCTTTTTCATGTCTATCTGTTCTTGTTTTGTCATTTCAAATTTCTTGTTCTTATAAACATTGATCTCTCAGAGGATTATATCTCTCAGAGGATTATAAAAATTCTTATTTTAAAGTCTTTTTTGGACACTTTTCTTTTTTTTTTTTTTTTTGAGACAGAGTTTCGCCCTTGTCACCCAGGCTGGAGTGCAGTGGCATGATCTCGGCTCACTGCAACCTCCACCTCCCGGGTTCAAGGGATTCTCCTGCCTCAGCCTCCTGAGTAGCTGGGATTACAGGCACCTGCCACCACGCCTGGCTAACTTTTTGTATTTTTAGTAGAGACAGGATTTTCACCATGTTGGGCAGGCTGGTCGCGAACTCCTGCCCTCAGGTGATCCGCTCGCTTAGGCCTCCCAAAGTGCTGGGATTACAGGTGTGAGTCACCGCACCTGGCCTTGAACACTTTTCTATTTTCATTTTGTTTAGAGACAATCTATGCACAAATTATCAATTTTATTATCTTTTTTATCATTAAACATCTGTGTTTGGAGGTTTAGATTGCCTACTTCTCTTGCATGGCATATAGCCTCTCCCTTCAGCACAATGTGATAACTGGATGCTTGCCCCCACTTGGCACTTCAAGGCTATCAATCCAGAGCCAGGTCTGGGGGCTTCCGTGCCTTTCCTGAAGACTCAGTGAGCTGTTTGGCTCAGGTCACGAGGCTGTGTTTAGGTATTCCTGCCTTTCAACATACAAGCTCTACATGAGCCATAGCCAGCAGCATCAGCTTTTCTCAGCCTCCTTTCCCAGTGATGGAGCTTCAGCCAATGTTTTTTTCTTAAGCGGAAAACCTGTCTCAGACCTGTGTTTCAGATAGGTGTATTTAAACCATATATTGCCATAGAATTTATTTCTGCTTCTCCATATCCAGAAGACTTTAAGTTTCATTCTGTTTTCTATCTTGCATGTCTGTCCTGTTTCTAATCTTGAAATTATGAGATTCCGTTTAACTCTTGAGCCAAAAATGTCTTGGTCTGACCCATAGCCAAGGTCAGGCTGGTTTCCCCTCCACACAGTGACATTTATTTTGTGCATCCTGTGTAAGTCAGCATTCTTTCCCTCAAAGACTCTTCATTGCACCAGGGGCTCTTCTTTAGAAACAGTGGTCCTTTCTGATCCACATTTTCAGGGATTCCCTTTCTTCTGACCTATGATTCAAATGTTCAACATGAAAACAGCACATCCAATGGGCTAGCTGGGAAAGCTAGTTTGTAATCTACTTCTGCTATTTACTGGGTTTATATTGCTTGGGAAATATTTTGTTACATTGAATATTCATTTTCGAATCTGTAACTTTTTAGGGAAGTTATGAAAATTAAATATCATGTTATCAGTGAAAACACAATTGAAGTACTAAAGTGCCATGGAAATGTTCAGCTGTATGTCTCCTGTAGATTGAAAGCATTGGAAACTTCTTTGGAACAAATGTGTGATAGCTGAGAGTTGTTTTAGGAAGCCATTATTTTCACGTATTCATTCAACCATTATTTACTGAGTAGCTGCTATGTAGCTGGCACTGAACTAGGCACAGTGAGGTGATGCTGCCCAGTGGGGTTAGATCTCACTTGTGCTTTAGTTCTCATCCAATGAGAGCTCAGATATGTCTAAATAAACAATTGTGATGTCAGTAACACAGGCAGAAACAGACCCAAAGGAAAATAGGGAAGCTTGGTTACAGTTGAAAAACCCTTAGTCACTTTGACACATCTGCTCTTTACACTGGTATTTTCTTGGTTTAAGTGACGACATACTGAAATGACTGGGTCAAATCAACAAATCAGATATTGCAAAACCAGTATTTTTCCAAAAATTGACTGTATATATAAAGTCAGCCAGTGCTGACTTCGTATTTTTAGATAGTAAGTGCAGAAATATAACTTCCTCTTCTTTCTGTCTCTAGTTTTTACTGTTGACCTATCCCTATGCTCCTCAACTGGACGCTAGTCTCTTGTAGGAAATAAATCTCTTTAAGAAAGATGAAAGAGGTTGGTATGTATGCCAGGCACTTGCTAGCCTTATACTCCCTACGTCCCTAATTTTGACCTTCATATAACCACAGATTTACACAGTTAAAAGCTGGGAATAAGGCAGCATAGCAGTCCTTTTTTTTTTTTTTTTTTTTTTTTTTTGTGGCAGGGTCTTACCCTATTGCCCATGCTGGAGTGCAGTAGCATGATCATAGCTCACTGTAACCTCAACCTCCCAGGCTTAAGTGATCCTTCTACATCAGCCTCTTTTTTAAAAAAATTATTTATTTATTTTTGAGACAAAGTTTTGCTCTTGTTGCCTGGGGTGGAGTACAATTGTGCCATCTCAGCTCACCACAACCTCTGCCTCCCAGGTTCAAGTGATTATCCTGCCTCAGCCTCCCGAGTACCTGAGATTACAGATGCCTGCCATCACACCCAGCTAATTTTTGTATTTTTAGTAGAGATGGGGTTTCGCCATGTTGGCCAGTCTGGTCTTGAACTCCTGACCTCAGGCGATCCACCTGCTTCAGCCTCCCAAAGTATTGGGATTACAGGCGTGAGCCACTGTGCCCAGCCTCCTCGGCCTCTTAAGAACTGGTGTGCACCACCATACCCAGCTAATTAGAAAAAAAAATTTGTAGAGATAAGGTCTCACTATGTTGCCCAGGCTTGTTTCAAACTCCTGGTCTCAAGCAATCCTCCCACTTCAACCTCCTAAAGTGCTGAGATTACAGGCGTAAGCCACTGCCCTCAGCCCTCAAAGCAGTATTAAAGCTAGTCTAGACTATATTATGGTACAGAAAGAACAAGAAGTTGATTGAGTCAAGCATTTGATTGATTTATTGCTCGATTTTATATTGGCAACCATAAGGGTTGCTGTTAATTGTTACTAGTATCAAAGTTTGGAAAATTCTGCCCAGTTATTGTTCAATCTTTGAAGACTGAGGAACAAGCCATGTTCCTCTTAAGCATTTAATGACGTTCTTGCAATTTTATTATTTTCTTTCCTTTAATCCTTCTCCAAATATACATTTTTTGCCTCTTCCTTTTTAGCCTTCATCTACTCCTTGCAGATTGCTTTGTGGCAAGGATTGCTTGTTTCAACTAGGCTGTCTTTCCTTTGGCCTAAGAGTCCACAGGCAAACCTGAGCTGTGCCCACTTGCTAGGCTTGCTATAGGGACCTGAATTTGCAAAGGAAGGGGAACAGTAGAGAATAAATAATGGGAGACAGTGAGCCTATGGCTATGTCTTTTCAGATGCCTTCTGCCTGGTTTGTTTTAGATTGCCATTGCCTCAGTCCCCTCTGTGGGATAGGCCAAGACTTGTGTGCTGTCTTGACCCATGTGGCAGCTACTTAATTCCCACTGTGGGTCTCAGCTCTCGTGTGCTGGGGCAGCCAAGAAGGGAGGCAGTTAAGAAGTTAGGGTGCTTAGCAGTGTTCTAAGTTTAGCCCGCTAAGGAAGCATTTCAGATAGTTCTGTTCTCCTTTTTTGTGTGGAAAATAAATAGCTGTCCAAGCCAGGCACGGTGCCTCACGCCTGTAATCCCTTTGGGAAGCTGAGGTAGGCAGATCACGAGGTCAGGAGTTCGAGATCAGCCTGGCCAGCGTGGTGAAACCCCGTCGCTACTAAAAAGACA
Source organism: Homo sapiens (assembly GCF_000001405.40). NCBI lineage: Eukaryota > Metazoa > Chordata > Mammalia > Primates > Hominidae > Homo > Homo sapiens. Next base: position 157,419,170 of record NC_000002.12, on the reverse strand, counting down.
GAAATTTGGCCGGGCATGGTGGGGCGTGCCTGTAATCCCAGCTACTTGGGAGGCTGAGGCAGAAGAATTGCTTGAACCCGGGAGGTGGAGGTCTTTGGGCTTGTATGTTGATGGTGATATTTGTAGAGCATTAACTAAGTTCTAGTCACTGTTCTAAAAATTTTACATCTATGCACTCATCTAATCCTCATAACATTTCTGGGGTTTAGGCTCTATTATTGTCTTCATCCTACAGATGTGGGAATCCTAGAGTATAAATCCTTGCCTAAACAGCAAGTACGTTTTCACAAACCCAAATAATCTTATTAAAATAATTGTTTAAATAAAAGTATATTTTATTGTTTTTCTTGTTTTTTAAAAGAAAGCTTGTTGGTACTACTAGATTATTTTTTGAGGGCATAGTATTCTCAATATCCTCCTTTTATACAGCAAAAATATTTTAAATGGATGAGATGGAATGGTAGTACTAGAAAGAAAGGTAAAAAATTTAATGACAAATCTCAACACCTAGAATTAAATTGCTAGCTTCACTGGGGTTTCCTAATAATAAAAACTTTTTTTTTTTTTTTTTAATCTCACAGCAAACTTTGAAACAAAAATGGGTGGAGTACAGATCTCTGCAGTTACAGGAACATCGTCTGCTTCATGGTAAATGCAATTTCCTGTTCAGAAACCACACTAACATTACTTCTTTCAGTATTTCTGCCTCAAAGTTGGTTTAAGATTATCATCATTATAAGAAAAATTTGTCTAGTGCTGGTCAAGGAAATGGGTCTGTGTTTCTTTGGCATGAGCTTTGGAATGGCTGTATTTGGAGGAGGGGTAAGGCAAGTCAGATCCACTACTGCGTATCATGACGCAGATGCACATGCACACAGATGCACATGCTCGAAAACAGGCACCTGGAGATTTTAGAAAATCATTGGGGAAGATTGCCTAACTTTCCTTCTACTTCAGTGAATGAATTACATTTCTGAAAACAATCACGGCTAAGGGGCTGTATAGTTTTTAGAAGCTATTAAAGCTGGAATGGTTGCACACTTATTGGGTAGAGCTCCTGTCTTTTGTTTAAATTGCATAAGTTGCATTTATGCAGAGAAATTCTTTTTCATGGCCCCCAAGACAAAGACATAAATGCGTAAGATGAATACAACAGTAAATGCATAGCTCTTGCCATTGAGTGCATTTTTAAGGGAAGGGTTGAGTTTAAAATGTGTTAATTCGCTATTTGTTGTATGATAGATGTAACCAAAGGAATGAACTTTTGTGTACAAATAATTCACTGAAACCACTACGTGGGTGTGAAATATAGCTTATCTCTTCTTTAAATAGCACCAAGCTTAAGTCTGTAACCTAGAATATCTGTTAAAAGTGATAATCAATTTGTTTACCAAAAAAGATAACAATTTAATCCTTAACTAGTCACTAATTTATGGCTTAGAGTTCTGGTATGAACTTCTGTTTTTTTTTTTTTAAATTGAAGTGTTTGAAACTTATGTACAAGTTACTTCTCTTTTTTATGTCTTCATTTAATATTTTTAAAAAATTCATAATAGTTCTTTTGGGTAGTGAAGTTTGTTAGAGAGGCAGAAATATTTAATACAAAAACTTCTTTATGGCCTTGTAAATTCAGCCACCTCCTTGCTTTCTTTAGACATGAGGGCTTTTTAGCCTCATTTCCACTTCTGGAGCATCCTGAATGGCCCAGTGAATATAAATTCTTGCTGTTCTATAGAAACAGCCTTGTATAGACAACATTGTTAGGTCAGGATCCTCATAAAGTCATTGTTGTACATATTTTTTGAGCAATTGAAGGAGTTCTGCTTTTTCTAGATGTATAGTAAACATCCAGGGCATGTGATTCTATAAGGCAATTGCTCTCCAATCAAAAGAAATTCATCACTTATTGCAAGATGAAATGAAGTAGGTTGTATTAGCAAAAAGGAAAGCATTATGACTAGTCACCATGGGGCTGGCTGTACTCAACCTTGCAAATCATCTGAAAGAACAGTTTCTTTTTATATTGTCAACCGAGGACAAAAGACAGCAGCAGTGGAGATAATCAGTACAAAATAAAACCATTTTAGAGTGTACAGTATTCTATTATTTTTTCTGAAGCATAGTCACTTACTGATTACGTTTTTCCAAGGCTGGTATTACAAGTTCTCTCTCTCTCTCTCTCTCTCTCTCACACACACACACACACAAGATACCAACCAACTCAGTTAGTGTGGAAGCAGGGAGGGTCATATTGGTATGTGATTAACATTAGAGTTTGAAGAGCCAGATGTACGTTGTTAAGGATCAATGAAAAAAATTTAGCCAAGCAGATAAAATTCAATTTCTTCAAATAAATTATTACTTACTTGAGGACAAGGATGATTTCTGGGTACAGTATCATTCCAGAGAATTTAAGTATTCCAAAACGAAACTGGGAATATTGAGGTTGGAAGATACATTTGATTTCACAAATCCTTTCTCTAAGAAACACTTTTGAATTACCTGTTCCATAACTGTTTTCTATTTACTTCAAATGGTTTTATAATAATTTTAGAATTATTTTTAAAAGACAGTACCTAAGAATCAGAGAAACTAAGTGGAGAAAATCATGATAGTATTTCCCCAAGTGTATTCTATGGAACCCCATTTCTGTGAGAATTTTAATAAAAGGTTTCAGGGTTATTTAAATTTAAGAAATGATCATTTTGGAGGTTCAGATGCCACACTGGTAGACTGTCAATTGGGCTGAACTGTTCTCATATGAAACATCTTGTTTAAATTTATTCTAATATTATAATTTTTGTGACCATGGAACCTTGGTCTATGAACAATAGTTCAGGAAACCCTACTATAAGGTTTATCAAATGGTCTCATAAACAGTTACTTATTCAAGCACGCCAAAGCTCAGTGAAAAGTATTTTTCACCCTTACTCTTTCTCGTGTCATTCAAAGAGAAGTTTTGATGTAGTGTATTTATTTGTAGGGAGTAATGAACAGATCCATTTCACAGTAGACTTTGTGCTCTAGGTGATGCAGCTAATTGCCCCAGTTTGGAAAACATGGACTTGGATGAATTGTCTTTGTTTGGACCCCTGCCTGGGCCAGGCCCAGCCCTTGTGGACCGGAATCGATTATCCAGTGAGAGCAGCTGTAAGAGCTGGCTGAGCTCCATGACGATGGACAGTGAAGATGGCTACCAGACGTGTGTGTCTGAGGACTCCAGCAGGGGTGCCTTCAGTCGGCAGACGAGTACAGATGATGAGTGCTTTATCCCCAAGGAGGGGGATGATTTTCTGAGGAGGTCATCTTCAAGGAGGAACCGGAGCATCAGTAACACCAGCAGCGGATCCATGTCTCCCTTGTGGGAGGGCAACTTATCAAGCATGTTTGGGACCCTGCCCCGGAAGAGCAGAAAGGGAAGTGTCCGAAAGCAACTCTTGAAATTTATCCCTGGCCTTCATCGTGCTGTGGAAGAGGAAGAAAGTCGCTTTTGACGGATTGTGGTGTCCTTTCAAATTAGCTTATTTCACAAATATCTCTAGACTCACCCAGATCCCAGCTTGGTGGGAAAGTGCAGAAGAATTGCAAAACTGACATCCCATTTCACAGCAATAGTGACCTTTATTTAAATTGTTGTGTTATAGTTTATGCTTCTTAAATCATTTTTCAACCTAAACAGCCAATTTCTAAGCAGACAGGAAAACTAAATAATAAGTTAATTAATATAACAAAGATGCAGGTTCCTGCTCATTCCAGTAATGTCTTTGAAAGCAAAACTAATATTTATTTTCTAGATTATCCCTGTGAATAATTGAGAACTTTTTGGAGTCAAGTATGAATAAAGGTGTGGCAGAATATAATAATCTGGACTATTTTCTATAGGATAATTGCTGGGTTATAAAATCTTAGGTTTGCTTATGCCCAGTAGCTCCTGCGGAGGCTTAATAATAGGCAATTTTGAATTTGTTCAAACCTGTAATGGCTTGTAAACAAAGATGACCATCAGCTGTTTCTCACATCTATAGTGACAATAAAGCGGGAAGTATAAGATTTAATAGGAGGGGTTAAGGTTCATGAGAACCATGGAAAGATGTGGTCTGAGATGGGTGCTGCAAAGATCATAATAAAGTCATTTTTATAGACAGTCTAAACAAAATGGGTGGGGATGTCGTGTTTTTTGCCCAATTCAGCTTTTGTTCTGCCTGAACATTAATGGCAAGTCTAGAACTCTCCGAATCCTACAGCTTTGTAATTTTTTTTCTACAAATGTCTAACATCCAAAACTGAGGGTTGGGAAAAGGACTTCCCTCCTGTAGTTTTTTTCATATTACTTCTCACTTTATATCTTATATTCTAAATAGCTATCACCTCAGCAGTCTTTTGCCTATTGGTTATGTTAGTATCACATTACTTCTAGCCTTTCAATTACTCCATGTTTTATTTAATATCCATTGAAGTCTATGAATTCTCTGTTCTGGTGGCACAGCTATTCATAACCTATATTCTAGAGTAGACAATCTGGACTATGTAATAAATAGTCTGCTGATTTTAAGTTCTCTCTCTCTCTCTCTCTCTCTCTCTCTCTCTCTGTGCGTGTGTGTGTGTGTTTGGGAGAAATAGAAACACTTCAATTTAAGTAGAGCTGCTAAATTTAATTAAACTTCTGCTTAAGAAATGAGTTATTTTGAGATAAAAGAGGGTAGGGTAAGGAAGCATCTAAGATGAGAAAGAAATGATAAAGTATGAAAAGATTTCTAGTTGGGACTTGCCTTCTATTAACTCTTTGAACTGAGAAACATCCAGTGGCCTGTGCATGACAGTCACTCATATGAAAGGCAGGGTGTCACACCTTTCACAGAAATGATAGCAATACTGTCTACCATTTACTGAGTACCTAGTTGGCTAAAGACACTTTACGTATGATCCTCACAATTACTATATAGTAGGTGTTAGGCATACAGATAACAAGTCAGGAATTTGGAAATGTTCTCAGGGTCACAAGGCTAGTCAGTGGCAGGGCTAAAATTGGAAGCCAGTTCTTCCTTGCTCTAGTCTATTCCAGATATCTTTTACTCTTTTGGTTCTGTTTAGTGATCATCACAGTACTTTTTATTCCACCCAACAGGAATACTTAAAATGTACAATTATAGATGCTGCACAGATAAGAGCATTTCTTTGGGTAAATAGGAAAACAAACATTTCTCTGTTCCTCATATACAAGTTTCAGACATAGGTTCTTTAATAACTACATGATTAGCAGTGCATTTATTTTCAACAAGAGCTTGCAAACCAGTTATGATTCAACTGGTATTGCTTATTTCTCATCATAGTCTAGAATCATCCTGTTAAAGGTCTACTTATATGAATTCAGCATTTCTTGTTATCCTATTTCACAAAGTCCAGGGGAAGGAAACACCACATTTATTTGAGGAAAGATGACTTTGAAATCTTCTACAAGGTGAAAAAATGCTTTGAGAACTACACAGAATGACATAGGTCATACGGGAAAGCAGACCATAGATCATTTGCTTTTCTTGTGATTTTAATACAGAAGTGTAACACTGCTGTATGACAGTAGACCTCAAATGCAAAAAAGGGGCAGGGAAGGGACGGAGCAAGCATCACTTTAGTTTGCGGTAAGAATTAGAGTCGAGGTATGTTCTGAGAATAAAGAAAAAAGTACTGGTTAACCAAAGTACAGGAAGGAAGGGTATGTCATGTTCTATATTTCACAAGCTGTAAGAAAATTAGCTTTTGTTTAGTAGAAATGTGGGTAAATTTCTCACAGTATAACTTTCAGACTAATTTATGACTTCAGTCAGGCTTTAGAAGAAACTTCTGGTGCATAGTGATTCATTCTGATATAATTTACTAGGGAAAAAATTGAAAAGTGTTTTTTTAACTTGAAAGTTCTCAAATATGTATTACTGGTGAATTCCATTAATTGACAACCTGTTATGAAAATGCATTTTTCTAGAAGGGCATTTGATAAACCAAATTTGAATCAAGTAGATTGGGAATTACTTTATCATGTGGCTGAAGAACACAACCATGACAAACAGATTAGTAATATATTTTTGGAAGTGAACTTTTATTTATGACTTTCTACCTTGTAATAATTTTATATCTTAAGATACAGATAGCATTTAAAATCCCAGTTTGCGCTGAATAGATCAAACTTGGAAATAGTATGTGTGTCTTGATCACCAAAGTACAGACATTTTTGAATGTATACATACTAAAAATAGTAAGTAATACATAACTATATTGAGCCCCTCAGATCATAAAAGTATTGTTATTTTATATCCATTTCCTTACATACCTATGGGCTACAAAATCAAAATTTGATGCCTTTATGAAATAAAGAATGCTATTTTTCAGTGTCAGGACTTTCTCTCTCTTTCTCTGTCTCTCTCTCTCTCCCTACATTTCTCTCTACCATAAAGAAATAATTGTCTTAAAAGCAGACTTTTTAAAAAACCTGGGTGATTCTCAACATTTACTTCTTTGAGGACCTTAAAAGACACTACTTACTTAATTGAGACTTTGCACTATTAGCTTTTTTATTGCTATTTAACAAATTACTGCCAGGCATGGTGGTTCACACCTGTAATCCCAGCACTTTGGGAGGCCGAGGTGGGTGGATCACCTGAGGTCAGGAGTTTGAGACCAGCCTGACCAAGATGATGAAACCCCGTCTATACTAAAAATACAAAAATTAGCCGGGTGTAGTGGTGCATGCCTGTAATCCCAGCTACTCCGTAGGCTGAGGCAGGAGAATCGCTTGAATCCGGGAGGTGGAGATTGCAGTGAGCCGAGATCACACCATTGCCCTCCAGCCTGGGCAAGAAAAGTGAAACTCCATCTCAAAAAATAATAATAATAATAAAATAAAAATAAATAAATAATAACCACAAACTTAGAAGCCTAAAATATATTTATTATCTCAAAGCTTCTGTGGGCCAGGAGTCTGGGCACAGGTTAGCTGGATCTGCTCAGGATCTCACAAACCTGCAATTTACTGCAATTTTGGTGTTGTTATCTGGAGGCTTGATTGGAGAAGGATCAACCTTTAAGCTCCTTCAGGTTGCTGTCAGAATCATTACCTGGTGGCCATACAATTCATGGCAGCTTGATTCTTAAAGGCTGGTAATGAAGAGGAAAAAGGGAGAGGCTACAAACAAGACAGAGTCTTAAATAATACAATGTTATCGCCTTTGCCATGTAACATAACCTCTTAAGTGACTTCCCGTCACCTCGCCTAATAATGTAACATTAAGATGGGAATAGTATCCTATCAACTGTACCATGTTCTGTTTGTTAGAAACATGTCACAGGCCCACCCACACTCAAGAAGCAGGGATTACACAATCATGAATATTAGGAGTTAGGGATCAGGGGACCACCTTAGTCTGTTTGTAACACCATTCAAGGAGTTCACAGACTTGATAATATAAGGGTATTGAGCTGTCTCTAAATCTCCTTGAGTAAAAATTAGTGACTGTCATAATAATTTCCACATAAAGAAATGGAAGCATTAGTGAATTTTGGAATGAAATAACCTGGTCAAGATTGCATAACTAGCCAAAAAGTTGATTAAGAAACTTTCTGGCCTCCTGACTTTGTCTCCTTGGTGCGTGAAGTGATAAAAGAAGATTTAAAAAGAATAAGAAAGAATGAACTAGTTACTTGCTTTCAAATTTTACTTGAATCTGAATGCATTTAAGTGAATAGTGATTGGCATACTGAAGTTTGCCACTTCTAGGCAGGCGCATCTTCATAAGCAGATGATAGTAGGAACTTTTACACAGAAAAGTAAACAAAACACTTATCAAAACTACAAAGCACAAAAGGAAATGATCAGCCATGAGCAAAAGTTAGACGATATCACAAAATTATCAGAACTTGAGGGAAAAAAAGAAGTTTGAAAGAATAAAAAATGTATATCTTAGAAATAAAAGATAACTTCCTCAGCTTGATAAAGAACATCAACAAAAAGCCTACAGCTAATATTATAATGGTGGCAAACTGGACACTTTCCTTAAGATCAGTTACAAAGCAAATACATTTTCTCTCACTTCTCCTTTCTACATTGTATGAAAAATCTTCGCTAGTGCAATAAGGCAAGGAAAAGCAATAAAAGATACACAAATTAGGAAGGAAGAAAAGAAACTCTTTATGATGATATGTTGTTTATGTGAAAAGTCTCAAAGAATCAACAGTGCAACAAAAAATCCTGGCACTACTAAGTGAGTATAGCAAGGTCATGGGATACAAGGTTAACATACAATAGTCAATTGCTTTCTTACATATCAACAATGAACAACTGGAATTTGAAAAAGGAAAAACAATATGTTGACAGCATACAAAAATAAAATACTTAGATATAAATCTAACAAAACATTACAGGATCTCAATATGGTAAACTATAACCCTAAATAGAGAGTCAGTGTTCATGGATTGGAAGACTCCATAGTTTTACAATTCAGTTCTTCCCAACTTAATCTGTAGATTCAGTGTAATCTCAATCAAAATTCTAGCAAGCTATTTTGTAGACATCAACAAATTAATTCTAAAGTTTATACGGAACGGCAAAAGACATATAATGGCCAAGAAAATACTGAAGAACAACAAAGTTGGAGGAATTACAATATCCTTTTAAAGACTTAATATAAAATATAGTCATCATTACAGCATGGTATTGGCAAAAGAATAGACAGATAAATCAGTGGAACAGAACAGAGTGCCTAGAAATAGACACACACAAATATAGTAATTATCTTTGACACAGAAGTAAAGTCAATTAAATGTAGAAAGGATAGTGTTTTCAACAAATGGTTCTGTCCAATATGCAAGCTCTTATATGTTTCACAAAAATTGACTCAAAATGGATCATAGACATAGGTATAAAACACAAAACTATAATACTTCTATAAGATAGCATAGGAGAAATTCTAGATTTCCTTTGGTGTCGTAATGAGTTTTTGGATACATCAAAAGGATGATTTATGAAAGAAAAAGTTGATACATTAGACTTTATAAAAATTAAAACTTCTGCTTTGTGAATGGCACTGTTCAGAGAATCAAAAGACAAGTCATAGGCTGTGAGAAAATATGGATATACAAACGGTTACATCTATAAGATGCAATATTATTCAGCTACAAAGAAATAATCTATCAAGTCATTAAAAGACACTATGAATCTTAAATGCATGTTGTTAGGTAAAAGAAACTAGTTTGAGAAGACTAATACTGTATGTTTCCATTTATATGACATGGTGGAAGAGGCAATACTATAGCAATAGTAAAGATATGAGTGGTTTTAAGGAGTTAGGGCTGGGAAGAAGGCATGGAGATGGTTGAATAGGAGGAAGACTGGTGAGTTTTATATAGTGATGAAACTCTTCTGTGCGATATTGTAATCTTGGATACATGACTCTGCATTTGCCAAAACCCATAGCACTTTACAGAATGAAGAGTTATCCTAAAAGCATGCAAATTATCAAAAAATCCACTTAGGTGGTTGGGGGATCCCAGGATAGAATGAAGAATGTGACAAAAACAATCTAACTGTATCAAAAATGTATAAAACAACTTAAGAGCGTGGAAAAAAAAGATGCTGAGCTAAGTAGCTCTGGAAATGATTGGAGTTTATAAAATGAAAGACAAAATAAAACACACAAAAACATTCTGCTCTAACAGAAAAACTTAACAGAAAAACTTGCTTTCCACATGAATACAATTAATAACTCTGACAGTGCTACATATGTATACTGCAATTGAAGAGTTAATAAATTCTTATGGCTGATAATGGGAGTCAGATTTCTTACTGTTGGATTCAAAGTTCACAGATAAGTAAGGGAGAATGCTAGATTAGACATCCGTATGCACTCAATATTAGCTTAATAAAAGTATGGATGATTACATACATAAATATTTATAGATATCTGTGTATGCATGAATTAGTTTATACACACTTATTTCCTTGCTCTGTCAGCTGAGAGGTCAAGGAAGTAATGACACTTTAGCAGCAATGAACACACATAGCACCAAGATCTTGGCTTCTAATACCATTCCCCAATAAAATAAACCAGAGTTACGTGGAGAAATGGCTTATTCTAGGTCTGGGGCAGGGAATGAACAAGAAGGGCCTGCAGCATCTTGTAATGTCAGAAAGTAATAAAATATTTTTAAAAAACCTTATAAAGATTGAGATATGTCAAAGGGAAATAGAAGTCAATCAGAAGGGCTCCTAATGGCCAAAGATGAAACACTTGGAGCAACAAATAAAACAGTATTAAATTATAACCCAAAATATAAAATAAGTATACATTCATGTGTCCATAGCGATATAAATAAATGACTGAGTAAATAATAAATGGAGTGAAGAGACAAACCTCCTGTATGGAAAAATTTCCCGTTACTTATGTAGATACTCCACCCTCAAGGAAGAGGAGCAGAACTCCTCATTCCTTAAGTGTGGGCTGAATATGATGACCTTTTTCCAAAGGGTATGGTATGGAAAAAGGGGAAAAGTAATTTAACAGTAGTGAAACCTGACAAACACTACTCCAGCCAGGTGATCGAGATCAACATCAATTGCCATAGGTTTATGTTGCTAATATGTGTCCTTGATATTATATAGTGAGAATGACACTTTGTCTCAGTGGTCCTCTTGCCCAGTACCCATAGCTTCAGTCTAATCATGAGAAAAACACCAAACAAATTCCAATTAAGAGATACTCTATAAAATATCCGCCAGCACTTCCCAAAACTGTCAAGATCATTAAAAATGAGTAGAGTGAGAGAATCTGTCATAGCCAAGAAAAGCCTAAGGAGACATGATGACTAAATAGAACATGGTATCCTGGAGAACAACCTGGAGCAGAAAAGGACACTAGGTAAAAAGGAATTCTGAATAAAGTTTAAACTTTAGTTAATAATGTGCCAATATTGGTTCAGTACTTGTAACAAATATACCATAATCACATTAGATGTGAATAATAGGAAACTGGGTACAAAGTATTTTTGCGCTCAGTCTCCCCTATTCACATCTAATATTGGGAACCCTGTGCTATCTTCACAATTTTTCTGTAAATATAAAATTGTTCTAAAAAATAAAGTTTACTAAAAAATAAGCACATTTTAATTAACTAAAAAGAGTAAAACGAATAAATAAAAACCACAGTGGAATAATAAAGTATTTGAATTAATTGAGAAAATTTAAATACTTTTTTAAATTTTATGTAAAATTTAACATAAAATGTAAACAAAATTTTATTTTAAAAACATTGGCCGACTTGGGCCGGGCGCAGTGGCTCACGTCTGTAATCCCAGCACTTTGGGAGGCCGAGGCGGGTGGATCACTAGGTCAGGAGATCGAGACCATCCTGGCTAGCACGGTGAAACCCCGTATCTACTAAAAATATAAAAAATTAGCCGGGCATGGTGGCTGGCACCTGTAGTCCCAGCTACTCGGGAGGCTGAGGCAGGAGAATGGCGTGAACCCGGGAGTTGGAGGTTGCAGTGAGCCGAGATCGCACCACTGCACTCCATCCAGGGCGACAGAGCGAGACTCCGTCTAAAAAAAAAAAAAAAAATTGGCAGACTTGTGGCTTCTGGTCGGGCATGTAACGAAGTTGGAAGTCACAACTCTGTCTTAACAGCAAGTAAAAAACTTAACAGCCGGGCGCAGTGGCTCATGCCTGTAATCCCAGCACTTTGGGAGGCCGATGCTGGTGGATCACGAGGTCAGGAGTTTAAGACCAGCCTGGCCAAGATGGTGAAACCCCGTCTCTACTAAAAATACAAAAATTAGCCAGGCCTGGTGGTAGGCGCCTGTAATCCCAGCTATTTGGGAGGCTGAGGCAGAGAATGGTTTGAACCCGGGAGGGAGAGGTTGCAGTGAGCCGAGATTGCACCACTGCACTCCAGCCTGGGCAACAGACTGAAACTATGTCTTAAAAAAAAAAAAAAAAAGGAAAGAAAGAAAGAAAAAAAAAACTTAACTGAAAAATCAACAGCTCTTTTTAGATGCATCAAAGAAGTGAGGTCACAGGGCAAATCACTGTCCCGTTAATTGCAGACAGGCACATGCAAAGAATCATGATGGACTAGGGCAGGAACCCACAGCAGAAACTTATATATCTCTTTATAGAGAAATAAATATGTTGTGTACATGAAATCCACTTTAAATATAGAATTTAAAAGTATATGATGGAAAAGTACATACCATGTTGTCACTACTTTAAAGAAAGTGGGAGTATCTGTATTAATTTCAAACAGAAGAGACTTCAGAGCAAAGAAAATTATCAGGGATAAAGAGGAACATTATATAATGATAAAGGGACCAATTCTGCAAGAAGACATAGCAATTTTTAATGCATATGTGCCTAGCAAAGCAGCAAAACACATGAAATGAAAACTAACTGTAGTCTGTTAGTTTAATCCACTATTACAGTTGGAGAATTCAACACCCTCTACCAGAAATGGACAAATATAGCAGGCAGAAAATCTGCAAGGACATAGCTGAAATCAATAACATCATCAATCAACTGAATATAGCTGATATCTATCAACTACTTTATTCTAAAACAGAAAAATACACATTCTTCCTCAACTCACATGGATTATTCATCAACATAGACCACATACTGGACCATAAAATATACCTTAACAAATTTAAGAGAACATAAATCTTCCAATGTCTGCTCTCAGATCACAATAGATCTAAAGAAGTAAATTAGCTAGAAAATTCCTCAAATACTTGGAGATTAAACAACACACTTCTAAATAACACAGAGGTCAATGAAGAAATATCAAGAGGAATTAAAAAATATTTTAAAATAAATAAAAATAAAAACAACATATCAAAAATTGTGGTATGCAGCAAAAGCAGTGCTTACTGGGAAATTCAGAACATTTAATGCATGTATTAGAAAGGGGAAAAGATCTAAAATCAATAATATAAGCTTCCACCTTTGGAAATTTAAAAGAAATGCAAATTAAATCCAAAATATATAGAATAATATAATTAACAACAATTAGAACATAAATCAATAAAATAGAAACTAGAAATTCAGTAGAGAAAATCATGAAACCAGAGCTAGTTCCCTGAGAACATTAACAAAATTGAAAAGCCTTTAGCAAGGCTAACTTAAAAAAAAGAGAGAGAGAACCATAAAAACCCTAGAAGAAAACCTAGACATTACCATTCAGGACATAGGCATGGTCAAGGACTTCATGTCTAAAACACCAAAAGCAATGGCAACAAAAGCCAAAATTGACAAATGGGATCTAATTAAACTAAAGAGCTTCTGCACATCAAAACAAACTACCATCAGAGAGAACAGGCATGGGAGAAAATTTTTGCAATCATCTACTCATCTGACAAAGGGCTAATATCCAGAATCTGCAAAGAACTCAAACAAATTTACAAGAAAAAAAACAAACAACCCCATCAACAAGTGGGTGAAGGATATGAACAGACACTTCTCAAAAGAAGACATTTATGCAGCCAACAGACACATGAAAAAATGCTCATCATCACTGGCCATCAGAGAAATGCAAATCAAAACCACAATGAGATACCATCTCACACCAGTTAGAATGGTGATCATTAAAAAGTCAGGGAACAACAGGTGCTGGAGAGGATGTGAAGCAATCCTCTTTTACACTAGAAACACTTTTACACTGTTGGTGGGACTGTAAACTAGTTCAGCTATTGTGGAAGTCAGTGTGGTGATTCCTCAAGTATCTAGAACTAGAAATACCATTTGACCCAGCAATCCCATTACTGGGTATATACCCAAAGGATTATAAATCATGCTGCTATAAAGACATATGCACACGTATGTTTATTGTGGCACTATTCACAATAGCAAAGACTTGGAACAAACCCAAATGTCCAGCAATGATAGACTGGATTAAGAAAATGTGGCACATATACACCATGGAATACTATGCAGCCTTAAAAAATGATGAGTTCATGTCCTTTGTAGGGACATGGATGAAGCTGGAAACCATCATTCTCAGCAAACTATTGCAAGGACAAAAAACCAAACACCTCATGTTCTCACTCATAGGTGGGAATTGAACAATGAGAACACATGGACACAGGAAGGGGAACATCACACACTGGGGCCTGTTGTGGGGTGGGGGGAGGGGGGAGGGATAGCATTAGGAGATATACCTAATGTTAAATGACAAGTTAATGGGTGCAGCACACCAACATGGCACATGTATACATATGTAACAAACCTGCATGTTGTGCACATGTACCCTAAAACTTAAAGTATAATAATAAAAAAAAGAAATGAGCTTGCTAGACAATGCTATTTATTATTATAAAAATTGCTTAATTATAATAACTCTACCATTTTTGGTTATCAATAAATGATGTAAGTAAATTTTAAAAGTATAAACTAAAAATAGGAAAAACATAGAAAATGATAATGAGTAGGGATCTGATCCCAACCAGCTGTATTTGAAGACATGGTTGTTATTTCCTCACCACAATATGTGACATTTTATTCTGAGTTTCAAAACTACAGACAGAACCACTGATTAAAAACAGGATGTGGGTGAATAGTCATGCATGAGACTACCTGGATGAGACATGAGCTAATCTAGTGGTTCTAAAACAGCAGCCTCCCGTCAAATGCTGGCTTGCTGCTTCAGAATCACCTGAGCAACTCGTAAAGGTGCAGATTCTCAGGCATTGGGCCCCAGAGATTCTGTTGAATAGGCCTGGGTGGGTTTCAGAAGTCTTTGTATAAACAAGTTCCCTAAAAGATTCTTGCATTAATAGCTAGGAACCATGTTTTGAGAAACACTACCCTGGAAGTTTATAATTTCTCTGTTAGCTCTGGTGTTGGTGAACTGTAATCGGGATGGAGTATAAGCAAAATGATAAAAAATGTCAAAAATATTAAAAGTGTCTTAAGAAGAAAGCTACCTCCTAATAACCTCCTCTTAGATTTTCCAACATGAATGTATGAAATTTCCATGCTTTTCAACATCATTTTCTGCATGTAACCATGACTCCTAGTCTGCTGAAGTGGAAGCCATCTAGAAGGAGTTCCCTCAATTCCCTTGCCTCCAATGATTTCTATCTCCTTTTTCTCTTTGCTGGTATTTCTAACTGAAATGAATGCATGTCTTTCCCACTTCTTACATCTTTACTTTCCCACAGACTTCTTTCTTCAGGCCAGCAAATACTTTTTATTTTTACCTATTCTGAGCTTAACCAGTAAAACCTGCATTATCAGCATGAACAGAAGATCATATCTCTTCAATATGTAAATTAATTTCCTAAGCCCCTGATTGCTAGATTCAGCATTGGAAACTAACCTTTATTGATCATGTTTCCATTTTCTGTCCTAAATCTTTTGAAAATGCTGGGATCTTACTTGGTGGTGCTTCCACACTTCTGAAAAGAGAAATGGATAATTGAAAAAGCCACAAGTCGGGGAGGTTACAAGACAGCCGAATAGGAACAGCTCCAGTCTACAGCTTCCAGTGTGAGCGATGCAGAAGATGGGTGATTTCTGCATTTCCAACTGAGGTACCGGGTTCATTTCACTGGGGCTTGTTGGATAGTGGGTGCAGCCCACGGAGTGTGAGCTGAAGCAGGGCGAGGCATCACCTCACCCGGGAAGTGCAAGGGGTCAGGGAATTCCCTTTCCTAGCCAAGGGAAGCCGTGACAGATGGCACCTGGAAAATCGGGTCACTTCCACCCTAATACTGCACTTTTTCAATGGTCTTAGCAAATGGCACACCAGGAGATTAGATCCTGTGCCTGGCTCACTGCTAGCACAGCAGTCTGAGATTGAACTGCAAGGCGGCAGTGAGGGTGGGGGAGAGGCACCTGCCATTGCTGAGGCTTGAGTAGGTAAACAAAGTGGCAGGGAAGCTCGAACTGGGAGGAGCCCTCTGCAGTTCAAGTAGGCTTGCCTGCGTCTGTAGACTCCACCTCTGGGGGCAGGGCATAGCTGAACAAAAGGCAGCAGAAACTTCTGCAGACTTAAACATCCCTGTCTGACAGCTTTGAAGAGCGTAGTGCTTCTCCCAGTATGGAGTTCGAGATCTAAGAACGGACAGACTGCCTCCTCAAGTGGGTCCCAGACCTCCGAGTAGCCTAACTGGGTGGCAACGCCCAGTAGGGGTGGATGGACACCTCATATGGCCGGGTGCCCCTCCGAGACGAAGCTTCCAGAGGAAGGATCAGGCAGAAACATTTGCCGTTCCACAATATTTGTGGTTCTGCAGCCTCTGCTGGTGATACCCAGGCAAACAGGGTCTGGAGTGGACCTCCAGCAAACTCCAACACACCTGCAGCTGAGGGTCCTGACTGTCGGAAGGAAAACTAACAAACAGAAAGGACAACCACACCAAAACCCCATCTGTACATCACCATCATCAAAAACCAAAGGTAGATAAAACCACAAGGATGGGGAGAATTCAGAGCACAAAAGCTGAAAATTCTAAAAATGAGAGCACCTCTTCTCCTCCAAAGGAACACAGCACCTCACCAGCAACGGAACAAAGCCGGATGGAGAATGACTTTGACGAGTTGAGAGAAGACTTCAGAAGATCAGTAATAACAAACTTCTCTGAGTTAAAGGAGGATGTTCGAACCCTTTGTAAAGAAGCTAAAAACCTTGAAAAAAGATTGGATGAATGGCGAACTAGAATAAACAGCATGGAGAAGACCATAAATGACCTGATGGAGCTGAAAACCATGGCACAAGAACTACGTGACGCATGCACAAGCTTCAGTAGCCGATTTGATCAACTGGAAGAAAGGGTATCAGTGACTGAAGATCAAATGAATGAAATGAAGCGAGAAGAGAAGTTTAGAGAAAAAAGAGTAAAAAGAAATGAACAAAGCCTCCAAGAAATATGGGACTATGTGAAAAGACCAAATCTACATCTGATTTGTGTACCTGAAAGTGACAGGGAGAATGGAACCAACTTGGAAAACACTCTTCAGGATATTATTCAGGAGAACTTCTGCAATCTAGCAAGGCAGGCCAACATTCAGATTCAGGAAATACAGAGAATGCCACAAAGATACTCCTTGAGAAGAGCAACTCCAAGACACATAATTTTCAGACTCACCAAAGTTGAAATGATGGAAAAAATGTTAAGGGCAGCCAGAGAGAAAGGTCGGGTTACCCACAAAGGGAAGCCCATCAGACTGACAGCGGATCTCTCAGCAGAAACTCTACAAGCCAGAACAGAGTGGGGGCCAAAATTCAACATTCTTAAAGAAAAGAATGTTCAACCCAGAATTTCATATCCAGCCAAACTAAGCTTCATAAGTGAGGGAGAAATAAAATCCTTTACAGACAAGCAAATGCTGACAGATTTTGTCACCACCAGGCCTGCCCTAAAAGAGCTACTGAAGGAAGCACTAAACATGGAAAGGAACAACCGGTACCAACCACTGCAAAAACATGCCAAGTTGTAAGGACCATCAATGCTAGGAAAAAACTGCATCAACTAACGAGCAAAATAACCAGCTAACATCATAATGACAGGATCAAATTCACACATAACAATATTAACCTTAAATGTAAATGGGATGAATGCTCCAATTAAAAGACACAGACTGGCAAATTGGATAAAGAATCAAGACTCATCAGTGTGCTGTATTCAGGAGACTCATCTCACATGCAGAGACACACATAGGCTCAAAATAAAGGGAAGATCTACCAAGCAAATGGAAAACAAAAAAAAGCAGGGGTTACAATTCTAGTCTCTGATAAAACAGACTTTAAACCAACAAAGGTCAGAAGAGACAAAAAAGGCCATTACATAATGGTAAAGGGATCAATTCAACAAGAAGAGCTAACAATCCTAAATATATATGCACCCAATACAGGAGCACCCAGATTCATAAAGCAAGTCCTTAGAGACCTACAAGGAGACTTAGACTCCCACACAATAATAATGGGAGACTTTAACACCACACTGTCAACTTTAGACAGATCCATGAGACAGAAAGTTAACAAAGATATCCAGGAATTGAACTCAGCTCTGCACCAAGTGGACCTAATAGACATCTACAGAACTCTCCATCCTAAGTCAACAGAATATACATTCTTCTCAGCACCACATCACACTTATTCCAAAATTGACCACATAGTTGGAAGCAAAGCACTCCTCAGCAAATGTAAAAGAATGGAAATTATAACAAACTGTCTCTCAGACCACGGTGCACTCAAACTGGAACTCAGGATTAAGAAACTCACTCAAAACTGCTCAACTACATGGAAACTGAACAACCTGCTCCTGAATGACTACTGGGTACATAATGAAATGAAGGCAGAAATAAAGATGTTCTTTGAAACCAATGAGAACAAAGACACAACATACCAGAATCTCTGGGACACATTTAAAACAGTATGTAGAGGGAAATTTATAGCACTAAATGCCCACAAGAGAAAGCAGGAGAGATCTAAAATTGACACCATAACATCACAATTAAAAGATCTAGAGAAGCAAGAGCAAACACATTCAAAAGCTAGCAGAAGGCAAGAAATAACTAAGATCAGAGCAGAACTGAAGGAGATAGAGACACAAAAAACCCTTCAAAAAATCAATGAATCCAGGAGCTGGTCTTTTGAAAAGATCAACAAAATTGATAGATTGCTAGCAAGACTAATAAAGAAGAAAAGAAAGAAGAATCAAATGGATGCAATAAAAAATGATAAAGTGGTTATCACCACCGATCCCACAGAGATAAAACTACCATCAGAGAATGTTATAAACACCTCTATGCAAATAAACTAGAAAATCTAGAAGAAATGGATAAATTCCTTGACACATACACCCGCCTAAGAGTAAACCAGGAAGAAGTTGAATCCCTGAATAAACCAATAACAGGCTCTGAAATTGAGGCAATAATTAAGAGCCTACCAACCAAAAAAAGTCCAGGACCAGGTGGATTCACAGCTGAATTCAACCAGAGGTACAAAGAGGAGCTGGTACCATTCCTTCTGAAACTATTCCAATTAATAGAAAAAGAGGGAATCCTCCCTAACTCATTTTATGAGGCCAGCATCATCCTGATACCAAAGCCTGGCAGAGACACAACAAAAAAGAGAAGTTTAGACCAATATCCCTGATGAACATCGATGCAAAAGTCCTCAATAAAATACTGGCAGACTGAATCCAGCAGCACATCAAAAAGCTTATCCACCATGACAAAGTGGGCTTCATCCCTGGGATGCAAGGCTAATTCAGCATATGCAAATCAATAAACATAATCTAGCATATAAACAGAACCAACGACAAAAACCACATGATTATCTCAATAGATGCAGAAAAGGCCTTTGACGAAATTCAACAACCCTTCATGCTAAAAATTCTCAATAAATTAGGTATTGATGGGATGTATCTCAAAATAATAAGAGCTATTTATGACAAACCCACAGCCAATATCATACTGAATGGGCAAAAACTGGAAGCATTTGCTTTGAAAACTGGCACAAGGCAGGGATGCCCTCTCTCACCACTCCTATTCAATATAGTGTTGGAAGTTCTGGCCAGGGCAATCAGGGAGGAGAAAGAAATAAAGAGCATTCAGTTAGGAAAAGAGGAAGCCAAATTGTCCCTGTTTACAGATGACGTGATTGTATATTTAGAAAGCCCCATCGACTCAGCCCAAAATCTCCTTAAGCTGATAAGCAACTTCAGCAAAGTCTCAGGATAGAAAATCAATGTGCAAAAATCACAAGCATTCCTATACACCAATAACAGACAAACAGAGAGCCAAATCATGAGTGAACTCCCATTCACAATTGCTTCAAAGAGAATAAAATACCTAGGAATCCAACTTATAAGAGATGTGAAGGACCTCTTCAAGGAGAATTACAAACCACTGCTCAACAAAATTAAAGAAGACACAAACAAATGGAAGAATATTCCATGCTCATGGATAGGAAGAATCAATATCGTAAAAATGGCCATACTGCCCAAGGTAATTTATAGATTCAATGCCATCCCCATCAAGCTACCAATGACTTTCTTCACAGCATTGGGAAAAACTACTTTAAAGTTCATATGGAACCAAAAAAGAGCCCACATTGCCAAGTCAATCCTCAGCCAAAAGAACAAAGCTGGAGGCATCACGCTACCTGATTTCAAACTATACTACAAGGCTACAGTAACCAAAACAGCATGGTACTGGTACCAAAACAGAGATATAGACCAATGGAACAGAACAGAGCCCTCAGAAATAATACCACACATCTACAACCATCTGATCTTTGACAAACCTGATGAAAACAAGAAATGGGGAAAGGATTCCCTATTTAATAAATGGTGCTGGGAAAACTGGTTAGTCACATGTAGAAAGCTGAAACTGGATACCTTCCTTACACCTTATACTAAAATTAATTCAAGATGGATTAAAGACTTGCATGTCAGACCTAAAACCACAAAAACCCTGGAAGAAAACCTAAGCAATACCACTCAGGACATAGGCATGGGCAAGGACTTCATATCTAAAACACCAAAAGCAATGGCAACAAAAGCCAAAATTGACAAATGGAATCTAATTAAACTAAAGAGCTTCTGCACAGCAAAACAAACTACCATCAGAGTGAACAGGCAACCTACAGAACGGAAGAAAATTTTTGCAATGTACTCATCTGATAAAGCGCTAATATCTGGAATCTACAATGTACTCCAACAAATTTACAAGAAAAAAACAAACAACCCCATCAAAAAGTGGGAGAAGGATATGAACAGACACTTCTCAAAAGAAGACATTTATGCAGCCAACAGACAAATGAAAAAATGCTCATCATCACTGGCCATCAGAGAAATGCAAGTCAAAACCACAATGAGATACCATTTCACACCAGTTAGAATGGCAATCATTAAAAAGTCAGGAAACAACAGGTGCTGGAGAGGATATGGAGAAATAGAAACACTTTTACACTGTTGGTGGGACTGTAAACTAGTTCAACTATTGTGGAAGTCAGTGTGGTGATTCCTCAAGGATCTAGAACTAGAAATATCATATGACCCAGCCATCCCGTTACTGGGTATATACCCAAAGGATTATAAATCATGCTGCTATAAAGACACATGCACACGTATGTTTATTGTGGCACTATTCACAATAGCAAAGACTTGGAACCAACCCAAATGTCCAGCAATGATAAACTGGATTAAGAAAATGTGGCACATATACACCATGGAATACTATGCAGCCATAAAAAATGATGAGTTCATGTCCTTTGTAGGGACATGGATGAAATTGGAAATCATCATTCTCAGTAAACTATCACAAGGACAAAAAACCAAACACTGCATGTTCTCACTCATAGGTGGGAATTGAACAATGAGAACACATGGACACAGGAAGGGGAACATCATACTCTGGGGACTGTTGTGGGGTGGGAGGAGGGCGGAGGGATTGCATTGGGAGATATACCTAATGCTAAATGATGAGTTAATGGGTGCAGCACACCAACATGGCACATGTATACATATGTAACTAACCTGCACATTGTGCACATATACCCTAAAACTTAAAGTGTAATAATAATAAAATAAAAAAAAAAGAAAAGAAAAGAATGGAAGAGAAGAGAAACAACAACAACAACAAAAAACTGGATTAAGAAAATGTGGCACATATACACCATGGAATACTATGCAACCATAAAAAATGATGAGTTCATGTCCTTTGTAGGGACATGGATGAAGCTGGAAACCATCATTCTCAGCATACTATCGCAAGGACAGAAAACCAAACACCGCATGTTCTCACTCATAGGTGGGAATTGAACGATGAGAACACTTGTACACAGGGTGGGGAACATCACATACCAGGGCCTGTCATGTGGTGGGGGGAGGGGGGAGGGATAGCATTAGGTGATGTACCTAATGTAAATGGGTATACATATATATACCTAATGTAAATATGAGTTAATGGGTACAGCACACCAACATGGCACATGTATACATATGTAAGAAACCTGCACATTGTGCACATGTGCTGTAGAACTTAAAGTATGATAATAAAAAAGAAAAGAAAAGAAACAGCCACAAGTGGGCCCAAGTTGCCCTTCTGTTGCTTCTGTTGCTATCACAAAGTGCCATTACTGAGATCCTGCCCTGCAGCATTCAAGGCATTTATAACTTTCATGGTCCAGAGCCTTCCATATCTTTGTATTTCATGGAAAAAAATCAATCTCAGTCATCTGGTATGTGTTCAGTCCTGAGAATATGAGCTCCCAAGATGGCAGTTCTAGTTTTCATTCACATTCTCAGTCTTTTGTCTTCAATCCCCCTTCTATATGGCATGGCCAAATTGGAAGGCGCTGTGGTCTTAGGAATTCTTCTCTCAATAGCAAAATCATACTCCAAGACAACTTGCTGTCTTTACTTCTACACTTAGAAAAATTTGTCATAATTTTACATGCCTTAAATATATGTGTATTTCTGCAGATATATACATGTATACATACCCAAATGTTTATGTGTATGTATACATATGTATACATGCATTTTCTCTTGACTAATTTTCCCTTTAATCTGTTTCTGTGTCTTTTTCCTTCTCTTAACAACCAATCTTCTTGGAAAAGTGTTCTACTCATTCACTATCTCCTCTGTCTTTTGACTCAGTTTTTCATTGGCTTATCCTCTGTGATCCAGTTTTTGCCGCATCATTCAATTATAAAACAATCTCGTAATTAGCAACTTTCTAAAGAACAACGCTATGGCTTTTTGTTAAATCTTGTCCTCATCAGGCTCTTTGTAGAATTTTACATTTTTTATTGGCCTCTTTCCTTTATGAAATAGTCTATTCCTGCATTCTTGATTATTTTCAAATTCCTCTTTCCGTACCTGAATGGAGCCTTCTGCAAGTTCTATCCTCTTATCTCTACTTTTCCCCTCTCTATATATTCTTTTCCTTGTGGTTTTTATCCTCAGTCACAACTTTAAATATCACTTCTCTATACCTCTTTCATTTTCCCAGACCAGAATTCCTCGCTCCTAATATAACTCTTTGACCCTATTGCTCTCTTTCTCCAGTATAGACCCTGTATTTCAGTTGTATTGAACAAACAATTTTTGCTGTCTCCATGACTACAGAGATAAGAGAAAGTACATAAAGGAGTGACGTGGGCCAGGTAAAGACAAATTATTTTGTAATACACACTCTGCCTCAGTGTTAGGACAACAGGGCGAGGTGGAGACTGTTGTAAACTGAAGAACTCATGCCCAGATGGTAAGCTGTTACTCAGCTCCAGTGAGTTGTTTTTCAGGTTTCTTGATTTTCATAAAAATTAATTTAAAAAAAATTTTTGAGACAGTGTCTCACTCTATTGTTCAGGCTAGAGTGCAGTGGTGTGATCACGGCTCACTTTAGCCTCGACCTTCCAGGCTCAAGCAATTCTCCCATCTCAGCCTCCCCAGTACCTGGGACTACAGGAGAGTACCATCATGCCCCGCAAATTTTTTTTTTTAAAGTTATTCTGCAGAGATAGGGTCTTGCTATGTTTCCTAGGCTGGTCACAAACTACTGGGCTAGAGTGATCCTACCACGTCGGCCTCCCAAAGTGTTGATATTATAGGCATGAGCCACTGTTCCTGGCCTGAAAAATAATTTTTACATTGTCTCCTGGCTTCTAAATGTTGACAAATAAATTTTAAGGTTTAGATAACACTGTACAAACCAAAGAAAACATATTTATTAGGCATATTTAATCTTATGAACACCAGTTTGCAACTTCTAACTTATACCTAGATTACTGAGGAAACTCCCTACATAATCCATACTATTACTCTAGGTGCTGCCTCCTCCCTCTCATTCTATGACAATAGCTTGATTAATCTTTTTAAGTCTAAAGTGAACCACAGATCATGCCATTTTCCAAGAAAAATATTTCATTGTTGATTAAATTAAGCACAAAACTTCAGCTGAACTCTAGAGCCTCTTCTCACTGTACTCTGAGCTCTCCTTTGCAGCCTTATCTTTCCCTGCTTCCCTACATGTATTTCATGCCTCTGGGCTGCAGTGGAGACTTAAAAGACCTCTGCTTATCTGCCCCATGAGCCTAAGTCATGCTCCCCATTCCCTTGTTAATTCACATTTGGTGTGCTCAGGCACCTCTGTTCTCTTTGGTTGAATTGTGTGTTACTCAAAGTTTGGTTGATTTTGTTCCCAGCTGTATTTGTGATTTAAAAGTTGCTTCCAAAATCGGGCAGGATAATATGAAAGACAGAAAAGAAATAGCAAAAATCCAAAATTCTGTACTAAGATTGCTTCACAAGGATATTTTAGTTCCTTTTTTACTTTAAAGAAACTGAGACTGGATGTTCTGGATAAAGGTTTGTACAAAGGTGATAATATGGGGATTCCAATTAGTGGACTCATTTTCAAAGGAGAATAGTTGGCCATATGGCAAAATGCTGGTGAATCTCCACCTGTACATTTTAGGTTAAAATAAAACATTTTCAGATATATACACCATTTCTATGATTACCTGCCTCGATAGACTTTGTAGATCGACCAATTATGTGTCAAAATTATCTTAGATTGTATTTGGTATTTTGCGCTCTCATTTCACTCCCAAGCTTCCTTGGCATTAGGGTTTTATTTATGCTGTTCTATCAGTCTACAGATCCCCTTCTCTTCATTTCTAAATTTTTGAAATTCAACCTGTTATGTTCAAATAGGCTCAAATGCCACATTCCCTATCATCCCACACATGTGTAAGTGTATATACGCATACACATCCATATCCACACTCACAATTTCCCTTTGATTTCTCCGCCTTGATATGAGTTCACCATCCTTACACATCCTAAGTCTTTATGATGTTCTTTCCTAAAAATATTGATTATATTCCTTTTTTTATACTTAGTATAGAAATTAGTGTTCTTATGCTTCTGAAAATGCCACATTCTTTGAAGGCAGATTTGTGTACTTATTCATTTCTGTGCCATCCCACAGTACCTGTCATTGAACACATAGGAAATAAGATGAGCTTTATTTCTTGTCCCCCCAAACTCTTATGTCTTCTTTCACGTGAGATCAAATAATGCTGACTGGCGAGCTCAACTAGGCTTCAGACTTGGTGGGTACTCAAAACTGTTGGTAATTAGATGGTTTTTTAATGTATTGTATTTTGATACTCAGGAGACTTAGAATCTGTCTCAGAACTTAACAGGCCATTTGTAATAAGTGAATTTCTCCTTTCTCTCTGTCTTTGGAGATGGCACCTGAAGCAGCCCTTGGCAAAAAGATATACTGAAATTAGGAGTGGTACATTGCTAGACCAGTGCAATGAGATGATGTTTATGTTTATTATCATTGATCTTGGCAAAATTTTTGGATTTAATATGTGATTGTGTTTGCATTATCTATGCTGATTTTATAATTGTAGAGATTATAATAATCAATTTGCTTTATCTTTGTGTAATTAGAGGTTTTTGATTGTTACTATTTTAGGATGAAGAATATCACAGTCAAAATGGTCCAAAAGATGTTTGACATTTTTGCCCTAGAAACAAAAAAACAAAAAATGTTGTATATGCGTCACTAAGAATGAAACAGACAAAAATCTGGCAGTCATTTTAGAAAGCAATAGAAATATGTGTTCCCTTTGGGCTTATTTTGGAAACAAAAAAGAATTTGAAAATGTCAGGTTTATAAGAGCAAAATCTCCTTGTGAGGTGCCAGAACAGGGAACATACTTAACGGGAGTCAAGTATGGATTATTGAACGTCCTCAAATGAGAATGTTCATGAGCATAGTTGCCTGTCAGTGACAAAACAATTTTTATATATTTATTAAATCAAATTTAAAATGTTCTCAGTTGACTCCTACTCATTTCTTCAGAAATACTGTTGTTAACACTTTAGTGAGTTTTCTTATCAGCCTTTGTCTAGGTATTTATATATGCATATAAATCCAATATTTAGCATATATATTTAAATTAAATGATATCAGATATACAGCTGTACAACTTAATATTTTATATTTCATCAGGAGTATATTTTCTAAGTTTTTGATATCTGAAAATGTCTCTGCTTTCCCATGTGAATACTATACTAGTAGAAGAGAGCATTTTAGGATCACAGTCCTTTTCAAGATGGTAATAAATATCATTTGCTCTTTTGACTTCTAGTTTTATGGATGAATAATCCAAAGCCAGTTTATTTCTCTTGTAAAAGTGTTTTTTTTTCAGTTTATTCCTGGAATTAAAATTGTTTGCCAATATATCAAACTAAGAGTGTGAGTGGTGTGCATTTTTATTAAAGAAGTCTAGATTTGTCTTTTGATCTGAAAAATAATCTTCCTTTTCATCTAGATAATTTGTTTCTTTTTTAAAATGATTACTGCTTTTTCTTCAACTATTTTTTTTCTTAAATTCTTACTTTTTATAGTTTAAAAATCTGAGTATTCAGCTAACAACACAATGCCAGGATCAAATTCACACATATCAATACTAACCTTGAATGTAAACAGGCCCCATACTCCACTTAAAAGTAACAGAGTGCCAACCTGGATGAAAAAACAAGACCCAGTGGTATGCTGTCTTTAAGAGACCCATCTTGCATGAAATGATACTCATAGTAAAGGGGTGGAGAAAAATCTACCAAGAAAAGGGAAAGCAGAAAAAAAAGCAAGGTTGTAATCCTAGTTTCAGACAAACACACTTCAAACCAACAAAGATTTTGAAAAGAAAGAAGGGCATTATATAATGGTAAAGAGTTCAATTCAACAAGAAGGCTTAACTATCCTAAATATATATGCACCCAAAACAGGAGCACTCAGATTCATACAGCAAGTTATTAGAGACCTACAAAGAGACATAGAATCTCACACAATAATAGTGGGAGACTTCAACACTCCACTGACAGTATTAATCAGGTCATCAAGGCAGAAACTTAATAAAGATATTCAGGACCTGAACTCAACAATGAACCAAATGGATCTGATAGACCTCCACAGAATTCTCCACTGCAAAAAGACAGAATATACATTCTTCTCATTGCCACATGGCACATACTCTAACACTGACTACATAATTGGGCATAAAACAATCCTCAGCAAATGCAAAGGAACCAAAATCATACCAAACACATTCTTGGACCACAGTGCAATAAAAATATCAGTCAAGATTAAGAAAATTTCTCAAAACCAGGAAATTACCTGGAAACTAAACAACATGTTCCTAAATGACTTTTGGGCAAATAATGAAATTAAATAAGAAATCAAGAAGTTCTTTGAAACTAATGAGAACAAAGATACAACATACCAGAATCTCTGGGACACAGCTACAGTGCTGTTAATAGGGAAATTCATAGCATTAAATGCCAACATCAAAAAGTTAGAAAGATCTCAAATTAACAACCTAACATCATAACTGAAAGAATAAGTGAAGCAAGAACAAATCAACCCCAAAGCTAGCAGAAGATAAGAAATAACCAAAATCAGAGCTGAATCGAAGGAAATTGAGACACAAAAAACAATTTAAAAGATCAATGAATATAGGAGTTTGTTTTTTGAAGAAATTAATAAGATAGATAGTGCTAGCTAGAATAATAAAGAAGAACAGAGAGAAGATCCAAATAAACACAATTAGAAATTACAAAGGGAATGTTACCACTGATTGCACAGAAATAAAAATAATCTTCAGAAACTACTACAAACACTTCTATGCACACAAACTAGAAAACCTAGAAAAGATGGACAAGTTCCTAAACACATACAACCACTCAAGATTGAACCAGGAAGGAACTGATTTCATGAACAGAACAATAATGAGCTCTGAAATTGAATCAGTAATAAATAGCCTACCAACGAAAAATAGCCCAGGACCTGATGTATTCACAGCCAAATTCTACCAGATGTACAAAGAAGAGATGGTTCCATTTGTACAGAAAATATTCCAAAAAATTGACAAAGAGAGACTCCTTTTCAATTCATTCTATGGACCAGCATCATCTTGATACTAAAACCTGGAAGACAAACACAAAAAATAAAACTTCAGGCCAATATCCCTGATGAACATCAATGTGAAAATCCTCAGCAAAATACTTGCAAACTGAATCCAGCAACACATCAAAAAGCTAATCCACCATGATCAAGTAGCCTTCATTCATGGGATGCAAAGTTGTTTCGACACATGGAAATCAACAAATGTGATTCATCACATAAACAGAACTAAAGACAAAAACCACCTGATTATCTCAATAGACGCAGAAAAGGCTTTCAATGAAATTCAACACCTCTTTATGTTAAAAACTCTCAATAAACTGGGTATTGAAGGAACATACCTCAAAATAATAAGAACCATCTATGACAAACCCACAGCCAATATTATGCTGAATGGATAAAAGCTGGAAGCTTTCCACTTGAAAACTGGCACAAGACAAGGATGCCTTCTCTCACCACTCCTATTCAACGTAGTTTTGGAAGTCCTATCCAGAGCAATCAGGCAAGGGAAGAAAATAAAGTTCATCCAAATAGGAAGAGGAGAAGTTAAACTATCTTTGTTTGCAGATGACATGATTCTGTATCTAGAAAACTCCATAGTCTAGGCCCAAAAGCTCCTTCAGCTGATAACTCCAGCAAAGTCTCAGGATACAAAATCAATGTACAAAAATCACTAGCATCAACAACAGTCAAGCCAAGAGCCAACCAGAAAGACATTCACAAGTGCCACAAAAAAGAATAAATTACCTAGGAATACAGCTAATGAGGAAGGTGAAAGATCTCTACAATGAGAATGAGCACTGCTCAAAGAAATCAGAGAGAACACAAACAAATGAAAAAACATCCTATGATCATGGATAGGAAGAATCAATATCATTAAAATGGCCATACTCTCCAAAGCAATTTACAGTTTCAATGTTATTCCTATCAAACTAACAATGACATCCTTCACACAAAGACAAAAGACTATTTTAAAATTTATATGGAACCAAAAAAGAGCCCAAATAGCAAAGGCAATCCTAAGCAAAAAGAAGAAAGATGGAGGCATCATGTTACCTGACTTCAAACTATACTACAGGGCTACAGTAACCAAAACAGCATGATGCTGGTACAATAAAAAATGATGAGTTCATGTCCTTTGTAGAGACATGGATGAAATTGGAAATCATCATTCTCAGTAAACTATCGCAAGAACAAAAAACCAAACAATGCATATTCTCACTCATAGGTGGGAATTGAACAATGAGAACACATGGACACAGGAAGGGGAACATCACACTCTGGGGACTGTTGTGGGGTGGGGGGAGTGGGGAGGGATAGCATTGGGAGATATACCTACTGCTAGATGACGAGTTAGTGGGTGCAGCGCACCAGCATGGCACATGTATACATATGTAACTAACCTGCACATTGTGCACATGTAACCTAAAACTTAAAGTATAATAATAATAATAATAATAATAATAACAGGCACATGGAACAGAACCAATAGAACAGAATAGAGAGCGCTGAAATAAGGCCACACACCTACAACCACCTGATCTTCAACAAAGCTGAAAAAACAAGCAATGTAGAAAATACTCCTTATTCAGTAAATGATGCTCGGATAACTTGCTAGCCATATACAGAAGCCTGAAGCTCAACCCTTTTTTTTACACCACGTACAAAAATCAACTCAAGATGGATTGAAGACTTAAATATAAAACACAAAACTATAAAAACCCTGGAAGACAACGTAGGCAATAACATCCTGTACATAGAAACGGGAAAAGATTTCATGACGAAACGCCAAAATCAATCACAACAAAAGCAAAAATTGATATATGGGATGTAATTGAACTAATGAGCTTCTGCACAGCAAAAGAAACTATCAACAGAGTAAACAGACAACCTACAGAATGGGAGAAAATATTTACAAATTATGCATCTGACCAAAGTCTAATATCCAGCATCTATAAGAAACTTAACCAATTTACAAGAGAAAAACAAGCAACCCTGTTAAAAAGTGGGCAAAGGACGTGAACTGACACTTTTCAAAGGAAGGCATGCATGTGGCCAACAAGCAAATGAAAAAAAGCTCAGTATCACTGATCATTAGAGAAATGCAAATCAAAACCACAATGAGATACCATCTCACACCAGTCAGAATGGCTACTATGAAAAAGTTAAAAAATAACAGATACTGGCAAGATTGCAGAGAAAAGGCAATACTTATACACTGTTGGTAGGAATGTAAGTTAGTTCAACCATCGTGGAAAGCAGTATGGCAATTCCTCAAAGAGATAAAAGCAGAACCACCATTAGACCCAGCAATCCCATTACTGGATATATACTCAGAGAAATGTAAATCATTCTACCATAAAGAGATACATGTGAATGTTCACTGCAGCACTATTCACAATAGCAAAGACATGGAATCAATCTACATGCTCATCAATGACAGATTGGATAAAGAAAATGTGGTACATATACACCATGGAATACTATTCAGCCATAAAAAAGAACAAGATCATGTCCTTTGTGGGAACATGGATGGAACTGAAAGCTACTATGCTCAGCAAACTAATACAGGAACAAAAAAACCAAATAATGCAGGTTCTCACTTATAGGTGGGAGCTAAATGATAACTTATGAGCACAAAGAAGGAAACAACAGACACTGTGGTTGGCTTGAGGGTGGAGGGAGGAAGGAGGGAGAGGAGAAGGAAATAGAACTATTGGGTACTGCATTTAATACCTGGGTGATGAAATAATCTGTATAACAAACCCCCATGACATAAGTTTACCTATGTAACAAGCCTTCACATATACTCCGTAACCTAGAATAAAAGTTAAAAAAAAACTGGATATTCTGTTCTTCAAGTCTTATCTTTCTTTTCTCTTGATTTCCATTTTTTCTTCATTTTCGCTTTGTTTATAATCTTCACAAATGATTATCTCTCTTTCTATTCAGTATATGTTTGTTTTTATAAAATTCAGAATCAAGTTTTTAATATCTAAAATCTTTAAAAATTTACATTAATTATACATATTTGCATAACTCATTCAGCCATTCTATATGTCTTTTAGTTGGACAGATTAGTCCATTTACATTCAATATTATTATTGATAAGTAAGGACTCACTCCTGCCACTTTGTTATGTGTTTGATAGTTGTTTTGTGGTCTTCTCTTCCTTCTTTATTTCCTTTCTGTCTTCCTTTTAGTGAAGGTGATTTTCTCTGGTGTTATGATTTAGTTTCTTGCTTTTTATTTTTGTGTATATGTTGCAATTTTTGATTTGAGGATACTATGAGGCTTGCAAATACTATCTTATAATCCATAATTTTGAGTTGATAAAAACTTAACACTGTTTGCATAAACAAGTAAAAAGAAAACTAATAAAAATTTACAATTTAACTTTGTCCCTCCGCCTTTTAACTTTTTTTCTTACTATTTACATTGTATTGTACGAAGTCTTGAAAAGTTGCTGTAATTATTATTTTTGATTGGCTCATCCTTTAGTCTTTCTGCTTAAGATAAGAGCAGTTTACCCACTACAGTTACAACATTATAATATTCTGTTTTTCTGTGCACTTACTATTTTTTTTTTACCTTCAGATGAGATCTTATTGTTCATTAAAGTCATTTTCTTTCTGATTGAAGTACTCCTTTTAGCGTTTCTTGTAGGATAAGTCTGGTGTTGATGAAATCCCTCAACTTTTGTTTGTCTGGGAAAGTCTTTATTTCTCCTTCATGTTTGAAGGATATTTTAGCCAGATATACTATTCTAGGATACAAGTTTTTTTCCTTCAGCACTTTAAATATGTCATGCCACTCTCTCCTGGCCTGTAAGTTTTCCACTGAAGAGTTTTCTGCAAGATGTATTGGAGCTCCTTTGTATGTGATCTGTTTCTTTTCTCTTGCTGTTTTTAGGATACTTTCTTTATCCTTGACCTTTGGGAGTTTGATTTTTAAATGCCTTGATGTAGTCTTCTTTGGGTTAGATCTGCTTGGTGTTCTATAATCTTTTTGCACTTGAATGCTGATATCTTTTTCTAGGTTTTGGCAGTTCTCTGATATTATCCCTTTGTATAAATTTTCTACCATGGTCTCTTTCTCTACCTCCTTTTTAAGGCCAATAAATCTTCGATTTGCCCTTTTGAGGCTATTTCCTAGATCTTGTAGGTGTGCTTCATTGTATTTTATTCTTTTTTCTTTTATCTCCTCTGACTGTGTATTTACACATAGCCTGTCCTCAAGCTAATTCTTTCTTCTGTTTGATCACTTCTGCTTTTAAAGAACTCTGATGCATGCCTCAGTATGCCAACTGCATTTTTTCAGCTCCAGGATTTCTGCTTGATTCTTTTTAATTATGTCAATCTCTCTTTTTAAAATTTATCTGATAGAATTCTGAATTTCTTCTCTGCATTATCTTGAATTTCTTAGACTTTCCCCAAAACAGCTATTTCAAATTCTCTGTCTGAAAGGTCACATATATCTGTTTCTCCTTGATTAGTCCCTGGTGCCTTATTTAGTTCATTTGGTAGGGTCATGTTTTCCCAGATGGTCTTGATACTGGTAAATGTTCATCTGTGTCTGGCCATTGAAAAGTTAGATATTTACTGTAGCTTTTGCTGTCTGGTGTTGTTTGTACCCGTCCTTTTTGGGAAGGCTTTTCAGATATTCAAAAGGACTTGTGTGTTGTGATCTAAGCTATATTTACTTTAGGGGGAACCTTAAGCCCAGTGACATTGTGGTTCTTGCAGACTCATAGAGATACTGCTTTGATGGTCTTAGAAACAGAGTGGCATCTGCAATTCAAGTCTGTCTTTCTTACCTCTTCAGTGTCCCTTTCAGTGATATATAGTTAAAACCAGGTACTGTGAGTGCTCATCTGACCTACTTATTGATTCTTTTTTTTCTTTTTTTAAAATTTTACTTTAAGTGTCAGGATATATGTGCAAAATGTGCAGGTTTGTTACATAGGTGTATATGTGCCAGGGTGGTTTGCCGCACCTATCAACCCATCACCTAGGTATTAAGCCCCACATGTATCAGCCATTTGTGCTGATGCTCTTGCACCCCCCACTCCCACGCAGTGTGTTGTTCCCCTCCCTGTGTCCACATGTTTTCACTGTTCAGCTCCCACTTATGAGTGAGAACATGCAGTGTTTGGTTTTCTGTCCCTGCAAAGGACATGATATTCCTTTTTATGGCTACGTAGTATTCCATGGTGTATATGTACTGCATTTTCTTTATCCAGTCTATCATTGATGGGCATTTTGGTTGGTTCCATGTCTTTGCTATTGTGAATAATGCTGCAATAAACACACATGTGCATGTATGTTTGTATGTATCTTCATAATGGAATGATTTCTATTCCTTTGGGTGTATATCCAGTAGTGGGATTGCTCGGTCAAATGGTATTTCTGGTACTAGATCCATGAGGAATCACCACACTATCTTTCACAATGGTTGAACTAATTTATATTTCCACCAATGGAGTACAAGCATCTGTTGCTTCCTGACTTTTTTTTTTTTTTTTTTGAGACAGAGTTTCACTCTTGTTGCCCAGGCTGGAGTGCGATGGCATGATCTCGGCTCACTTCAACCTGTCTCCCGGGCTCAAGTGATTCTCCTGGCTCAGCCTCCTGAGTAGCTGGGATTACAGGCACCCATGACCACACCCAGCTAATTTTTTGTATTTTTAATAGAGACAGGGTTTCACCATGTTGGCCAGGCTGGTCTTGAAGTCCTGACCTCAGGTGATCCACCCGTCTTTGCTTCCCAAAATGCTGGGATTACAGGTGTGAGCCACCGCGCCCAGCCACTTCTTGACTTTTTAATAATCACCCTTCTGACTAGCATGAGATGGTATCTCATTGTGTTTTTTATTTGCAATTCTCTAACGATCAGTGATGCTAAACTTTTTTTCATGTATTTGCTGGCTGCATAAATGTCTTATTTTGAGAAGTGTCTGTTCATGTCCTTTGCCTAGTTTTTGATGGGGATGTCTGTTTTTTTCTTGTAAATTTGTTTAAGTTCCTTATAAATTCATTAACTTAATCCATCTTGAGTTAATTTTTGTATAAGGCATAAGGAAGAGGTCCAGCTTCAGTTTTCTGCATATGGGTAACCAGTTTTCTCAGCACCGTTTATTAAATAGAGAGTCTTTTCTGCATTGCTTGTTTTTGTCGGGATTGTCAAAGATCAGATAGATGGTTGTAGATGTATGATCTTATTTCTGAGGTCTGTATTCTGTTCAATTAGTCTATATGTCTGTTTTGGTACCAGTATCATGCTGTTTTGGTTACTGTACCCTTGTAGTATGGTTTGAAGTCAGGTAACATGATGACTCCAGCTTTGTTCTTTTTCTTAGGATTGTCTTGGCTATATGGGCTCTTTTTTAGTTCTATAAGAAATTTAAAATAGTTTTTCTAATTCTGTGATGAAAGTCAATGGTAGTTTGATTTAAATAGCATTGAATCTATAAATTACTTTCAGCCATATGGCCATTTTAATGATATTGATTCTTCCTATCCATGAGGATGGAATGTTTATCCATGTGTTTGTGTCCTTTCTTATTTCTTTGAGCCATGGGTTGTAATTCTCCTGGAAGAGGTCCTTCACATCTCTTGTTAGCTGTATTCCTAGGTATTTTATTCTCTTTGTAGCAATTGTGAATGAGAGTTTATTCATGATTTGGTTCTCTGCTTGTCTATTGTTGGTGTATAGGAATGCTTGTGGTTTTTGCACGTTGATTTTTTATCCTGAGATTTTATTGAATTTGCTTATCAGCTTAAGGGGTTTTTGGGCTGAGACAATGGGGTTTTCTAAATACAAAATCATGTCATCTAAAAACAGAGACAATTTGACTTCTTCCCTTCCTATTTGAATATACTTTATTGTTTTTTCTTGCCTGATTGCCCTGGCCAGAACTTCCAATACTATGTTGAATAGAAGTGGTTAGAGACAGCATCCTTGTCTTGTGCCAGTTTTCAAAGGGAATGGTTCCAGATTTTGCCCATTCAGTGTAATGTTGACTGTGTTTATCAAAGGCATTTGATAAACAATACAAGTATGTGATGTACATAACAGTTATTGTTTAAAATTAGCCGAGATTTGTATTTTGCTTGTTACATGGCCACTTTTTACTGTTGCTTCATGTGCATTCAAGCAGATATATATTCTCTCATTTTGGTTGCAGAATTATACATAATTTAATTTTTAATGCTTGGTCATTAAATTGAAATAAGTGTTTAGAAGTCTTCCACTTTGAGTTACATTTGTCAATTTCTCACATTTAAGTAAAATTTTGCTATATATATTCTGAAGCATAAAGATGCATAAAAGTTTAGAAATATATCTTTATGATGACTGGAAACTTTCATCACTATGTGATGTGAAAGAGATGTGTTTATCTCTAATAATACTTGTATTCAAATCTACATTTCTAATATAAATATTATGGGGTTTCTTGTTATTTTCCTGGCATATTATTTTCTATGCTTTCAACATTTTTGGATCTTTATTCTTACATGTGTCTCTTGTAAATGGAATATAGCTGGATTTTGAAAGGTCATCCTTATAATGTCTGTCTTTAATTTGAAATATTAGATTGGTGCAAAAGTAATACTTAGTGCTATTTTATTTATTTTAATTATTCATTTATTAGTAGGTGTCCTAATATATTGTGCTATTTATTTTGCTTTTCTATGCTTGTCACAATTATCCCTTTTAAGATAATGAATTTTATTTTTTGTTTCTCACTCTATTGGGTTTATTTGGAGAGTATATATTCTATTTCTGGTCTTTAACTAGATACCCTAGAACTTGTACCTTGTGCATTTAATGACCTAGCAAATTCTGAAGTTAATAAAAACAATCTCTTCTTTTGAAGGAAGTAAGAATGTTACCCATTACCTCTGATCACTCTTCTCTTGACATACATGATATTGTTTTCTGATATTTCAACTCTGTTTTTCTAGCCATACAAGTTAAATATAATAATAGTAGTTACTTTATAAGGACAATATTTATTACCTTCATCTTTATTAATTTCTTACTGTTTCTTTTTGTATCTCAGACACTACTTCTAAGACCATTTTCTTTCTTCCTCATATTGATACTTTAGAACAAGCTTGTCCAAACTGCAGCCCACAGGCTGCATGTGGCCCAACAATGGCTTTGAATGCAGCCCAACATAAATTTGTAAACTTTCTTAAAACATTATGAGATGTTTTTGCGTTTTTTGTTTTGTTTTTTAGTTCATCAGCTATTATTAGTGATACTTTATTTTATGTGTGGCCCAAAACAATTCTTCTTCTTTCTATATGGCCCAGGGAACCCAAAAGATTGGACACCTCTGCTTCAGAAGATCCTTTAGTGAAAATCTAGTGGTGAACCCTTTTTTAATTTTTATTTTCTTTAGTCAGGATCTCACTCTGTCATCTGGGCTGGAGTACAGTGATGTGATCACGGCTCACTGCAGCCTTGAACTCCCAGGCTCAAGCAATCCTCCCTCTTCAGCCTCCCAAGTAGCTGAGACTACAGGGGTGTGTCACCATGTCCAGCTAACTTTTGTGTTTTTTGTAAAGATGGGGTTTCACCATGTTTCCCAGGCTAGTCTTGAATTCCTGAGCTCAAGAGATCCACTTGCCTCTGCCTCCCATGTGTATATTAGGCACACATGGTGCATGGCCTAATATACAAAAATATTTATTTTATGTTTTCTTAAATAAGGATTTTCTGGGTTTATAACTATAGACATGTAGCTTTTTCTCACAACATATTGAAGATTTTATTTCACTATTTCTTTCTTCAGTTTTTGCTTTTTAGAAGTCTGATTTAGTTTATAATTCTTTCAAAGTGTATTTTTTTCTGTTTTAAAATTTCCTTTTTTATATTGACAATAATAATTGTACAGATAATGGGGTACTTAGTGATTTTTTGATATATATTATGTATAGTGATCAGATAAGTGTAATTAGCATATCCATCATCTCAAACCTTGATCATTTATTTGTGTTGGGAATGTTCAATATCCTCTTTCTAGCCATTTAAAACTATATAACATGTTATTGCTCTCTATAGTCATCCTACAGTGGTATAGAACACTAAAATTATCTAGCCATTATTTTGTATTGTTCAACAAATCTCTCTCTATTCCTCCCTTCCCCCTGTCCTTCCCAGCCTCTAGTATCCTCTGTTCTACTTTTTACTTCTATGAGATCAACTTTTTTTAGCTTCCACATTCGAGTGAGAATGTGCAATGTTTAACTTTCTATTCCTGGCTTATCTTACTTAACATAATGTCCTACAGTTCAATCTATGTTGCTGCAAATGACAGAATTTTATTTTGTGAGGTATATGCATCACATTTTCTTTATTTGTTCATCTGTTGTTGAACATCTAGGCTGAGTCCATATCTTGGCTACTCTGAATAGTGCTGCAGTAAACATGAGGGTTCAGATGTGTCTCTGATATAATAATTTCCTTTTTTTGGATAAATTCCCAGTAGTAGGATTGCTGGATCATA
Organism: Homo sapiens; assembly: GCF_000001405.40. Lineage (NCBI taxonomy): Eukaryota > Metazoa > Chordata > Mammalia > Primates > Hominidae > Homo > Homo sapiens. The sequence continues at coordinate 157,381,682 of NC_000002.12, read as the reverse complement.
TGGTAGTTCTATTTACAGTTTTTTTTTGAGGAATCTTCATACTGTTCTCCAAAGTGGCTGTAATATTCTCCATTCCCATCAACAGTGGATAAGAGTTCCCTTTTCTCCCCATCCTTGCAGCATTTGTTGTTTATCATCTTGTTGATGATAGCCATTTTAAATGGAGTAAGATCATACCTCATTGTCGTTTTTATTTGCATTTCCCTGATAATTAGTGACATTGAGCATTTTTTTCATATACCTGTTGGCCATTTGTATATCTTCTTTTGAGGAATGTCTGTTCAGATCATTTGTCCATTCTTTAATCAGATTGTTTTCTTTATTATCTAGATATTTCAGTTCCTTGTATATTTTAGATACTAAGCTCCTGTCAAATGAGTAGTTTGCAAATACTGTCTCCATTCTGCAGATTCTCTTTTCACTCTTTTGATTGCTTCCTTTGTTTTGCAGAAGCTTTTTAGATATTAATCTCCAGTCAAATGAGTAGTTTGCAAATATTTTCTCCATTCTGCAGGTTCTCTTTTCACCCTGTTGATTGTTTCCTTTGTTGTGCAGAAGGTTTTTAGTTTAATATAATTTCATTTGTCTTCACTTTTGTTGCCTATGCTTTGGAGGTGTTATTCATAAAAACTTTTCCAAGTCCAATGCCCTAGGCTTTTTGAAATATAAGATAAGATCATGTCATCTGCAAACAGAGACTATTTGACTTGCTCTTTTTCAATATGAATGCCATTTTTTTTCCTTTTTGCCAGATTGTTCTAGTTAGGACTTCTAGTACTATGCTAAATATGAATGGTTAGTGTGGGTATCCTTATCTTATTCCAGTTCTTAGAGGAAAGCCTTTCAGTTTTTTCTCCGTTCAGTATGATGTTAGCTAAGGGTTTGTCATATATGGACTTTATGATGTTGAGGAACTTTCCTTCTATACCTAATTTATTAAGAGTTTTTATCATGAAGTCAGAATAAATCTTATCAAAATCTTTTTCTGAATCTATTGAATTGAGATGATCATGTGATTTTTGTCCTTCATTCTATTGATGTAATGTATAACGTTTAGTAATTTGCATAATTTGAACTATCTTTGCATTCCTGGGATAAATCCCACTTGACTGTGGTATATTATTGTTTTGATGTGTTGTTGGATTTGGTTTGTTGGCATTTTGTTTAAGATTTTTGCGAGGCGGCAAGAGGACCTGCGGCAGGCCCTCTTCGGCAGTCTCTCTGGCCCGGTTTCCCTCGGCGTGCTACTGTGCGCTCGATCCAGCACCATGGGGAAGCGGGACAATCGGGTGGCCTATATGAACCCAATAGCAATGGCGAGATCAAGGGGTCCAATCCAGTCTTCAGGGCCAACAATACAGGATTATCTGAATCGACCAAGGCCTACCTGGGAAGAAGTAAAAGAGCAACTAGAAAAGAAAAAGAAAGGCTCCAAGGCTTTGGCTGAATTTGAAGAAAAAATGAATGAGAACTGGAAGAAAGAACTGGAAAAACACAGGGAGAAATTGTTAAGTGGAAGTGAGAGCTCATCCAAAAAAAGACAGAGAAAGAAAAAAGAAAAGAAGAAATCTGGTAGGTATTCATCTTCTTCTTCATCAAGCTCTGATTCTTCCAGCAGTTCTTCTGATTCTGAAGATGAGGATAAGAAACAAGGAAAATGGAGAAAGAAAAAGAAGAACCGTTCACATAAATCTTCTGAAAGCTCCATGTCAGAAACTGAATCAGACAGTAAGGATAGTTTAAAAAAGAAAAAGAAGTCAAAAGATGGAACTGAGAAAGAAAAGCATATTAAAGGACTCAGCAAAAAGAGAAAGATGTATTCTGAAGATAAACCTTTATCATCTGAGTCCTTGTCAGAATCAGAATATATTGAGGAGGAGAAAACAAAAAAGAAAAAGAAGCATAAGAAACACAGTAAGAAGAAGAAAAAGAAGGCTGCTAGTTCAAGTCCTGACTCACCGTAACATTAAGAAAAATCAGGATTCCCTTATAAAGAAAGTGCAATGTCTGAGGAAATTTCAACTGTGAAAACTACAACATATTTACTAAAATGCATGAATTTTCTTGTTTTTAGAATTATTCCTGGACTATTCAGTAGCCACTCAGATGCCACTGTGTGAAAGGGCCATAAATGTTGCCTGCTGCTTGAACATCTATTTTTTTCTCTTCCAGTGCTTGATAACTCTGGGAGATAATACACTGCAGTCGTACTAGTGGTTAAGATATTTGGGAATAAAATTAATACTTTTGACTAGAAGCGTCTAAGGATAAACCAACAGAAATTGAATCTGGATACATCTTTAAGATGTAATCAGAAATGACCAGATGACTCTAGTTAGAATTTTTGAAGGAGGGATTACATTAATATTTCAAAACCCTTACTCTGTAGATAAGTGTATTTTAATTTTTTCCCCTCGTATACTTTTATTTACCTGGGGAAGGAGCTTTTAGGGTTGGGGGGTGGTTTGCTATCTCTTTAGCTAGCAGAATAGTGTGCCTTTGATCCTCACACATCCTGTATTATGGACACAGTAGCCATGCTTCACGGGGAGGTCAGAGCTGGCTACCAGCAGTCTTGCCCTTTACTGAGCTTAGTGTCATCTTTGGATGCTGTCATATGCTGCTTTGAGTGAACCAGAGAAACAGCCATTTGCAGCATGAGAAAGCCCCAAAAGCTCTGGGATTTACCTCCACTTCAGTAATAATGAATATTTTTTAGCATTAGAATGTGTTATGTCATTTGAATTAATTTTGACTACACTTTGGCTTGGGAGAGGAATTATTTTAAATAGACATTGGTACTTTTTGAACTTGATAGCTAAAGATTCTAAAATGCATGTTTTATACTAAGTTTTAACCAGTCAGGAAAATTTTATGTAACTAGTGATAGTTTATTTTTTTGTATGAATTTTGTTTAGGCTGCAATGTTTAGCTTTTGTTAACTCCTCACTCTTGCTGTCTTAAGTTCATTACTATGTTTAATGGCCTACTTGCCAAGATATTTAGCATGTAAAAAGCAGGGTTTTGATTAAAAAAAAAAAACGGCTTCATATTGAAGCTGAGACTTACAATAACAAGTTGAGTGGCAAGCCTGGTATGCTGTGTCTTATTGCCAGAATCTTAGTAAATGTAATGTTTTAAAAGTTTGTTGTCTTTGTATATTAATAACAAAGTATGACAAGTTAAGTTTAAAAAAAAAAAGATTTTTGCATCTGTGTTCATCAGGAATGTTGAACTGTGGTTGCCTTTTCGTTGCTGTGTCTTTTTCTGATTTTGGTACCAGGGTTATGCTGGCTTAATAGAATGAGTTACGAAAAATTCTCTCTGCTTTAAATTTTGGAATAGTTTGAGAAAAATTGGTATTAATTGTTCTTTAAAGGAATGCTACTTTACAACTTCTACTCATCAATTCAACATCGTTATCTGGCACATTTCCTTTCAGCATGATCAGGTGAACTAGTGAGAGTTTACCTTGGGTTTCAGTGGAGTTACTTGGCTTACAAGAGTTTTAGAAGTAATCATTCTGGATTTATTTCTGCTCAGCTGCATTCATTTTTAGCTGCAAATCTGGCCGGTGTTTCTCTTTGATTCTTCTCCTCCTCATATTACCTCCAGATGGTTTCTGAGGTCAAGTTATCCTAGCCTCAGAGGCAGTTTTTCTTATGCTATTTGCAGTGTTGACTTTGACTTATTTAGAGGTATCCCCTGAGTCTTTTGTGGACTTCACATACTCTCATTCCTCCTTATTTTACGTAAAATGTCTTTGGAAGAGTCTTTACAGATCTTTTGTGTTACTTTAAGATGTACTGGTTTGTTGCTTTATCCCTCATTTTGGTCCACATTTTATTGAAATCAGTAGACTGTGTGTATGTTCCCATAATTATTTATTTGTTTTGTCACTCATTTCTGAACTTGTAGATATTACATTATTTAAATTTTAAACTGTTTTTGGTACTTTTGGTAGATTCCAAGGAAGGGTGTAGAATAAATATGTCTTTAATATGATATATTTTCCTTAAAATCAAAACCCAATTTCATAAAGATAGGGCTAAATGTAAGGCCCAGGTTGTTTCTTTTTAAATGTACACCTGGAGAATAGTCCTTTGATGTTAGTGTGGTATAATACGAGAAGCTAGCTGCAAAGTGCCCAACCCAAATAGCAGAACAAGAAAAAGAGTGCATGCACTATAAACTTCTTTCCAAAAAAACATTTTTAGAGGAATCCCTTTCCCTCATGTTATTTGTATCATGAAGTAACACCTTGCATTCAAGTTTTTATCCTCCAGAGTCTTATAGACATTTTGAATACAAAAACATTACATGAGCTTTCATTATACCTGACCCTCTCTGTAAAACTCAGACACCAGTTCACATTGAGAGTGGGATTTGAGCTAAAGGACAAACTCAGGCAAGAGTAATCTCCAACAACAGAAGCATTTTAACAATATGTGATCATGTTGAGGTCTTCTTAAGATGTTTCTCTGTCTTGTCACTATGGCGACTTGATGCTCCATGGGACCCAAGATATTCCTGACTATGTTTGTATAGAGTTGATAATTTCTATTCAAAGAACATTATTGGGTAGAATTAAAATTTTAGTCAGAATTTGTTTAATACTTACTATATATACTCCAGTACTCTTCAACTCTAAGATATATGTTATCTTGGCTGGGCGAGGTGGCTCACCCCTGTAATCCTAGCACGTTGGGAGGCTGAGGTGGGTGGATCACGAGGTCAGGAGATCGAGACCATCCTGACTAACACAGTGAAACCCCGTCTCTACTGAAAATACAAAAAATTCGCTGGGCATGGTGGCGGGCGCCTGTAGTGCTAGCCACTCAGGAGGCTGAGGCAGGAGAATGGCATAAACCCGGGAGGCGGAGCTTGCAGTGAGCCAAGATCACGCCACTGCACTCCAGCCAGGGTGACAGAGCAAGACTCCGTCTCAAAAAAAAAAAAAGTGTGTAGCATATCCCTACTCTCTCTCTCTCCCTCTTGCTCTGGCCATGTGAAGTGCCTTACTTCCCCTTTGGCTCCTGCCATTATTGTAAGTTCTCAGGCCTCCCAAGAAGCAGATGCTGCCATGCTTCCTGTGCAGCCTGAAGAACTGTGAGCCAATTTAACCCTTTTTTTTTAAATAAATTACCCAGTCTCAGGTATTTATAGCAGTGCATGTGAACTGACTAATATAGAAAATTGGTACCAAAGAATGGGGCATTGCTATAAATGTACCTGAAAATGTGGAAGCAGCTTTGGAACTGGGTAACAGGTAGAGGTTGGAAGAGTGTGGAGGGCTAAGAGGATAGGAAGATAAGGAAAAGTTAGGAACTTCCTAGAGACTTGTTAAATTGTTGTGACTGAAATGCTGATAATAATATGGACAGTGAAGGCCAGGCTGATAACGTCTCAGATGGAAATGAGGAACTTATTTGGAATTGGAGCAAAGGTCACTTTTGTTATGCATTAGCAAAGAGGTTTGGATTGTGCTCCTGCTCTAGGGATCTGTGGAACTTTGAACGTGAGAGAAATAATTTAAAGTATCCAGAAGAAGAAATTTCTAAGCAGTAGAGTGTTCAAGATGTAGTCTGGCTGCCTCTAACAACCTAAGCTAATATGCATGAGCAAAAAAACGACCTGAAACTGGAACTTATATTTAAAAGGAAAGCAGAGTGCAAAGGTTTGGAAAATGTGCAGCCCAGCCATGTGGTAGAAAAGAAAACCCATTTTCAGAGGAGGAATTCAAGCAGGCTGCACAAATTTGCATAACTAAAAGGAAGGCATTTCAGAGAGGTAGTTCATCCCATCATAGGTCAGAGGCCTAGGAAGGAAGAATGGTTTCATGGGCCAGATTCAGGGCCTCATTGCCCTTTGCAGCCTAGGGACATTGAACATCCCAGTTGCTCCAGCTTCAGCTGTGGCTAAAAGGGGCCCAGGTACAGCTTGGGCCACTGCTTCAGAGAGTGCAAGCCATTAGCCTTGGTGGCTTTCTCATGGTAGTAAGCCTGTGGGTGTACAGAGTGCAAGGATGAGGCTTGATAGCCTCCAACCAGATTTCAGAAGATGTATGGAAAAACCTGGAAGTCCAGGCAGAATCCTACTGGGTAGGTGGAGCCCTCAAGGAGAACCTCTACCAAGGGAAGTGTGGAGGAGAAATGTGGGATTGGATCCCCAAACTGAGTCCCCATGAGGGCACCGCCTAGCAGGGCATGAAACTGCCCAAGACCTTGGGAACCCACCCTTTGCATCAAAGTGCCCTGGATGTGAGACATAGAGTCAAAAGAGATTATTTTGGAGCTTTAAGATTTAATTACTTCCTGCTTGGTTTCAGATTTGCTTGGGCCCTGTGGCCCCTTTCTTTTGGTTGATTTCTCCCTTTTGGAATGGGCATATTTACCTAATGCCTCTACCCCCATTGTATCTTGGAAGTAACTACTGTGTTTTTTATTTTACAGACTCATAGGTGAAAGGGACTAGCCTTGTCTCTGATGCAACTTTGGATTTTGGAACTTTGAGTTAATGCTGGAATGTGTTAAGCCTTTGGGAACTGTTGGGAAGACATGACTGTATTTCAAAATGTGAGAAGAACATGATATTTGGGAGGGGCCAGGGCAGAATGGTATATGGTTTGGATCTGTGTCTCTGCCCAAATCTCATGTTGAATTCTAATCTTCAATGTTGGTGGTGGGGCCTGGTGGAAGGTGATTAGATGATGAGGGTGAATTTCTCCCTTTAGTTCCTTTCTCATGATAGAATTACAGTGAGATCTGATTGTTTAAAAGTGTGTAGTACATCCCCATTCTCTCTCTCCTTCCTGCTCTGGCCATGTGAACTGCCTTACTTCCACTTTGCCTTCCATCATGATTGTAATTTCCCTGAGGCCTCCCCACAAGCCAATGTCACCATGCTTCCTGTCCAGCCTATGGAACCATGAGCCAATTAAACCTCTTTTTAAGAAAATCAATTACCCAGTCTCAGGTATGTCTTTATAACAGTGCAAGAACAGACTAATGCATATGTCTTTCCCCGGACTCACATAACTGGTAAAATTTGAAGGTAATTCTATTCTATGATGACTAAGATCTTGAGTTTGTAGTCACATGGCTCTGGAATCAAAACTTTTTTTTTTTTATTATACTTTAAGTTTTAGGGTACATGTGCATATTGTGCAGGTTAGTTACATATGTATACATGTGCCATGCTGGTGCGCTGCACCCACTAACTCATCATCTAGCATTAGGTATATCTCCCAATGCTATCCCTCCCCGCTCCCGCCACCCCACCACAGTCCCCAGAGTGTGATATTCCCCTTCATGTGTCCATGTGATCTCATTGTTCAATTCCCACCTATGAGTGAGAATATGCGGTGTTTGATTTTTTGTTCTTGTGATAGTTTACTGAGAATGATGATTTCCAATTTCATCCATGTCCCTACAAAGGACATGAACTCATCATTTTTTATGGCTGCATAGTATTCCATGGTGTATATGTGCCACATTTTCTTAATCCAGTCTATCATTGTTGGACATTTGGGTTGGTTCCAAGTCTTTGCTATTGTGAATAATGCCGCAATAAACACACGTGTGCATGTGTCTTTATAGCAGCATGATTTATAGTCCTTTGGGTATATACCCAGTAATGGGATGGCTGGGTCAAATGGTATTTCCAGTTCTAGATCCCTGAGGAATCGCCACACTGACTTCCACAATGGTTGAACTAGTTTACAGTCCCACCAACAGTGTAACAGTGTTCCTATTTCTCCACATCCTCTCCAGCACCTGTTGTTTCCTGACTTTTTAATGATTGCCATTCTAACTGGTGTGAGATGATATCTCATAGTGGTTTTGATTTGCATTTCTCTGATGGCCAGTGATGAAGAGCATTTTTTCATGTGTTTTTTGGCTGCATAAATGTCTTCTTTTGAGAAGTGTCTGTTCATGTCCTTCGCCCACTTTTTGATGGGGTTGTTTGTTTTTTTCTTGTAAATTTGTTTGAGTTAATTGTAGATTCTGGATATTAGCGCTTTGTCAGATGAGTAGGTTGCGAAAATTTTCTCCCATTTTGTAGGTTGCCTGTTCACTCTGATGGTAGTTTCTTTTGCTGTGCAGAAGCTCTTTAGTTTAATTAGATCCCATTTGTCAATTTTGGCTTTTGTTGCCATTGCTTTTGGTGTTTTGGACATGAAGTCCTTGCCCATGCCTATGTCCTGAATGGTAATGCCTAGGTTTTCTTCTAGGGATTTTATGGTTTTAGGTTTAACGTTTAAATCTTTAATCCATCTTGAATTGATTTTTGTATAAGGTGTAAGGAAGGGATCCAGTTTCAGCTTTCTACATATGGCTAGCCAGTTTTCCCAGCACCATTTATTAAATAGGGAATCCTTTCCCCATTGCTTGTTTTTCTCAGGTTTGTCAAAGATCAGATAGTTGTAGGTATGCGGCGTTATTTCTGAGGGCTCTGTTGTGTTCCATTGATCTATATCTCTGTTTTGGTACCAGTACCATGCTGTTTTGGTTACTGTAGCCTTGTAGTATAGTTTGAAGTCAGGTAGTGTGATGCCTCCAGCTTTGTTCTTTTGGCTTAGGATTGACTTGGCGATGTGGGCTCTTTTTTGGTTCCATATGAACTTTAAAGTAGTTTTTTCCAATTCTGTGAAGAAAGTCATTGGTAGCTTGATGGGGATGGCATTGAATCTGTAAATTACCTTGGGCAGTATGGCCATTTTCACGATATTGATTCTTCCTACCCATGAGCATGGAATGTTCTTCCATTTGTTTGTATCCTCTTTGATTTCCTTGAGCAGTGGTTTGTAGTTCTCCTTGAAGAGGTCCTTCACATCCCTTGTAAGTTGGATTCCTAGGTATTTTATTCTGTTTGAAGCAATTGTGAATGGGAGTTCACTCATGATTTGGCTCTCTGTTTGTCTGTTGTTGGTGTATAAGAATGCTTGTGATTTTTGTACATTGATTTTGTATCCTGAGACTTTGCTGAAGTTGCTTATCAGCTTAAGGAGATTTTGGGCTGAGATGATGGGGTTTTCTAGATAAACAATCATGTCGTCTGCAAACAGGGACAATTTGACTTCCTCTTTTCCTAATTGAATACCCTTTATTTCCTTCTCCTGCCTGATTGCCCTGGCCAGAACTTCCAACACTATGTTGAATAGGAGCGGTGAGAGAGGGCATCCCTGTCTTGTGCCAGTTTTCAAAGGGAATGCTTCCAGTTTTTGCCCATTCAGTATGATATTGGCTGTGGGTTTGTCATAGATAGCTCTTATTATTTTGAAATACGTCCCATCAATTCCTAATTTATTGAGAGTTTTTAGCATGAAGGGTTGTTGAATTTTGTCAAAGGCTCTTTCTGCATCTATTGAGATAATCATGTGGTTTTTGTCTTTGGCTCTGTTTATATGCTGGATTACATTTATTGATTTGCATATATTGAACCAGCCTTGCATCCCAGGGATGAAGCCCACTTGATCATGGTGGATAAGCTTCTTGATGTGCTGCTGGATTCGGTTTGCCAGTATTTTATTGAGGATTTTTGCATCAATGTTCATCAAGGATATTGGTCTAAAATTCTCTTTGTTCATTGTGTCGTTGTCCAGCTTTGGTATCAGGATGATGCTGGCCTCATAAAATGAGTTAGGGAGGATTCCCTCTTTTTCTATTCATTGGAATAGTTTCAGAAGGAATGGTACCAGTTCCTCCTTGTACCTCTGGTAGAATTTGGCTGTGAATCCATCTGGTCCTGGACTCTTTTTGGTTGGTAAACTATTGATTATTGCCCCAATTTCAGCTCCTGTTATTGGTCTATTCAGAGATTCAACTTCTTCCTGGTTTAGTCTTGGGAGAGTGTATGTGTTGAGGAATGTATCCATTTCTTCTAGATTTTCTAGTTTATTTGAGTAGAGGTGTTTGTAGTATTCTATGATGGTAGTTTGTATTTCTGTGGGATCAGTGGTGATATCCCCTTTATCATTTTTTATTGTGTCTATTTGATTCTTCTCTCTTTTTTTCTTTATTAGTCTTGCTAGCGGTCTATCAATTTTGTTGATCCTTTCGAAAAACCAGCTCCTGGATTCATTGATTTTTTGAAGGGTTTTTTGTGTCTCTATTTCCTTCAGTTCTGCTCTGATTTTAGTTATTTCTTGCCTTCTGCTAGCTTTTCAATGTGTTTGCTCTTGCTTTTCTAGTTCTTTTAATTGTGATGTTAGGGTGTCAATTTTGGATCTTTCCTGCTTTCTCTTGTGGGCATTTAGTGCTATAAATTTCCCTCTACACACTGCTTTGAATGCATCCCAGAGATTCTGGTATGTTGTGTCTTTGTTCTCGTTGGTTTCAAAGAACATCTTTATTTCTGCCTTCATTTCATTATGTACCCAGTAGTCATTCAGGAGCAGGTTGTTCAGTTTCCATGTAGTTGAGCGGCTTTGAGTGAGATTCTTAATCCTGAGTTCTAGTTTGATTGCACTGTGGTCTGAGAGATAGTTTGATATAATTTCTGTTCTTTTACATTTGCTGAGGAGAGCTTTACTTCCAAGTATGTGGTCAATTTTGGAATAGGTGTGGTGTGGTGCTGAAAAAAATGTATATTCTGTTGATTTGGGGTGGAGAATTCTGTAGATGTCTATTAGGTCCGCTTGGTACAGAGCTGAGTTCAATTCCTGGGTATTCTTGTTGACTTTCTGTCTCGTTGATCTGTCTAATGTTGACAGTGGGGTGTTAAAGTCTCCCATTATTAATGTGTGGGAGTCTAAGTCTCTTTGTAGGTCACTCAGGACTTGCTTTATGAATCTGGGTGCTCCTGTATTGGGGGCATATATATTTAGGATAGTTAGCTCCTCTTGTTGAATTGATCCCTTTACCATTATGTAATGGCCTTCTTTGTCTCTTTTGATCTTTGTTGGTTTAAAGTCTGTTTTATCAGAGACTAGGATTGCAACCCCTGCCTTTTTTTGTTTTCCATTTGCTTGGTAGATCTTCCTCCATCCTTTTATTTTGAGCCTATGTGTGTCTCTGCATGTGAGATGGGTTTCCTGAATACAGCACACTGATGGGTCTTGACTCTTTATCCAACTTGCCAGTCTGTGTCTTTTAATTGGAGCATTTAGTCCATTTACATTTAAAGTTAATATTGTTATGTGTGAATTTGATCCTGTCATTATGATGTTAGCTGGTGATTTTGCTCGTTAGTTGATGCAGTTTCTTCCTAGTCTCGATGGTCTTTACATTTTGGCATGATTTTGCAGCGGCTGGTACCGGTTGTTCCTTTCCATGTTTAGTGCTTCCTTCAGGAGCTCTTTTAGGGCAGGCCTGGTGGTGACAAAATCTCTCAGCATTTGCTTGTCTGTAAAGTATTTTATTTCTCCTTCACTTATGAAGCTTAGTTTGGCTGGATATGAAATTCTGGGTTGAAAATTCTTTTCTTTAAGAATGTTGAATATTGGCCCCCACTCTCTTCTGGCTTGTAGGGTTTCTGCCGAGAGATCCGCTGTTAGTCTGATGGGCTTCCCTTTGAGGGTAACCCGACCTTTCTCTCTGGCTGCCCTTAACATTTTTTCCTTCATTTCAACTTTGGTGAATCTGACAATTATGTGTCTTGGAGTTGCTCTTCTCGAGGAGTATCTTTGTGGCGTTCTCTGTATTTCCTGAATCTGAATGTTGGCCTGCCTTGCTAGATTGGGGAAGTTCTCCTGGATAATATCCTGTAGAGTGTTTTCCAACTTGGTTCCATTCTTCCCATCACTTTCAGGTACACCAATCAGATGTAGATTTGGTCTTTTCACATAGTCCCATATTTCTTGGAGGCTTTGCTCATTTCTTTTTATTCTTTTTTCTCTAACCTTCCCTTCTCGCTTAATTTCATTCATTTCATCTTCCATCGCTGATACCCTTTCTTCCAGTTGATCGCATCGGCTCCTGAGGCTTCTGCATTCTTCACGTAGTTCTCGAGCCTTGGTTTTCAGCTCCATCAGCTCCTTTAAGCACTTCTCTGTATTGGTTATTCTAGTTATACATTCTTCTAAATTTTTTTCAAAGTTTTCAACTTCTTTGCCTTTGGTTTGAATGTCCTCCCGTAGCTCAGAGTAATTTGATCGTCTGAAGCCTTCTTCTCTCAGCTCATCAAAGTCATTCTCCATCCAGCTTTGTTCCGTTGCTGGTGAGGAACTGCGTTCCTTTGGAGGAGGAGAGGTGCTCTGCGTTTTAGAGTTTCCAGTTTTTCTGTTCTGTTTTTTCCCCATCTTTGTGGTTTTATCTACTTTTGGTCTTTGATGATGGTGATGTACAGATGGGTTTTTGGTGTGGATGTCCTTTCTGTTTGTTAGTTTTCCTTCTAACAGACAGCACCCTCAGCTGCAGGTCTGTTGGAATACCCTGCCGTGTGAGGTATCAGTGTGCCCCTGCTGGGGGGTGCCTCCCAGTTAGGCTGCTCGGGGGTCAGGGGTCAGGGACCCACTTGAGGAGGCAGTCTGCCCGTTCTCAGATCTCCAGCTGCGTGCTGGGAGAACCACTGCTCTCTTCAAAGCTGTCAGACAGGGACATTTAAGTCTGCAGAGGTTACTGCTGTCTTTTCGTTTGTCTGTGCCCTGCCCCCAGAGGTGGAGCCCACAGAGGCAGGCAGGCCTCCTTGAGCTGTGGTGGGCTCCACCCAGTTCGAGCTTCCCGGCTGCTTTGTTTACCTAATCAAGCCTGGGCAATGGCGGGCGCCCCTCCCCCAGCCTCGCTGCCGCCTTGCAGTTTGATCTCAGACTGCTGTGCTAGCAATCAGCGAGATTCCGTGGGCGTAGGACCCTCCGAGCCAGGTGTGGGATATAGTCTCGTGGTGCGCCGTTTTTTAAGCCGGTCTGAAAAGCGCAATATTCGGGTGGGAGTGACCCGATTTTCCAGGTGCGTCCGTCACCCCTTTCTTTGACTCGGAAAGGGAACTCCCTGACCCCTTGCCCTTCCCAGGTGAGGCAATGCCTCGCCCTGCTTCGGCTCGCGCCCAGTGCGTGCACCCACTGGCCTGCGCCCACTGTCTGGCACTCCCTAGTGAGATGAACCCGGTACCTCAGATGGAAATGCAGAAATCACCCGTCTTCTGCGTCGCTCACGCTGGGAGCTGTAGACCAGAGCTGTTCCTATTCGGCCATCTTGGCTCCTCCTCCTGGAATCAAACCTTGTTCCTACTTTTTACTGTGTTTGTGATATTGGGCATGACATTTCTCTGAGCCTTTGTTTCATGGGCTATAACATGAAGATAATAACAGCAACTACCTGTAGGGATTTGTATGGATGCAATGGGATAAGTTATTAATATGTATGGCAATTAGTACAATGGCTGGCATATAGTAAGCATTCAGTAAGTGCTATCTACAAGGACTGTAAGTAATTTATTTATTTCTCTATTGAATGCAGGAGGTTATATCAGAGGAGGGAATTCTTGCAAATCAGTCTGACAGTCAAAGTTTAGTAAAATTGGTATCTAGTGATAGTGGTGAAAGAAAAATAAAATGGGAATAGTTTTGTTTATAAATTATTTTGAAAAAATACCCCCCAAAATCCCAATATAACTTTCATGTGCTCTTTAAGAAAATAATACCAAATAGTCAGACTATATCTCATGTAATACAGTTCCTTTTAAAGAATTTGATTCTGAAGGGTAAACACCAGGAGGCTATAACTGGTAAGTGGAAATATTTGAGCAGAAGCTCAAGAGATTTACCAGTCTTGGCAAAGAGTGCAGTAAAATAGTTGAGAATTTGGCCTTTGGAATCAGATGCCAGTATTCTCTAATAGTTGTGTGACCTTTGCCTATTTCCTCATCTTTAAAATAGAGGTTAAATTGTTGCATAACTCACAGAGTTGTTGGATGATTAAATAAGGTCATTAGTGGAAGCTCTCAGAACAGTGTCTGGTCCATAAGAAAGATTCAGCCAATGTTAATTACGTTTAGAAACTGCCATACTTTGGCTTTTGTCTTCCAAACTCTTTTAAGAGGATGAAAGTTGAGAAACTCTTTCACTAGTTCTAGAATTTCTGTATATTTATAGATAATCTCACCTGAGTTCCTGTAATGCAGATCATTATTTTCAACTAATAAAATTCACCTTATATAAATACACAGTTGGTGCTCTTCTCTAGAAACTCTGCTAACTTTTCCAGAAATGCCTTAGAGAGAAGAAATTTCCTGATTTTGTGAGCTTCTTACTTGAATATATTCTCTTTCTTTCTCAGCCTATAAACAAGGCAAGTTTCCTATTGTTACCTGAGATTCTAAGGTAGCAGGAAGAAGTGTATTTGTGTAAAGAGGTGGTTAATGCCCTGCCACTAATAAAATGCTCTAGATGTAATTACAGAGGAGGATGCACTATTTTAAAGAAAAATTAAAACATACTTTTTTTTTTCTTTTTGAGACAGCATCTCACTCTGTTGACCAAGCTGGAGTGCAGTGGTGGTCATAGCTCCCTGCAGACTTGAACTCCCAGTCTCAAGTGATTCTCCCACCTCAGCTTCCTGAGTAGCTGGGATTACGAGTGCATGCCACCAAGCCTGGCTAATATTTTTAAGATTTGTAGATACAGGGTCTCACTATGTTGCCCAGGCTGGTCTCAAACTCATGGCCTCAAGTGAGCTTCCGGCCTCTGTTTCCCAAAGTGCTAGGATATTGGTGTGAGCCACCATACCCAACCAATTCTTATAGTTTTAAAATTTCTTGAATAGATGTTGGTTTTCTTTGAATACAAATTGATATACCTTTGCTGTCTATATCAGTGAAGACCCTGTGAAGTAGATGTGAAGGTGTTCTACATAATATATACTATGGGTCGGGTACTTATAAGGTGGTACAGACATTTATAAACATCTCTAAGCTAGAGACATTTATTTCTTCTGATAACCCCATAAGATTGATTTTTGAAACTTTATTTTATAGTTAAGGACATTGCAGCTCAGAAAGGTGAAGTAATTGGCCCAAGATCAGTTTCCGGTGAGAGGTAGAGTATGGATACAAACATGTCTTTCTTATTAGATACTCTGCGCTTTTTTTGCAATACCATATGGCTTTCCAGTCAAGTAGCCTACATACATGGATTAAGCTATAATGCATGGTCTTGCCTTTGATATTATTTTTTTCAGATTCCACTTAACCACTCATATATACTAGTTCTTTTCCCTCCATTGATGGAAAATATTATCTCCAGAGTAGCACACTGATACTTGCTGATGACCACAAAAAGAAAACTTGTTCTTTAGTTTCGTACCACAAAAAATGATGAGCACCATCCCCAGCCCCATTATCGAATTTACCTTGGTTATTTTACCGTGAAACATTCTGTATTAATACTTATTTAGTGAAGCAATACCTTCAATTTTAACTGAAGTACCACTTTTATTTATTCATGTTGACAAAACATCTTCTGTAACTGGGTAAAAGAGTTTAGGGCTCTGACCTTTAAATTTCTTCTACCCTTTGTGCTGTGGCTAAATGGAGCTGAATATTTCCTAGATGCCATAGCTGGTAAAACGGGATGTTTACAGTTACATTAAGACATACAGAAGTAAACTTCGTACAGTTTTCTACAACTTAAGTCTACTTTCATGATGTCCTTATGGAAATTTGATGGCATCATTTATAAGGCTATAAAACTAAGTTTACCAAAATACCAAGGGCCATGAAATTCAAGGTAGACATTTTCTATAGGAAGCCTTGTACAATCATATTTGTACTTCAAGGACTTAGTCTGAGATCCCATGCTATTCTTCCACAAAATACAAAGAATCCTGGGCATTATCCCTGTGATACAAACACAGATTGCAGACTTTTTCTCTTATTTGTTACTGTTCACCTCCACAAATACAAAGCCTTGACAAACATAATGTGATTATTTCAAATTCTCTTCACAAAGAGTTTAGACCTTTGCATTGCCTGGCAGCCTGGTAAACTGCTCCTAGATTAGCCAACAAAGAAGATAAAAAGAAAGAAAGAAAGTGAAAAAAAAAAGAGAGGAAAGGCCTGAAGTGTAGTGGCTCAGAGCTTTAATTCTCTGCCGTTTTGCTTTCAGTGTTCATAAAGATTGGCTCACTCGACTCATCTTTCACTAAGAGAATTAACTTATTGAACCAAAAGATTAGGTTCGGATTTTTCTTCCACTGAGGAGCTCATTAGAGCTTCTAAGTATGCCTCTCTTGAGAAGACTCAGTTTAAATTTTTCTATTAACAGAGACACTTCATCAGTCTTGGCCACCTTTTGAACTCATTCAGTTCAAAACTTCCGCAGTTCAAAAGTACACAGAAGCTGATAATTAGAAATGCACACTTTTTGCACTTTTCAGGCATATTTCAGGCCTTTATCTTCTATTTTTTTCATCATCTTTGCCTTCACATTTTCTTTTTTACTTTTATTTTGTTTTCTCTGCATTTTTTACATCTCTGCTGACCAAATTTTATTAAGATTAGATAATATGTTGGTGGGGCTTAGTGAAAGAAACACTGTGCAAAATCTATGGTCTTGTGTAAAATGTAAAGACAGAACTAGTCTGTTATAAGAAGGAGATGGAAAATTTTACATACCCTAGGATCCCTGGTCTTCCTACAATGATAACAAAAGCTAGAGACAATATTTACTTTTGTTCCTACAGGGGTCACAATGCAGTGCTTCATAATTCTCTCATATCTGGTCAATGCTTCCTCATTCTCCAACCTTCTGCTGTGTAGATACTCCTTATTTTTAATGTTACCTTTGAACTCCTACCATGAAATGCAGTGAGCACCATAAGATAGACTGAGAAATAAAGTATGGAAATTGTTGCCTTGATTCCTTTTTTTATTTTGTAAATCACATCAATCAGAGGAGCACATTGGTTTTACCCCTATAGTATATACTAAATCTGACCACCATTTTTGCTACTCATCTGCCTGCAATGGTAATCTAAGTCATCAGCTGTTTTTGCCTATACTACTGAATATTTCAAATACCTAAATGATTTGCCTTCTTTCATTCCTATTTCCACCCCCATCTAACCAGAGTAAGCTTTTAAAATATAAATTAAATCATATCACTTCTTTGCTTAAAACTCCCCAATTGCTTCTCTTTGAACTTGGGTTAAATCCATTCACTTCCACAATTATTCTTGAGGGATCTGTCTCTTGCCTACCACAGACCATATTTCTTGTATTCTTGAGGGACCTGTCTCTTGCCTACCACACTGGCCATATTTCCAACCACACTCTGACTTCTGTGCTTCAGCCACACTGGTCTCTTTTCTCTAAACGTGACATGCTTACCATTGTGGTTCCCTGTTCTATAATTGTTCTTCCTGCCAGGGTTCGATTGGCAGGCTTCCTCTCATTCAGTTCTTCACTTCTTAGAGAGCTTGTCTTAGTTACCTAATCTAAATAAGCTCTTCCTTGTCCCCATTTTCCTTATTCAGTTATCATTAATTTTCTTTACAACTCTCATCTCCATCTGAAATTATGTATTAATTTATGTCCTTGTTTACTGTTTGCCATCTTAAAACAGAATTGTAGGTTTATTCAAGCATTGTACTCATTTATCTTGTTGACTGCAGTATCCTGTGTCCTGAAAACAGTGCCTGGTACTTTGTGGATACACAATAAATATTTGTTGAATGAATGAATATCCAAAGAGAGTCATGCATTGAGAAAAAAAAGAAGATATGTGGCATCTCCTACTTAGATCATGAGATCTTTATGAGTTAGCCACAGCAGGAAGATTTGTTTCAACCCAGTCTATGTTATGAACATAAAGATATTTAAATAACTCATCCTCATGTCATTTCAGTAACCAAGAATTTACTGCAGCTTTTCAGCTGCTCAGTGAAATGATTCCCAGAGGCTAAATGTGTAACACATTAAAATAAACATTTTTTTAAAACACCTTGGATGTGTGTATGACAAAAACCACACAGGGCATCTATTTTTAGAGTAATATGTCACGTGATGCTTAATTATTATCTCTGCTTATGCCAGAGAACAAGAAGTGTGTCATGACAGTCTCCTGGGTGTTTCCCCTAGGATTTCTTGTCTAAGCTGTAACTCAATTTGGCTTGCACCGCTTAATATGAAATATAAAATAATTGGTGGTTCTATACTTATGAGTCATTCAGGAAAATCAAATGGTAGAAAAAGTTGGGGAGAGAAAGAGGAGAACTGAGGAAGAAGAGCTAAATGGTAATAAGTCAGTCACCTAGGGGGATGCTGAAATTTTTTTGCCTACTTGAAAATTTTTAATGTTTCATTTTCTTCTGTGCACCAAACAGGTACTCTATAGTTGTTTGAAAAAGTCTATTTTGCTAACTGAGGAAGACAAAATCAATGATTTAAACTGCTTCTGGATTATTGGTTAAGAGTATTATAAAGATTTTTCAAGTTAAAAAGAATTAGCATACTGGTAAAATTTAATTTCCACACCTTGAAAGTCAAGTGATAATTTCTCAGTTTTTCAAATGGGGAAACCGAGTCTCAGACAAAGAGATTTGCTTAAATTCAGCATGTAAGAGCTACGGTGGAATATGTAAAACACTTAGTTATGTCTGTATATGTTTATATCTTATTGTCATTTCTCTTTGATCTCACTTATTAATAAAGGGTCTGGATTAGGGGTGTCTGTTGGAAGAAGTAATAGTATTTCAATTAGGCTGTATTAGTTTGTTCTCACAATGCTATAAAGAACTGCCCAAAACTAGGTAATTTATAGAGGAAAGAAGTTTAATTGACTCACAGTTCTGCATGACTGAGAGTGGGGGGTTCAGGAAACTTACAATCATGGTAGAAGGGGAAGCAAATATGTCCTTCTTCACATGATGGTTGGAAGGAGAAGAATGAGAACCAAGCGAAGGGGGAAGCCCCCTTATAAAAACATCAGATATCATGAGAACTTGCTCACTATTATGAGAATAGCATAGAGGAACCGCCCCCATGATTCAATTACTTCCCCCTGGGCCCCTCCCATAACACATGGGGATTATGGGAACTACAATTCAAGATAAGATTTGGGTGGGGGTGCAGCCAAACCATATCATTCTACCATTGGCCCCTCCCAAATCTCATGTCCTCACATTTCAAAGCACAATCATGCCCTTCTAAATGTGCCCCAAAGTCTTAGTTCATTCCAGTATTAACCCAAAAGTCCATGTTCAAAGTCTCATCTGAGACAAGGCAAGTCCCTTTTGCCTATGAGCCTGTAAAATCAAAATCAAGTTAGTTACTTCCAAGACACAATGGGGGTACAGGCATTGGGTAAATGTTTCCATTCCAAATGGGAGAAATTAGCCAAAACAAAGGGGTTACAGGTTCCATGCAAGTTCAAAATCCAATAAGGCAGTCATTAAATCTTAAACTTCCACAATGATCTCTTTTGACTCCATGTCTTTGACTCCAGGTCATGCTGATGCAAGAAGTGGACTCCCATGACCTTGGGCAGCTCCACCCCTGTGGCTTTGCAGGGTACAGCCCCCTCCTGGCTGCTTTCATGGGTGGCGTTGAGAGTCTGTGGCTTTTCCAGGCACAGAGGGCAAGCTGTTGGTGGATCTACCATTCTAATGTCTGGAGGATGGTGGTCTTCTTCTAACAGCTCTACCAGGCAGTGACCAAGTGGGGACTCTGTGTGTGGTGGTGTCCAATCCCACATTTCCCTTCTGCACTGCCCTAGAAGAGGTTTTCCATGAGGGCTCTGCCCCTGCAGCAGACTTCTGTCTGGACATCCAGACATTTCCATACATCCTCTGAAATCTAGGTGGAGGTTCCCAAACCTCAATTCTTGACTTCTGTTCATGCACAGGCTCAACACCAGGTGGAAGCTGCCAGGGCTTGGGGCTTGAACCTTCCAAAGCCACAGCCTGATCTATACCTTTGCCCCTTTTACCCACAGCTGGGGTGGCTGGGATGCAGGGCACCAAGTCCTGAGACTGCACTAAGCAGCAAGGCCCTGGGCCTGGCCCAGGAATCCATTTTTTCCTCCTAGGCCTCTGGGCCTGTAATGGGATGGGCTGCTATGAAGGTCTCTGATATGCCCTGGAGACTTTTTCCCCATTGTCTTGCTGATTAACATTCAGCTCCTTCTCTATCACATCACCAGGCTGCACACTTTCCAAACTTTTACACTCTGTCACCTCTTGAATGCTTTGCTGCTTAGAAATTTCTTCTGCCAGATACCCTAAATTATCTCTCTCAAATTCAAAGTTCCCCAGATCTCCAGGGCAGGGGGAATATGCCACCAGTCTCTTTGCATAGCAAGAGTTACCTTTATTCCAGTTCCCAACAAGTTCCTCATCTCCATCTGAGGTTACCTCAGCCTGGACTTCATTGTTCATATCACTATCAGCATTTTGGTCAAAGCCATTTAACAAGTCTCTAGGAAGTTCCAAACTTTTCCGCATCTTCCTCTCTTCTGAACCCTCCACATCTCTAGGAAGTTTCAAACTTTCCCACATTTTTCTGTCTTCTTCTGAGCCCTCCAAACTGTCCCAGCCTCTGCCTGTTACCCAGTTCCAAAGTTGCTTCCGCACTTTCAGGTATCTTTGTATCAGTGCCCCACTCTCTGTGGTACCAATTTACTGTGTTAGTCTGTTCTCACACTGCTATAAAGAACCCCTGAGATTGTATAATTTCTAAAGGAAAGATGTTTAATTGACTCACAGTTCCACGTGACTGGGGAAGCCTCAGGAAACTTACAAGCATAGCAGAAGGAAAAGCAAACATGTCCTTCTTCACATGATGGTTGGAAGGAGAAAAATGATGGCTGAGCAAAGGAGGAGGCCTCTTATAAAACCATCAGATCTCGTGAGAACTTGCTCACTATCATGAGAATAGTATGGGGGAATCCACCCCCAGTGATCAATTACCTCCCACCAGGCCCCTCTCATGACATGTGGGGATAATGGGAACTACAATTCAAGATGAGATTTGGGTGAGGACACAGCCAAACCATATCATAGGCTTTGTATTAAATATGATGCCAGTAAACCTATGCTTTCCATAAGCCCTAATATTTTTTATCAATATTAAGAAACAATAATGGCTTAGATCTATACATTCATGTAGTAGAACATTAGTGTTGGAAGGGACTTTTGAGATTTTATTTAACCTCTAATACAAAACAGAAGCATCTTCTAGAGTATTTCTATGAGATGGTGGTCCTGGATAGTCCATTTATAGTGTCCACCATTTATTACCTCTTAAGGACTTCCTTCATATAGGTTGCAGTGTTTGCTGTCTTGTGACCGTAATGTTCTGGTCACAACTGAGAGGATTATGGCTGGGTAGCTGCTACAAAGGCAACTATTTGGAGAAAGAAATCTGTAAGACGGCCTGGTGAGAGGAACTTAATAGTGATGCACTGTATTCGATGTTGAGAGGACAATTCAATAAGATTATCTAGTCTGGGTGTGGTGGCTCATGCCTGTAGTCCCAGCACTTTGGGAGTCTAAGGTGGGTGGATTGCTTGAGCTCAGGAGTTTGAGACCAGCCTGGGTAACATGGGAAAGCCCTGTCTCTACAAAAGTACAATAATTAGCAGGGTGTGGTGACATGCACCTGTGGTCCCAGCTACTCAAGAGGCTGAGGTAGGAGGATCACTTGAACCCGGGATGTCAAGGCTGCAGTGAGCCTGCACTCCAGCCTGCGTGGCAGAGTGAGACCCTGTCTCAAGAAACAAAAAAGATTATCTAGCAGGACATTTTAAAGTAAGTCACGGAGAAAAATCATCAGATAGCAGAGATGTCAGAAGAAAAAACACCATAGGAAAAAAAAAACTAGTGTGGAAAAGTCATGGGGCAGGAGAAGCCTAGAATAGGAGTAGCCATGAGAAGCAAAGACATCTGTTGCTTGTGGGGCAGTTAAATCATTTACAGCAGAAAAGAGAAGTGAGATCTCAAGTGTAGTTGATGCCATTGAGTCAAGAGAGCAGTTCTTTGATGACCAAAGATGCTATTGAATTACGGACATCCATACATACATTTCCATTTCTTCTTTAAATATGAGATTTCTGAAATTTCCTTTTTTACTAATAAATTTCCAGGGTAAGTAAGGTAAGTTAGGTGACTGGACAATGCCTCTTTTCTGTGGCAAGTTCTAAGAGACTATTTAATTTGATTGGATTTTCTCTAATTTTTGGTCAGTCTATTTTCTTCTGAGACAGCTTGTTGAAACATTTTATTTATGTTAAACCTAAACTGAATTCCTTATCATTTGTTAGTCCTAGTCCTGGACTCTAGAGAAACACGAGTTAAGTCTACATCCTTATTTTAATGATGATCTGTTAACTATAGGAACATAAGTATCACATCTTAGTTACCCTTAACAACCCTAAACCAGTCATATATTTATGTCAATTAAAATATTATTTCTAGTTTCTCCGGTAATATTATATAACATCACTTCTATAACTTTCAACTTAATTGTCAAAGTCTGCCACTCCTTTTATTTGTCAACACTCTATTTAAAGGCTTAATTCAGAGCCAGACATATATCTTAATCTCCCTTGATACAGACAGTACACTTCTATTAAATTAGCCTAAGATTTCATTAACCATCAGCTTCATCATCATCGTCTGACTCATGGTAGTCCACCTCCAGGGCATTTAAAAGGCATTCTTGGCCTGAATTTTGTTCTTGAATAATGGGACTTTAAAAATATCAATGCTAGATTTAAATTTGTCTCTATTGAATTTAGCCTTAGTGATTTGGCTCTATTATAGCTTTTTGCTGTCTTTTCCAAATTGTGTTCTGTGGAAGATTCATGTCCACAAAAGTAGTAATTACACACACACATTTATACAACACACGTACACATACATATATTTTCCACCATGTTATAAATTTGATAAGTTTTAGGGTAAAGAAGGGTTAAAAAAGTTATCTCTGTACAACCTTAGAGCCTAATCTCTAGCAGAGAGAAATAGTGTTGGCTGTTTCTCAAAAATTTTATTATGGAACTATTTTGTTGAATGCCTACTAATATTTACAGGAACACAAATACCTTTTTGACCTTAAACATGTTATGAATCTTCCTGAATCATAGCCTCCTAATCCATAACATGGGGATAATATTTGTCTCATAAGGTTATTGTGAATGTTAAAGGAGATGATGTATTTGAAGTACCTCTTTTAGTGTTTGAGCCATATAAAGGGCTCAAACAATGTTTATTCTTATTACTATCTTTTAAGATTTTTATTTCACTATGTGATTTTTCTTGCTATATTTTTATATTTTGTCATCAAAATTCAAAAAAAATGCTCATGTACGTCTTCATTTTTAAATAAAATTACCAGACCTCTTCTAAATTATTTCTTTATTCTTCATATTATGTACTTTTATGTAGAATTATCTTAGTCTCTTATTCAAATATCAAACTAAAATTCCACTTTACCAGCTAGTTTTGATTAAGTTAAATTCAACAGCTGTTTCTTGAGAATTCTTGTCATTCACACTGACCTTGGCTTTCTTTGCTATGTCTCATAAATCTTTCCTCTTTTCCATCCTTTTTCTCACTTCTCTGAGTGTCATCACATTGGGTCTAAGGGTTTTTAGACTTTTGTTGACTGTCTCAACCCAACCTCTAAATCAGACACACAGCTTTTGCCTACTGAGCCTGTTGAGATGACAGCTGTTTATAATAAATACTCCAAATGAGAATTCAATTTCAAAATAATTTTTTCTGATATTTTCAAATGTTTTTCAGGTTAAAAAATTTTTGATCTCTTCCTATTTTGCCTGTGGCAGAAATTGAAAGAAGAATTAAATAAATATGTGAAAGTGACACCAGGATTAGGACCATATTTATAACTTCTCTGTTTTGGTGTGCCCTTTCTTCATACAAAATAGTAATGCCTCCCCTGTGTGTTTCACCACTCAGATGTTTGGGGGTAGTCCCAGAGAATACCCCAGCTGCCTGTTTTACCTGTGATGTGAAGTGATCCAGAAATGGAAAAGGCAGGGAAGAAAGAGAGCTGGTGGGGGAAAAGATGTGGCTTAGACAGAACATTTGTTTTAGGCATCTGTGTCAGGAATTGGAGCACATGGGGGACAGAGCTAATACTAAAGATGCTGAACAAATAGAGAGGATGGGGAGAAAACTATGGCTTTTGCCTTTCTTGCTCTCAGTGTTCCAGCAAACCCCTATCTGTATAATTCAACTGACATAGAAGCCTAGGAAATGCAGCCCCAAGTAATCCAGAACAGGAAAGGATGAATACATTTGAAGTCAAGTAGGTTCAGGACTTAGCACAGAAGTCATTGGCAGGGTACATAGGCCATGAGTCCTCAGGTTCCTCATCTATGAATTAGGAATAATAAAAGTACTTGCTCATGATTAAGTAATATTATATATAAAAAGGTTCTGAATAGATCATGTAGTCAGTAACGGTGATACAAACAATGTAATGGAGTACCTAGAGCAGACTAAATTTTAATTTTTGTTGTAGCAGGCTATTTGTTATTTGGAGGCTTAACTTTATTAAAATTGGTCACTTGGGAGGTGAAAACGGAATCTTTGAGGCAGAAATTGCATTTATTCTGGGAAGGATTGCCATAGTGATCCAGGCAGACGCAAGTCATGCATGCATCTACCCATTGCTTTGGCAAGACTGAACCAGTGAAGTCATCTGAGTGCTGATGTATCACAGAAATGCTGAATCCTATTTAGTAACATAGATTGCATACATTTTAGCTATATACCTAAAGATTTGGAGACACTCCTTTCCTAAGTCTTGATCTCTTCTGCCTTTTGACTAAAATATTTGTTTGTTCTATGGTGATATGTGGGTCTCTTCATTCAAGTGCTCAAGATTTGGAGGTGAGTCTGAGCACCATCTCAAAGATGTGTTGCTTACCATCTCTCTATAAAACAATCAAGTAAGCTAGATATAGCTTGACGTAATACAGCGTGACGTAATACGACTAAATGTTTGATACATCTCACATGATTGTTTAAGAGTAAGACTGGGAAATGTGCTGTCATATATGATGATTTTCTTTTTGTCTGGCTATGGAGTAAAAAACACACTGTAAATACAGATAGTGTGATGTGATTTCCTCTAAAGGAAATGGACATTCCCATTGTCAATCATCTTAGAGCAAGAAAGAAAGCAAGTCTGAAATTAGGATGTAGACTAACCTGCTTCTCTGTCTGAGGCTTATAGAATTATGATCAGGACCCTAATATGGAGGGATGTCTGGATATTCTCACTTGTGGGGACAGAGTGGACTCCCTGTGACTTGGAACATGCCAGATCCTAAGCCTGGAGAGGGAAGTTTGGTGAAGATTTGTAGTTCTCTAAGAGTACTTATTTTTTTTCTTAGGATATTAAACTTCAAGCATTTTCAAGCTTTTAATAAATATAGCCCGGGGAATTAAGAACTGAGCCTCATTCCGTGTTTTGAAGGCAGGACAGGGCAAACAGCATTTGTTTGAAGACTTCATTTACAAAATAGCAAAGTGAGACCAGTGGGAAAGCTTGAGTTGGGTCTGAACGTGCTAATCAATCATACCACTCTCTGTGTCAATCTGTCCCAACTAAGAAACAGACACAGCAGTAAGACAGGCATGAAAAGATCTATTTCATTGTTATTATATAATGGAGAATGTGGCTTGAATCAAAGGCCAAATAAGCTTCTCACTACCTTCTTTTGAATTTAACTTATATACCTAGTCAGAAGCAGAACAGTTGGACAGCAGTAAATTTCCTCTAATGACAGGAACAGAGAGAGCAGAGAGAGAGGTGTAAAGGAAGAAGGAGCTGGAAAGGAGAACATATTCAGTCTGCAGGAAGGGAAGGTCCCAAAGTAAGAGAGGAGAAAGGCAAGAAGAGATTGGGCTACACATGCTTAGTTTCATCTCCTCAATATCAACAATAAAGGCATTCCTGCAGAGTGAGTCATGGGGGAGAAGAGAAGGCCATCCTCCCAAACTGCTTTCTCTTAGGAGAGGTGTGGAAGTTTGTTCTCGATGGGAACTGAAGAGTGGTGGTAATAAGCTGTCCCACTAAATGATAATGATAGTGGGCTTTCTTTCTCCTTACTATTTTGTTGGTATTTCTGAAAACTGTGTCCTAAGGACTTTTAGAACTTCATGAAAGCATTCTTGGGGTAGAAGAGCCTGTTGTGTTTTCTCCTAACACTTTGTTTGTTGGAAGAACTCAGGAAAGTATGGCACAAATGTAGAAAGAGGGTATGTTTCAGAGAGTAAACAGAAAAAGAATTTTGACTTACAGATACTATGAAGGAAGAAAACTTTGTTCAGAGACATGAAGACAAAAATAATCTGGATATAAAATTAACATACTCTAGACTGCCTCTATCTGCAATAAAGAGATTCCAACATGCATTGCTGGTCAGAAAATTTCAGAATCACTGACCTCCGTATGGAAGCTTTTTGCAGGCAGCCAATTATTCCAAACTTTGTTTTCCTCTAGATGGAATCTTGTCGTCTTTGAGCAAGCCAAAAGGATCATAGGATATTTCTCCATGGCCTGATTATACATACATGGGGGAAGTGATATTTGCAGAGTGCTCAGGCTTATTACATTTCCAATCGCTGTTGGTCAGTGGGAAGTGTTGTTAAAGAGCTCCAGGAGGTATGATTTTCTTGAACTGGATAAAAAAGCAACAGTCAAAAGTTAGTGGTAAAAAAGAAACCATAGAAGGTGAATCGAAAAGCAGAATTTAAACAGCAGCTTAGGAGTCTGAATGACAGACCATTATAATTGGAAGCCCATTTATTTTTTGTGGTTTGTGGAGAAGGAAAAAGGCATAGTATCCACATTTCATTCTAATCATATATATATATATATATATATATATACAAGCATACCTTGGAGATATTGTGGCTTTTGTTCCAGACCACCACAATAAAGCAAATATCACAATAAAGTGAGTAGCACATTTTTTTGGTTTCCCAGAGCATATACAAGTTATATTTACACTATACTGTAGTCTATTAAGTGTACAAGAACATTATGTCTAAAAAATATACTACCTTAATTCAAAAATACTTTATTGCTAAAATGCTAATGTTCACATGCAACTTCAGCCTGAGTTATAATGTTCTTGCTTGTGGAGGGTCTTGCCTCAATGTTGATCGCCACTGACTAATCAGGGTGGTGTTGCTGAAGGTTGGTGTGGCAGTGGCAGTTTCTTAAAATAAGGCAACAATGAAGTTTGCCACATCAATTGACTCTTCCACTCATAAAAAATTTATCTTTAGCATGTGATGCTGTCTGACAGCATTTCACCCACAGTAGAGTTTCTTTCAAGATTGGAGTCAAGCCTCTCAAATCCTGCCACTGCTTTATCAACTAAATTTGTGGAATATTCTAAATCTTCTGCTGTCATTTCAACAATGTTCACAGCCTCCTCACCAGGAGTAAATTCCATCTCAAGAAACCACTTTCTTCACTTATCTAAAAGAAGCAAGTCCTCATCTGTCAAAGTGTTACCATAAGATTGTAGAAATTCACTCTCAACTTCAGCCTCCACTTCTAATTCTATTTCTTTTTCTATTTCCACCACATCTGCTGTGACTTCCTTCATTGAAATCTTGAATCCATCTGATATGGTTTGGCTGTGTCTCCACCCAAATCTCATCTTCAATTGTAGCTCCCATAATTTCCACATGTTGTGGGAGGGACTCGGCGGGAGATCACTGAATCATGGGGGCAGTTTCCACCGTACTCTTCTCATGGTAGTGAATAAGTCTCACGAGATTTGATGGTTTTATAAGGGGTTTCCCTTTTCACTTGGTTCTCATTCTTTCTTCCCTGCCACCATGTAAGAAGGGCTTTTTGCTTTCTGTCATTCTGATTATGAGGCCTCCCCAGTCACATGGAACTGTGAGCCAGTTGAACCTCTTTTTCTTTATAAATTACGCAGTCTTGGGTATGTCTTTATCAGCAGTGTGAAAATGGACTAATACACCAACTAAGTCATCCATAAGAGTTGGAATCAATTTATTCGTAACTCCTGTTCATGTAGATATTTTGACCTTCTCTCATGAATCACGAATATTCTTAATGACACCTGGAATAGTGACTCCTTTACAGAAGGTTTTCAATTTTCTTTGCCTAGATACATCAGAGGAATCACTATCTATGGTAGCTATAGCCTTATAAAATATATTTCTTAAATAATAAGAC
Source organism: Homo sapiens (assembly GCF_000001405.40). Classification (NCBI taxonomy): domain Eukaryota; kingdom Metazoa; phylum Chordata; class Mammalia; order Primates; family Hominidae; genus Homo; species Homo sapiens. Next base: position 157,353,551 of record NC_000002.12, on the reverse strand, counting down.
TTGACACTTTGGGAGGCCAAGGCAAGAGGATTGCTTCAGCCCAGGAGTTAAAGACCAGCCTGGGAAACATATGATGCCCTGTCTCTAGAAAAAAAATTAAAAAAATTAACTGGGTGTGGTGGCACATGCCTATAGTTCCAGTGACTCAGAAGGCTGAGGAGAGAGGACAGCTTGAGCTTGGGAGGTCAAGGCTGCAGGGGGCTGATAATAATAATACTTCCGAGTCAAAATTACTTCTTGATCCATAGGCTGCAGAATGAATGTTATATTAGCAGACGTGGAAAGAACATAAATTTCCTTGTACATTTCCGTTAGAGCTCTTGGGTGAGCAGGTACATTTTCAAGCAGCAGTAATATTTTGAAAGGAATCTTTTCTTCTGAGCAGCAGATCTTAACAATGAGCTTAAAATATTCAGTAAATCGCTGGGCATGGTGGCTCACATCTGTAATGCCAGCAGTTTGGGAGGCGGAGGCAGGCAGATCACCTGAGGTTGAGAGTTTGAGACCAGCCTGACCAACATAGTGAAACCCTGTCTCTACTAAAAATACAAAATTAGCTGGACATGGTGGCGCATGCCCGTAATCCCAGTTACTTGGGAGGCTGAGGCATGAGAATTGTTTGAACCCAGGAGGCGGAGGTTGTGGTGAGCCAAGCTTCTGCCACTGTGCTCCAGCCTGGGCAACAAGAGTGAAACTCCATCTCAAAAAAAAAAATTCAGTGAATTATGCTATAAACAAATGTGCTGTCATCCAGGCATTGTTGTTTTATTTATAAAGTACAAACGGAGTAGATTTAGCAAAATTCTTAAGGGCCCTAGAATTTTTAGAAGGTAAGTGAGCACTGACTTCAACTTAAAGTTACCAGCTGGATTAGCTCCAAAGAAGAAAGTTGGCCAGTCCTTTGAAGCTTTGAAGCCAGGCATTAACTTCTCCTCTTTAGCTATAAAGTCCTAGATGTCATCTTCTTCCAGTGAAAGGCTGTTTTGCTTCCTTATCATTCATGTTTTGACTGAAGTAGTACTTTTAATTTTCTTCAAGATATTTTCTTTTATATTTTCTACTTGGCTAAGTATTTGGCACAAGATGCCCAGCATTTGTCTATCTTGGCCTTCAACATGTCTTCTTTGCTAAGTTCAATCATTTCCTCCTTTTGATTTAAAGTGAGAGACTATTCCTTTCACTCGGACACTTAGAAGCCAGTGTAGGGTTAATTGGCTGAATTTTGGTACCATTGTGTCTTGGGGAATTGTGGATGCCCAAGGATATGTTGTGGGGAGGGGAGAAATGGCCAGCCAGTGGAGTAGTTAGAATACATACAACATTTATCAATTAACTTCACCGTCTTATACAACATTATCAATTAAGTTCACCGCCTGCTCCTCCGTCAGTGGAGCAGTTAGAATACACACAACATTTATCAATTAAGTTCACTGTCGTATACAGGTACAGTTTGTTTGTGGCACCCCAAAACAATTACAATAGTAACATCAAAGATCAGTGATTGTCCAAGTGTGGTGGTGCATACCCTGTGGTCCTAGTTACTCTGGAAGCTGAGGCAGGAGGATCATTTGAGCCCAGGCGGTTGAGGCTGCAGTGAGCTGTGATTGTGCAACTGCACTTCAGCCTGGGTGAGAGAGTGAGACCCTGTCTCAAGTTTTCAAAAAAAAAAAAAGCAAACAAACAGTCAAAAAAGATCACTGATCACCATAACGGATATAATAATAATGAAAAACTTTGAAATATTGCAAGAAGTACCAAAGTATGACACAGAGGCAAGATATGAAGTGAGAACAGTTGTTAAAGAGGTGCTGATAGACTCGCTCCATGCAGAATTTTCCCAAACCTTCAATTTCTAAGAAATATCTGCAAAGAGCAATACAATGAGGAACAATAAAACAAGGTACACCTGCATGAAGCAACAGCAGTAGCATTTGAACGTTGGAGTTGTTTTATCATCAAAAGCTGCCAGAGATGATATTTTACAGCTGTTAAGAGTCAAGTATCTGATTGGACAGATGAGGAAGAATAGTGGCTTCCTAGAGCAAGTGATAAGCTAATATTAAAGGCAAGTTAATATTTCTTTACTACTCTAAAGCTTTCTTAAGATTAGCTTTTTGAATAACACCATTGTGGAGCTGGTTGGTATAATAGAAACAAATGGATTTTCTCATCCTACAGAGTTGACTTTTAACCACACTCTGCCCTTCACTAGTTCCATGACCTTGAGCAACTTATTTAACTTTCTAATCTCAGGTTTCCTACTCCATATGATACAGTTAATAAGACCTATCTTATTGGGCTGCTTGGAGGATGATGAGAGAATTCATATATAAAGGGAAAATCAGGTTTTGGCTTTTCCCAGATTCCTTCTTGAGGGCAGATTAGATAGAAGACTGGTTGAATGTTTGAACCATCAGTTGGCAGTCAGCCAGCCTGATATTCAAAAGGTTCAAAATCTAGGCTCCAGTGGACAACCTAGCAAGCCAGACAAATGTTAGAATTTTGGATTCTAGCCAATTGTGTATGTATATGTATGTGCTTGTCAGTCATCTGTGTTACTTTTTAATTAAGGACTTTAACACCAAGAGTCAGAGATAAAGGAAAAGTATAGAACAGGTTGAGAGGATTACATAGATTTAGAGAAGATGCTAATCAAATGGAATTGGTGTGGGTTCTACAAACACAGCTTAAAGGGCAGAAAATTTTAAATCTAGTGTTAACTTGCCTACTTCTGCAGACTTTGGGTTCCTCTTTAGATACTGTAATGGTAAATAATGTTTCTCATGAATATTGGAATGCCTCACTCAAGAATTCTGGAAACATTTTGCGTACTGTATTAAGCTTAGGACTTTGAACAACTTTCTTTGTGATCAGAAGGTAAAGATATTATTTTCCCCTTCCTATTGGTTATATAGAATGTAAGCTCTTCAGACATTAAAATGTCAAGAACCAACAGGCAGAGAAAATGGATGTGGATAAGATCCCTGAAGAGAAATGTCAAAAGTCCTCATCTCATGACTATTTGTAAAGACTCTCTTTATAGGATGTGTGTTGTCATGGCATTGGAGAGCAGGGACTGAACTGGGAAAAAATTAAAGACAATTATAGTGTGGTAAAGGGACTTAGCATATATAAGCTATGGAGAAAAGTGCAATTCCTTTATCTGGTCTTGGACATCACACAGCCAGCTTACAAGATGCTGGCAGACATTATGGAAATGACAAATAGCTAAAGATTCTGTGATTCAGACTGGTCGCCACATTATCTGAGCTATAACTTCAGAGTTGAGAGGGAAATTGGGTGGAAATTGCTCTGGTAGTATTAACAGCTGGAGGTACTTTGAGAAGAGCAGGGGAGGCACACATATATCACCCACAAACATTTTTGACACACCTAAATGTCAATTCAGCACATTTGAATATTTACTTAAAAACACTTGTGCACTCAGCCTTCTAATAGATGCTGTAGAGCATATAAAGAAGGTAGATATTACCCCTAACCTAGAGGAAATAAAAGTCAGATATCAAATGCAAACTTTCTTTTTATTATTTACTAGGGAATCTTTTAAAACTTCTGTGTGAGAGGCTTCAAGAATCAGGCTTAGGAACCTGTAAAGCACAAATTTTTCAGAGACTTATTTTTTAATAATAATTAATAAAAATATAACTTCATTGATAATAGGCAAATAGATTAAAATGTGTATATTACATTATCGAATGTTTCCTCAGTCTTTCATATAATAACTTCATAATTTTTGCCAAACCTCAAACCACCTGTAATACATTTAGTTATTATCTAAAACAAATTATTTCTTTTTATTTCAATTAATTCATTTGAAAAAGAAATGGGAGGCAGGAGAATCGCTTGAACTCAGGAGGCGGAGGTCGCAGTGAGCTGAGATCATGCCACTGCGCTCCAGCCCAGCCAACAGTGCCAGACTCTGTCTCAAAAAAAAAAGAAAAGAAAAAGAAAAAGAAATTGAAACTTGAAAAGGAATATTGCTTGCCATAATAAAATATAATTGCAAAATGAGTGCAATTAAAACAAAATAATGTAATTCATTTCAAGAGAAACACTTTTGCCTGCTGAAGGAAAGCCTGTCACCTACTCTTCCTTTGCTTAAAAGGGAGAATAACAAGTGCTAGAAGATGTGAAAACACACTGGCACCAAATAGGGATTTTCCTTTTTATGTAATTACAAGGGTTAAAACAAAATTGAAGTAATTTTCATACCATGTGATTTAATATTATTGAATACATGTCCAATAGTCATCTAAAATCATCACGTTCCACACTTTGGTATTCACTGCCTTAAGGCTTCCAAGGTCAAGTGTATGTACTTAATTTTGTTTAGCCTTACAAGAATAACAACACATTCATTTATTAACCCAGTTCTACAGATGAGGAGACAAAGGCACAAAGAGGTTAAAAGGCACCCCCCTGTGTTTAATCAGTGGTAGATATGGACACAAACACAGATTTTTGAGGGAAAAAAGTTGTTTCCCTTTATACAAACATTATATTATTATGTTATATACTATTATGTATTATATATTGCACAGCTATTATTTCATGCAATTTTATTATTAATGAACTCAAATAAGTGAGTAATAATAACAATTACTGAATTTTTTTATCAAGCTATAGGAAGCTGATTTTTCCATATTTTAATACCCTGATAAGCATTTTATATTAGAGAAACACTCAGCCTCTGCCAATGGTGTGCTTTAAGAGGGATGTAGTTTGGTAAGTAAATTTTATTCATCTGTTTTTGTATATAGTAATAGATACATGGGGAGGAAAGAGATGTGACCCTGGGTGGCAGTATAGAGAATGCACTCTGGTGACCTCAGATTTAAAGCAATGGAAATGGGGTCTCCTAATGTTGAATAATACAAGGCAATGATTAAGGGAGAAGCAAAGAACTGAAGATAAGATTTACAAAGACTAAAGTATAAAATGGGTTACAACTTTTGATAAAGCCAATGATAACCAGAAGACCCTAGTTACATTACGGTAAGAATAAGATCATCAAATGAATAAACTCGGCGCTGTGGTTTAGAGCATAAAGTTGATGGTTGACATAGGAGAGAACTCTTTAATCTCTATTTTGCTTTGTCTTTTCTCTTAAAGAGACTGATTTCAACACTAAGCTGTGTAGAATAAACATTGATTGGGAAGAACAGAAGATGAAAATGAGATAAAATATTATAAGAGATAATCCTACTGCTAAAAATGAGTTCAAGTTTCCTCCTGTGAGCAAATTTAACCCCAGAATATAATATCCTAAGGTGCAAATGAGGACAGTGATATGTGAAGGAGAAAGGGAAAATGGAAAAGAGGAAAATGTAAACGTAGATTCACATTTTAGAGGAAAAAAGGATACATGCTGCTATTCAGGACTAGAGAGCTTTAAGTTAACCCTGGGCAAGGTCCTAGAATGAATTATTAAAGATGTGATTCATAAAAATCTAGAAGGAGATCCAGCAAGAGATCACCAAGATCACTTCACAATGGAGTAACATCATTTTGTTCTTTAGCAGGAAATAGTGACTGTTGGATGAGTGTATCAGATATTCCACAGGCATTTTGGGAACACTTTCATGATATTTCTGGGGAAATCATGAAGAATGGGTTTAATGCAATAATAAATACCCAATTGGAAGATGGTTCTTATGTATCTAAACAAGGGCTGCTTAACAAAATGATAGCATTCACAGAGGAGGTTCTTAATGTTGCTTCCCAGAATTTTTCCATGTTTAAAATTTGTTGCAGGCTAGATCTGCTGGTTTTGAAGCTTAGTTTTTGTTTGTCTGAGAAAATCTTTATTTCCCCTTCTTTTTTTTTTTGTTTTTTTGAGATGGAGTTTCACTCTTGTTGCCCAGGCTGGAGCCTGCCTTGGCCTCTTGAGTAGCTAGGATTACAGCTACTGCCACCATGCCTGGCTAGTTTTTGTATTTTTAGTAGAGATGGGGTTTCACCATGTTGGTCAGGCTCGTCTCGAACTCCCAACCTTAGGAGATCCACCTGCCTCGGCCTCCCAAAGTGCTGGGATGACAGGCATGAGCCACCACACCCGGCCTTTTTTTTTTTTTTTTTTTTTTTTTAAGATGGAGTCTTGCTCTTTCACCCAGGCTGGAGTTCAATGGCATGATCTTGGCTCACTGCAAGCTTCACCACCTGTGTTCAAGCAATTCTCCTGCCTCAGCCTCCCGAGTAGCTGGGACTACAGGCGTGTGCCACCATGCCTGGCTAATTTTTGTATTTTTAGTAGAAATGAGGTTTTGTCATGTTAGCCAGGCTGATCTGAACTCCTGACCTCAGGTTATCCGCCTGCCTTGGCCTCCTAAAGTGCCAAGATTACAGGTGTGAGCCACCATACCCGGCTCTCCTTCACTTTGGAAGGACAATTTGACTGGATATAGAATTCAAGCTTGTTGGGTTTTTTTGCTTTCAAGACTTTAAATATTTTATGCTACTGTCCTTTTGTTTATATAGTTTCTGATGAGAAGTCTATTATAATTGTTATTTTCATTCATCTAAGGCAAAGTTTTCTCCCCCTCTAGCTTCTTTCATAATATTTTCTTCGTGTCTGGTTTTCTGCAGTTAGTTTTGTTTTTGGTATTTATTTGGCTTGATATTCTCTGATATTCCTGAATTTGTGATGTGGTGACTGTCATTAATTTTGGAAAGTTTTTAACCATTACTACTTCAGCTATTTCTTTTTCTCTGTTCTCTTTAATTTTTTCCTTCTGATATTCCAATTACATGTATGTTATAGCTTTTAAAATTGTTTACAGTTCTTAGCGGATATGTGATTTTTAAAAAATTCTTTTTTTCTCTTTGCATTTCAGTTTGCTATTGATGATCTTCAATCTCACTGATAGTTTTTTTCTCAGCTGTCTTTGTTTTTTATTTTGATCATCTGTTTTGATTCTTAGAGTTTCCATCTCGCTGCTTACTTTACTCATCTCTTCTTTCATGTTGTCTACTTTTTCTATTAAAGCCCTTAACGTATTAATTATAGTTATGATATTGTAAATTCCATGTCTGATCATATCATCATCTGTGTCATAGCTGAGCCTGATTCTCGTGATTGCTTTGTTTCCTTAGACTGTGTGTGTTTGTTTTTTCTTGGCCTGCTTTGTAATTTTTTGTTCAAACCAGAGAGGAAAATAGACAAATAGGCAAGTAGGCCTTTATTGTGAGGATTTATGTTAATCTGGCTAAGTGCTGGGCTATGTTTACTGTTTGCTATTGGTGTGGATGTCAGAAGCTTCAGATTCTTCCTTAATTTTGTCTCTCACCTTGACTTTAGGCTTCCCTAAGTACTTCTCAGAATCTCTGTTTTGCAGATTTTTCAACTGTAATCCACTGTCATACGGGAGCCCTATTGCTGAGGTGAGAAGGTTCTGGGAGGTAGAAGCATTCCATAATCTTGTTAAAACTCCATCTTTTGTGGGGGTTGGGGGCATGTTTCTGAACTGTCAGCTTCACAAGTGTTTCTCCAGTGGCATAGCTTTTAAATTTTTCCCTTAGTGGGGACTAGAAAGCTAGAGAAGACAGGGGAGAGAGAGGAATGCCTTTCCTCCCTTCCTTCTGGAATAAGGCTCTGGGAAAGTCTTTCACCCTGCAAAGTAGGCCTTTGTTATGGAGAACTCTCCAAGGGGATTTCATCCTCTTTTCCTGCCAAATCCAGGGAAGGATCTTTCTCACATCCTTACTATGAGAATTTGGCCATGTTCTTGGAGGTAAAGCTCACAAATGTGTGAGGGTACCCTTAGAACGGTGGCCCCCCTGAGCTTTTTTTCTCACATGAGTCCACACACAGCCTCCAGCAATTTGCCAACATTACCATGTAAATGCTCCTAACAATTTATGGCTCCAGCACCTTCTTTTCCAGGTAAGTAGATCCCAGCAGCTTCTTTTCCACGTAAGCAGATCCCACCTGTGTCTCTAGATACACCTGTCTCTCCAAATTTGGGGTAGTGTTTTGCCCTGAAACTTCAGTTATTTGATGGGTCCAAGAAAAGTCATTGTTTTTGTTTATCTAGCTTGTTGTTGTTATTGTAGGAATGGAAGTGGTGACTTCTCATCTGATTACTGTTATGTGCGTCCATGTGAAGAGACCACCACACAGGCTTTGTGTGAGCAATAAAGCTTTTTAATCACCTGGGTGCAGGCAGTCTGAATCCAAAAAAGGAGTCAGCAAAGGGAGATAGGAGTGGGGCAGTTTTATGGGATGTGGGTAGGTAGTGGAAAATTAGACTTAAAGGGGGTTGTTCTCTTGTGGGCAGGGGCAGGGGTCACAAGGTGCTCAGTGGGGAGCTCCTGAGATTCACTGTCCAGGAGAAGGAATGTGACAAGGTCAATTGATCAGTTAGGGTGGGGCAGGAACAAATCACAATGGTGGAATGTCATCAGTTAAGGCAGGAACTGGCTATTTTCACTTCTTTTGTGGTTCTTCAGTTGCTTCAGGCCATCTGGATATATATGTGCAGGTCACAGGGGATATGATGGCTTAGCTAGGGCTCAGAGGCCTGAAATTCCTGTCTTCTTATGTTAATAAGAAAAACAAAACAAAGTAGTGGTGAAGTGTTGGGGTGGTGAAAATTTTGGGGGATGGTATGGAGAGATAATGGGTGATGTTTCTCAGGGCTGCTTCAGGTGGGATTAGGGGCAGCATGGGAACCTAGAGTGGGAGAGATTAAACTGGAGAAAGATTTTGGGGTAAAGGTTGGTGTTGTGGGGTTGTTAGAAGGAGCATTTGTCATATAGAATGATTGGTGATGGCCTGAATGCAGTTTTGTATGAACTGAGAAACTAAACGGAAGACACAAGGTCCAAATAAGAGAAGGAGAAAAAGAGGTATTAAAGGACTAAGAATTGGGAGGACCCAAGACATCCAATTAGAGAGTGCCCAAGGGAGTTTAGCATAATTATTTTGTTGGTTAGCGAGTTTTGGGGCTCTATCCTTGAGTTTTTTTATGTTGTCATATACCAGGCCAGATTGTTTTAGGTAAAAACAACACTCCTCATTTAAAAACATACAGAGACCTCCTTTTTCAGCAGTGAGTAAATTGAGGCCTCAGAAGTTCTGGAGGACAACTGCAGCTAAAGAGTCAACCTGGGCTTGGAGGACAGATAAAGTTTGTGATATATCTGTAATGCTAGCAGAGAAGTCATTATAGAGGCTGCAGAATGTTGTGACAGAAGTTGATATGCCTGCTATTCCAGTTCCAAGTGCAATAGTGGAGGCAGAAAAGTTCTAGACCCACAAGTAAAGGGATAACTGGGATGACTCTTTTTGTTGTGTTGGTGTCATGAGGGGGACAGGCAGTTGTTCATTCCTATCTGCAAACTGGATTTTGGGGGTAAGGAAGACTAGAGTACATGTGCCCATCCAGTTGGCAGGTAGGTGCATGTAGGTGGAAGAACCACATAAAAGAAGAGACCTTGTGTCAGGCAGAACTGGAAATGTAAAGTGAAAAGGTGAGAGGGTGTACTGAAAGAGGAGTCCTGCACCCAAAATCCTAGAGCTCCAGCAAGGGCAGCAGCCATTAGAGGTTGTAATGGGGATGGATAGTGCAACTCATAGAGGGAGAGGTTTGGTTTCCATGGTGTATAAGAAAGCACATAGTGTCTATGAGTAACCTTTCACTGCTATTCATGGGGCTGCATATAAGCAAGCAAGAGGAGGGGATAGGAGGAGATTCAGATGAGCAGGGGGAGGATAGCCAAGGATGGAGGGAGATGGAGGATAAGTGTCTTTCCAAACAATAGTGACTGCCAATGTTTTTTGGTTTGTCAGTAATGATAGAGGGCTCATCAGTAATGCAAAGTTGGAATACTCCCATCTGTTTGGTAATGTGTGTGGCTGGGTTCTGGAGATAGAGTAAAGGAACATTTGGATGGTGGAAGGTTGCCTAAAGGGATTCCAGTAGGCTATTGTTGGGAGATGCATAAAGGAGCAGCAACAGGGATAGTTGTTTGTGTGGTGAGGGGTCCAAATATTTGGGGGGCAGGGGGTAGAATTGACATAAGGAGAAAGTTGCCTTTCCTTCCTTCTGGAATAAGCCTCTGTGACCTGCACATATACATCCAGGTGGCCTGAAGCAACTGAAGAACTATAAAAGAAGTGAAAATAGTCAGTTCCTGCCTTAACTGATGACATTCCACCATTGTGATTTGTTACTGCCCCACCTGAACTGATCAATTGGCCTTGTCACATTCCTTCTCCTGGACAGTGAATCTCAGGAGCTCCCCACTGAGCACCTTGTGACCCCCGCCCCTGTCCACAAGAGAACAACCCCTTTTAAGTCTAATTTTCCACTACCTACCCAAATCCTATAAAACTGTCCCACCCCTATCTCCCTTTGCTGACTCCTTTTTTTTGGATTCAGCTTGCCTGCACCCAGGTGATTAAAAAGTTTATTGCTCACACAAAGCCTGTTTGGTGGTCTCTTCACATGGACATGCATAACATTTGGTGCCAAAGACCTGGGACAGGGGACTCCTTCAGGAGACTCATCCCGGGTCCTCACCCTCACTCCGTGAGGAGATCACCTATGACCTTGGGTCCTCAGACCAGCCAAAGGAACATCTCACCAATTTTAAATCAGGTAAGTGGCCTCTTTTTGTTCTCTTCTCCAGCCTGTCTTGTTAGCCCTCCACCCTTCAATCTCTCCCTTCCTTAATTTTGGTTCCTTTCCTTTTCTGGTAGAGACAGAGGAGACACGTTTTATCCATGAACTCAAAACTCCGGCAACAGTCATGGACTTGGGAAGACAGTCTTCCCTTGGTGTTTAATCACTGTGGGGATGCCTGCCTTGATCCTTCACCTTGGTGGCAAGTACCACCTTCCCTGGGTGGCAAGACCACCTCCCCCCACACTGTGTCTCTATCCTCTCTTTTCTCTAAACTCACCTTTTAACTATGGGCAAACTTCCACCCTCCATTCCTCCTTCTTCTCCCTTACCCTGTGTTCTCAAGAACTTACACCTCTTCAACTCACACCTGACCTAAAACCTAAATGCCTTATTTTCTTCTGCAATACTGCTTGGCCCCAATACAAACTTGACAATGGTTCTAAATGACCAGAAAATGGCACTTTTGATTTCTCCATCCTACAAGATCTAGATAATTTTTGTCGAAAAATGGGCAAATGGTCTGAGGTGCTTGACATCCGGGCATTCTTTTACACATTGGTCCCTCCCTAGTCTCTGCTCCCAATGCAACTTGTCCCAAATCTTTCTTCCTTCTCTCCTGTCTGTTCCTTCAGTTTCCACCCCAAGCTCTGAGTCCTTTGAATCCTCCTTTTCTACAAACCCATCTGACCTCTCCCAGCCTCCCCAGGCTGCTCTTCACCAGGCCGAGCAAGGTCCCAATTCTTCCTCAGCCTCTGCTCCCTCACCCTATAATCCTTCTATCACTTCCCCTCCTCACACCTGTTCCAGCTTACAGTTTCGTTCTGTGACTAGCTCTCCCCAACCTGCCCAACAATTTCCTCTTAGAGAGGTGGCTGGAGCTAAAGGCATAGTCAAGGTTAATGCTCCTTTTTCTTTATCCAGCCTCTCCCAAATCAGTTAGCATTTAGTCTCTTTTTCATCAAATATAAAAACCTAGTCCAGTTAATGGCCTGTTTGGCAAGAACCCTTAGATGCTTTACCGCTCTAGACCCAGAGGGGCCAGAAGGCCGTCTTATTCTCAATATGCATTTTATTACCCAATCTGCTCCCAACGTTAGAAAAAACTCCAAAAATTATATTCCGGGCCTCAAGCCCCACAATAGGACTTAATTAACCTCTCCTTCAAGGTGTACAATAATAGAGAAGAGGCAGCCAAGCAGCAATGTATTTCTGAGTTACAATTACTTGCCTCTGCTGTGTGAGAGAGAAACCCCAGCCACATCTCCAGCACAAAAGAACTTCAAAACATCTAAACCACAGTGGCCAGGCATTCCTCCAGGACCTCCTCCCCCAGGATCTTGCTTCAAATGCTGGAAATCTGGCCACTGGGCTAAAGAATGCCCAGCCTGGGATTCCTCCTAAGCCATGTCCCATCTGTGTGGGAACCCACTGGAACCAGCTCACCCGGCAGCCACTCCCAGAGCCCCTGGAACTCTGGCCCAAGGCTCTCTGACTGACTCCTTCCCAGATCTTCTCGGCTTAGCGGCTGAAGACTGACGCTGCCTGATCACCTCAGAAGCCTCCTGGACCATCACAGATGCTTTGGGTAACTCTTACAGTGGAGGGTAAGTCCACCTCCTTCTTAATCAATATGGAGGCTACCCACTCCACATTACCTTCTTTTCAAGGGCCTGTTTCCCTTGCCTCCATAACTGTTGTAGGTATTGATGACCAGGCTTCTAAGCCTCTTAAAACTCCCCAACTCTGGTGCCAACTTGGACAACATTCTTTTATGCACTCCTTTTCAGTTATCCCCACCTGCCCAGCTCCCTTATTAGGTCGAGACATTTTAACTAAATTTTCTGCTTCCCTGACTATTCCCGGGTTTTGGCACCAAATGTCATGTCTGTCTGTGTGAAGAGAGTCTACCAACAGACTTTGTGTGAGCAACAAGGCTGTTTATTCACTTGGGTGCAAGTGGGCTGACTCCTTTCTCGGACTCAGCCCATTTGCACCCAAGTGAATAAACAGCCTCGTTGCTCACACAAAGCCTGTTGATGGACTCTCTTCACACAGACGTGCATGACATTTACATATTAGACCTGAAACTGGTAGTCCTCAATTCTTCTGTGTTTAACATTTATGATTGTCTAGGTGAAGATGTAAAGAATTTGGTCAGCCAGTTGAAGATGAATTAAACCAATAAGAACAGTGACAATATAAGGTGGCAAATTTGTGATACTATTAAACTGGATAATGACATGAATTTAACCAAATGTATCATATGAAGGATAACTTTAAGTTCCTGCTTTGGTTTCAAAACATATCTTTCATGGATAGGAAAGAGGAGCGGATCCTAACAATGACATCCATGGAAATGATGTGGAGCTCTGAGTCATCATTTTGGTTATCATGAGTCAAGAGTGGGGATCAGCTTCCAATATAATTAAAGTATCAGTTTGCCAAAGTGCTCATATCAGAGGCGTGTGAACCAGAGCAACTGCATCTTAAATAGGAGCTGGGTAAAATGAAGCTGAAACCTACTGAGCTGCATTCTCAGACGGTTAGATGGTTAAGGCTTTCTAAGTCACAGGCTTTCTAAGTCATAGGAGGTCAGCACAAAATACAGGTTATAAAGACCTTGCTGATAAAACAGGTTGCAGGAAAGGAGCTGGCCAAAACCCACCAAAACTAAACTGTCTATGAGAATGACCTCTGGTCGCCCTCACTACTACACTCCCACCAGAGCCATGACAGTTTACAAATGCCATGGCAACATCAGGAAGTTACCCTATATGGTCTAAAAAGGGGAGGCATGAATAATCCACCCCTTGTTGAGCATATCATCAAGAAATAACCATAAAAATAGGCAACCTGCAGCCCTCAGGGCTGCTCTGTCTATGGAGCAGACATTCTTTTATTCCTTTACTTTCTTAATAAACATGCTTTCACTTTGCCTTGAGGACTTGCCCTGAATTCTTTCTTGAGAGAAATCCAATAACCCTCTCTTAGGGTCTGGATTGGGACCCCTGTCCTGTAACACTTATAGGTATTAAACAAGAAAAAGACCCAATCTCAAATACACTGGGTTAAACCTTTCTTTAATGAAGGACTTTTTAGAAACTTTCATTGCTCAATTTCATCCATGCTTTTTCAAGTGGATAAAGAACCTGTATTATTTTTCAAATTTATTTGACCATAGATCTGTTTTGGAATTCTTGTTCTGGAATTTAACAATTATGAAAACACTAGGCAAGATACATAACCTCTGAGAATCTTAGTTTGCTTATTTATAGAATGGAAATAATGATTCTTATTTCACAGTCTTGCTGTGAAAATTAAATAAGGATAAGGTTAAAAACACGCCACAGTGCTGGGCAAATAAACAGTGCTGAGTAGATGTTGTTGTTTTTTTTTAAGTTTTTTTTTCTATTGGTTTCTGGACAAAACCTTTAAAAGGATATTTAGGAATGAGTCCTACTTATTTAGCAACTGGTATGACTTGGGCATTTACCAATGAAAAAGGACATTGGTCCAGGAACAACCCTTGGTTATTGATCCTAATGATGTCAGGAGGGTCCCAAGTGATGGACACTTGGTGAGAGAATTAGAACTATAGCTTTTTATCAACTTTAGTAAAACCATTTCCATATTTTAATTCATATTATATCTATCCCAGTATGTATCTGTCCACTATCAGCCTTGTATATAGGCAAATAAGAGTATGTTCAGAGAAGAATGTTTAATGGGGTGAAGATACGCACTGTAAAGGTATATGAGGATCTGCTAAAGGAAACAGAGATGTTTATTCCAGAAAGGAGAAGACTTGGGGGAAGGGGGTGGGCATGAAAGCTGTCTTCAAATATCTGTCTTCAAATATTTGATTGTCAGGTGGAAGACAGGCTAGACTCATTCTGTGTGTCTCCAAAGGGTTCAATCAAGAACAATCAACGTGTGAAAGATTTAGGGCATGAAAGTTCAGCTCTACACAAGTAAAAGTTTTCAGAACTCAGAGTAGTTCAAAGAATAGCTGCCCCCATCAAGTGCTGAATTCCCCATTATTTTAAGATGTTCAAAAAGGCAATAGTCAAATGCCTGGAATGGATGTTGTAGAGAAGATACAATTACAGTTAGTCAGTTTTATAGACTCAACTGAAAGATCCCTTAATCCCTGAGCATCTTTGGTTCTATGACCAAAAGATGGAGGTTCTTAGTAGTAATTCTCTCACTTCTGTAAACTATATGCATTATGTTGAGTTTATTTCCATCTTTAGCCATAAAAAAGAGAGTTTTAAAATGCCGAGATTTGCCTTAATTCTACACATAAACATATTTTATTTACATATTAATACCAGTTACTTTAGTAAAGAAGGAACCAAAGGAGCATAAGAAAGATTCAGAGACATACAGAGAAAGAAGGATGAGAGAAACCTAGAAAAAGGAGGGAAGCAGGCAGAGAGAAGTTCTCTTATATTTTCCTGGCTCCCTTGACTAATCTTCATGCCTTCACTGCTGCCTCATGAAATTTTCCACCTCTAAGAAATCTGGGTTTTTCATCTATAAAAGGAAGCAGTTGGGTGTGATACTTTATTCATTCAACAAACATTTATGAAGTACAAACTTGATAAGCAGGCACTGTGCTAGCTCTCTGTGTGTGATGCAAAGGCACAGGTCTTTGCTCACCCTCAGCTTCTCTAAGCCCATGTCATGTCAATGACAACACGTCTGTGATCCTGGGCTGCCAGGTGTTGCCTTTGAACAGCTCACAGTTGCATTCAGCCTGAAACGGTTTGCTTCAATCATCTCAAATGAATGGCTGGTTGTGAAAGGGCTGTGAAACCTGGAACATGCCATCTGCATGCATATTATTATTATCCGAAAGTCTGTGCAGAAGGAGCATGGGGGCTTAGACATGGGAAAGAAAACAAATCACTTTTGAATTGCCACAAATTTTTTCTTAGGAATGACTGTGAGTTCTGATTCCTGCCATTCTCTTACTCCTTTTCCTCTCTTCCCTCAGGATTTTGGATGGAAAAAGTGGCAAGTCACTCCTTAAAATTGGTTACAAAAGTCTGCCATAGGCATGAATTTTATTCTTAGCTATAAAAATCTCATGAGAACATAGCCTGGGAGATGCTACCCATTAAGTGATATTTCTTATTGTAGATGGTAAAAATGAGCTGTAACCTTTAGGCTTTCTGGTGCATGTTATTAATTTCTCTCAAAAATGGCCTTTTATAGAGGTTGTGATATTATTAAAAAAGAAGCAGAGACCATCCTAATCAAGATAAACTAAAACAACAACAACACACACACACAAACACACACACACACACAATGGTAGAATGCATCAGAAAGATAGTCAGTGACTGCCATATTAGTTACCTTTTCTCCCAGGGCTACCATTAAATAGAAAAGCACTACAGAAAAGTTGGCCCCTTATATGGAAGAGTTCTGTGTGATTTGGTGAGACAGTGAATTTTGCTATACTTTTAATGAAGTACAGATTTGTGTTTAGGAGCATAGGCTCTGAAGCTGGACTTCTTTGATTCAAATTCTGGCTTTGTCCCTTTCTATATAGATGACTTAGGCAAGGAGCTTAAACTTTCTGTGCCTCAATTTTCTCATTTATAAAATGATGAGAATAAGAGTACCTGCCTCAAAAAGTTGTTGTAAAGATTAAAGCGCTGTTGTATGAAAAGCTCTTTGACCAATGCTTGACATATAATAAGTGCTAGATGTGTGTGTTATTATTAATTATTCTTAGAAGTTTATTGTCACAAGGCTTTAAGTTCTTAAGTAATATGAATGAAAAAATTTTGTCTTCCAAGAGAGTTGCTGTCTTTCATTTATCTTTGGATTGAAAATTATAAAGTGTAGCATTGCTTATTAGGATTTGTACTAGAATCACCTGCGCACTTGTTTATAATGCACATTCTGGTCTGCAACAAAATCAGAATATCTGGGAGGGTAGTCTAGAAATGTGTATTTTAAATCAGATGCCCAGAGGATTCTGAGGCAAATTGGAATTTGAAGACAATGGAGTAAAGCAAGCATGGCTGTGTTAGCTTAATCACAGCAACAATTCAGTTTCTGGAGGGTAAATTATGCACCAGCCACTGGGCTCTTGGGATATGATCTTATTAAATCCTCACAAGAGGCCTCTGAGGGCAGGTTCTATTATGAGCTCAGTATTTCAGATCAGAAATTGTGGCTTTCACAATATCTGGGTTAAATGATTTGCTCAAGATCTGCTGGTGAAGGGCACATCAGGAATGGAATTGGGTCTACCTGTTCAGAACTGGTATTCCTAAACATTCTGAACATTTTACATCCTGTCTGAACCCAAGCTCCTCCTGTATTGAGGCTTTCTGTTTTGGGGAATGTGACGCATAATATTCACCTCCCAGTTAGTCAAGGATGACACAGATCCACCTCCACACGAATAATATAATAGCCAATGTATATTTTCCTGAGCAGGGGCTGTCCGTAAACAGCCAGGAGGGTGGGTGAAGAGCAAAGACTGGGAGAACCATCTTCTGTTGGGTCATAGTTTATTTCATTTTCTAACATCAACTCTGCCAGTAGGGGGCGTCTGCTAAATCGACACCACAATTCTATGCCGTAGGAAGCTCGATCCTTAGACTCTGAATCCCTAATATTTTTTTTAAACAGATAGAAACAGATTTATACAGGAAGAATGGAAAATAGGGCAAGGGATATGTTCAGATAAATGTACTGTCACACTCTAATGCTGGAAACCTCTAATTATTGCCAACTCAAAGCATATTTATATAACATAAACCATGAACCAGGTGCTATGCTTGTCTATACTGAAATGCAAAAATGAATCACACAAAGTCTGCAAAGACCTGAAAATATATTAATAAGTGGCACTGTTACTATTATTCACCTCTCACTAGGTGTCAGGCACTGTACCAGATGAGCTACATATATTTTGTCATGCAATTTAATCCTTTTAAAAACTCCACAAAGTAGGCATTTTTCAGATGCCCTGAGGCTCTGAAAATTTAAAAAATTGCCTAAGTTCAGGTAGCTTTTCAGTGGCAGAACTGAGATTTAATCTGAGGTCTTTCTATTGCAATATAATATTTTCTGGTAACAAAGTAAGACAATTGCATAAATTATAATGCAAGGCCAAATAATGAGGTATCATTAAAACAACATAAACATAAATTACTAAGGTGGCTCAAAGAAAAGTACAAGTAGAGCCTTTGGGTAAAAGTGTCATGAAGTATATAGTAGAGGATGTAATGTATGAGCTGGGCCTTGAAATGTGGCCCTGGCTTTGGTAGAGACAGTGAGAAGGATCCTAGGTGATGGTGAGGAGGCAGGCATTCCAGACATGAGGAAATAATAAGCCAAGACATGGAAATGGAAACCATGTTTGGAGATACAAAAGAGTTCACTGTGGCAAGGGTAGAATAAAGGGACTGGACAATTTGGATGATAAACCTAAATGGTAGTTAGATCCTGTTATAAGGAGTTTGTACTTAATATGACAAGCAATGGTAGAAAGGAAAAAGCTGAGTTTTTAAGTGTGTCTGTGTGTCGGGGAGCGGGGAGGAATTTGGGCAAGTAGTGAATCTTTAAAAAAATTTTTTTTTATCAAACACTATGAACCAGATAATGTGCTATCAGATTTATAATAATATCTTAATTATTCTTTTCTGACCTTGTTTAGAAGCTTGCTGTCAGAATATATTAATCTGGTGGTTGTGGGAATGATGGATGTAGGTGGGGAGAAGGGGATTAGAGATTAAAAGTGGGAGACCAGTTAGATGACTATTACAATGGTGCAGATGAGCAATTCTGAGAGCTTACATTTCAGTTATTGGGTAGATCCCACTAAGTGTGCTGCTCTTCCCACGCTTCTCTGAGTGGCATGACTCCTGAAGAGCATTTCTTTTCTGGCTTCAAGTTCTTGGTGGTGAGTAAGCTAATTATGGGGTATAGGTTTAAAAATCATTGTTCTCCTCATCTAAAATGTCACTAGAATCTGCACAGCTGTCCAATGTTCCTTTCTTGAATTCAACACAAAATCTTGACAAGAGATCCTGATATATCTGCACTTATTTTACTCACGGAGAGCGTATGAATTTTTCCTACTTACCCTGAGACAAAGTTTACTCAGCTAAATTTTCAAAGATATCCTAGGAGAAATTGTATTTGTTCATAGTCCTATTACTATCACTTTCTCACAAAAGCAGGCTCACAGCAGACTTGCTTTCTCTTTTTTTTTTCCTTAAGGAAAAATGTGTTTAATTATTTTCTTGCCTTTCTCCTCTGAAAAACAACATGTTGCCTTAACTGCTAGTGACATTCAAAATAGTTTGGGAGGAATGACGCTGACAGTGATATCACTTTCCTACAGTTCTGCTTCCCCAGGCGGACTGAAAATGCTTTCAAACTACCAAAGAGCGTGTATGCATATATAATTCAAAATTCTCTTTCTGTGGTTTTATAAATACCCACACAAATTCCATTTCTATCTATTTAACACTTACGGAGTCTCCATGAATAGAGAAACCATTCTTTCTATTTAAAATGCATCAAGAAATATCCCATTGTAAGTAAAACAGAATTATAATTGCCTAACTAAAAGCTATAGAGAGCCCAGTCCACTGGGGACACTCCTTTATCCATTTACGATGATATACTCTTAAAATTATGGCCAAGAGAGTGAGATGATTTTATTTTATGGGAATTTAGCCTTTCTTACGTGTACAATTGCTCTGCAACAGTTTAAAACACAATTCATTCTCTACTGCATGGATTCTTGTGAGATACAGATCTATAGGTCAAGGTCTACAGAGTCACCCCACTATTTTATACTCTCATAGGATCAGTTTCTACCAAGTCCATGCATTGGGATGTTTGTAGTGGTCACGGGCTGGTGCTCACACATGAATCTCAATCAAAGATGAGAAGGTGAAGCTGTGTTACTTACCTGTGTGTGTATAATTAGGGGGAATAGATGCCACTCACCATTGTTTTCCATGAACCCCTACCACAAGCCATTCTAAAGGATGCCAATGACTGAAGCTTTCCCCAGGACTACAGGAAGGAACAGGACTGAAATCATATTAGATGTGAACTCCATATCAATGGGCCAGTGTTGGGAGCAGGCACATCTCTGCAGCTACACTGCTTCTTACTGAGTAAAAAGAGCTCTTCAGGAATCTAACCCTAGACCATCTCAGAATCTGAATTTTAGAATTTGGCTTGTAAAAAGATCCATGAATATGTAGATGAGGCATGTGTATCTTATTCCTTCAGGAGACTTTCCTTCTCAAATAGCAATAAAAATAATATCATGTATCCACAGGTCTGTACCATCTGCCAGTCCTGTGCTAGGTACCTTGTGCCTATTAACTTTCATTGTTTTGCTGCAAGGTGTGTGTCATCAGCCATTCAAAAAGAAGAAATGAGTCAGGTGGGTTAAGTGACTTTCCAAAGCTACATGACTAGGAGTAATAATAATAGTAATTAACAGTAGTAGTAACAGTAGCACAATAAAAACACTTATCGAAAGAACACCTACTATGCCACATTGTGCTAGATGCTGTCCCTGGACTAATTCATTTCATTTTTACAGCAGTCCTAAGAAGTATATCATATTATTATCCACCTTTAACAGATGAGGGATCTGAGTTTGTTAATGTGGTGGGCATCTGCTACCTTTTTGTTTGTTTATTTTGTTTGTTTGCCCTACAGTCTCTCATTTTCTATGCCCATTTTTCTGCTCAGTGGTGGACACTGTCCTAGACCTGGACAATTGGAATATTCTCTCCTTTGTAGTCACAGCATCTGGCTCAGGGATTAGCTCATATCCCAAACTAGCTCAGTGAGGGCCATTCCAGGGACTTGGGCTGAAATTAATGAGAAAGAAAGGTTCCTTTCTTTTGCACCACTAGTTATCTTGATAATGCAAGCTTAGGGTTGCCAGAGGAATATTTGCCATGACCTAGGGAGAATCTACTTGAGAAAACTCCAATATAAAAGAAAATAGAACAATGAAAGCGGTGAGAGAGAAAGACAGGCAGAGAAAGAGAGACAGAGAGAACTTCTCAGAAGCCAGATTAAGTCCCATTTCTGTTTAATCTGTTTTGGATTAAATCTCTTTCACTGTCAACCAATGAAACATTGCATACAAAAAATGGACACCAAGGATGGGATGCAGATTATGGATCCAAGGATGGGTTGGCTCATTAGAGGAGCAATGGGAAGCAGTATAAATTCACCCATCCCTATTTGTGAAAGCTGACCATAATTACTATAAACTGTCTTCTGGAATCTTGATTCAAACCACTTCCTACTGAAGGTTAAATTTTAGAGACTTGTTAGAAAAATATCAGGATGCTGGAGGGTTTGTGATTTTCTTATACCTTTTATAAACTGTTACAAGTAAGTTTCAGTCAAACCTGGACTGTCAGAAAGCTGAGAGAGAAAATACAACCTTGCAAAGAGAGGTTTTTTCAGTGAACATAAAGCAATCCAAGATACTTGAGATTCAAAAATACATATCCTGTAAAAAGTTGGAAAAGCTAAATTTTCTGGCCTTTGCCAGTCCACGAAAATGAAGGCAGAGGCCGGGCAAGGTGGCTCACGCCTGTAATCCCAGCACTTTAGGAGGCCGGGGCGGGCAGATCACAAGGACAGGAGTTTGAGACCAGCCTGACCAACATGGTGAAACCCTGTCTCTACTAAAAATACAAAAATTAGCTGGGCGTGGTGGTGTGCACCTGTAATTTCAGCTACTCAGCAGGCTGAGGCAGGAGAACTTCTTGAACCTGGGAGGCAAAGGTTGCAGTGAGCCGAGATCTCACCACAGCACTCTGTCTCAAAAAAAAAAAAAAAAAAAAAAGAAAAAGAAAAAGAAAATGAAGGCAGAGAAGCAGGAAACTAGTAATTACTTTCTTATTACTACTGTAACAAATTACCACAGATTTCATGACTTAAAAGCAGCACCACCCCATTCAGTTCTGGAGGTGAGAAGTCTAAAATCAAGGTGTTGGCAGGGCTGCACTCCACACAGAGGCTTCAGAGGAAAACATTTCCTTGCCTTTTTTGGTTTCTAGAGCAAAGCTTGTCCAACTCATTGCCTGCAGGCTGCATGCAGCCCAGGACAGCTTTGAATGTAACCCAACACAGATTCATAAGCTTTCTTAAAACACAAAATTTTTTCTCTCACTCATCAGCTAGCATTAGTGTATTATTTTTCTCTCACTCATCAGCTAGCATTAGTGTATTTTATGTGTGCCCCAAGACAATCCTCCTTCTTCCAGTGTGGCCCAGGGAAGCAAAAAGATTGGACACGCCTGTTCCAGAGGCTGCTCACATTTGTTAGCACATGACCACTTCTCGAATTACTACAACGTCTTGCTTCTGTGTCACATTTTCTACTACTCTCTTTGACTTTCCTGCCTCCCTCTTATTAGAACTCTTGTGATTATTACATTGGATCCCATCCTATAATCCAGGATAATCTCCCCGTCCTTAATTTAATTAATCCCATTTGCAAAGTCGCTTTTACCAGGTAAGGTAACAATTCACAGGTTCTGGGGATTAGGATGTGGACATCTTTGAGGGTGGTCATCATTTAGCCCACAACAGTCAGCTAGAGGCATTAGGGACCCTCAGATCCACCCAGGTACCTCCTAATATGCACTTTCCTTGTGATCAAAAGAGACTGGTTACCTGGTACATTGTTTAAATCTTTGTTTTTGTTTTGTTTTGAGATGGAGTCTCACTCTGTTGCCCAGGCTGGAGTGCAGTGACACAATCTCAGCTCACTGCAACCTCTACCACCCAGGTTCAAGCTATTCTCCCCTCTCAGCCTCCTGAGTAGTTGGAATTACAGGCACGTGCCACCACTCCCAGCTAAATTTTGTATTTTTAGTAGAGGTGGGGTTTTATCATGTTGGCCAGGCTGGTCTTGAACTCCTGACCTCAGGTGATCCACCCACCTTGGCCTCCCAAAGTGTTGGGATTACAGTTGTGAACCATGGAGCCTGACCTTGTTTAAATCTTTGGATCCAAACAAGTACAAAGCCAATTCTGAATTTACCAGTCAAATTAGCTATTGAATTCAGTTTATGATTCTTTGAATTAGGTTTCTGTAATCTCTAACCCAAACATGCCTGATTTGTACACTTGCCCAAGGTCACACAGGAGCAGGCTGAATCTCTCCTCTTTACCCTATGAGGGTCACTGATGAGAATGCTCATTTGTCCTCTATTTGAAGGGGACTCTTAACTGTCAGCACTCTCCCTCCCAGCCTCCACTTCAGCCCATGTTGGCCACAGGGTCCTATGTTCAGGGCCACACTCTTCTCTAATCCTCACCAAATACTCAGCCTGTTTCTTCCAGTGCTTTTCTTTAAAATGATATTCACTGGATCACTAGAAGGCCAGGCTCTAGATGCTAGAGCCACAGAGATATACCTTTCCTAAGGTGTAAGAAATATTTTATATTTAGAGGGAGAACAGATAATTATCCCCTCCCCTGCCTCCAACATTGAAAAGCATGCTTCTTGTAAGATGCAGTTAAATTTTGAAATTCTGTTACATTAAACCCTTAATACTCATGAGCTACCCATAGACTTCAGTATTGGTTTCCTGGGATAAACCATTATTTACTTCAGGAAACTGTATCATTAGAATGGCAGCCATTATTCCATTCTTGGCATAAAAGTAAAAGGAAAGCATGAACATGGCACACGATAATCAATTTAATCTGATTTATACCAGGTGGCAGGCAATTATTGTTTTGTGAAATAAAATATATGGCTGTTGATTGATTTTGTTGTGTTATGATAGTCTGTATTTCTGTAACAGTTCACTTTAGCTGGGACGGCCCTTCAATTTGGAATTTTAATCCCTGAAGTGAACCAATTGGGATGATCCTGTCTCTTCAGGCTTGTTTAGGGTTGCACATTCCCTGGGTCATTGCTCTATTCCTTATAGAAAATTCTATGGGTTATTGGTAGGATTGTGACTGTTGTATGTCAGTCTGACTAGGCTAAACTAAATTTCCCTGAATTTTCTTTCCTGAATGATTCCTGAAAAAGAAACGTGAGCCAAAGTAAACATTGTTCTGTGAGCTTGGTGGGGCGGAAGTGAAGCAGCTATTTTGTAGCTGGCACACACTGCTGCCCGTCTGCTGCCTCACCTGGTGCATGGGCAGCAGCTGGGCCTGCAACTGTTCCACCTCCCTGGATCTTCCTCCAGCTTCTATGATCCTGGGCCGGGCTTCTTTGGGAGGGCATTCCAACCGCTAAGGTCAGAGGCACTGAGAGCCGACGCGGGTTTCAGTTTGCCCCCGTGTGTCCAGCTTATACCTGGGAACCCAGTTTGTTCTTGCTCTCCCCCTTTAAGTTTCTATCCATCATCCCTTCCCAACTTCCTGCCCTGCAGACTTCAGGCTCCAGCATCAAATGCAACAGCAGACATATAGAGGCAGCTTCACTGGCACCCACCATTGTGTAAAGTCAAATCCCTTCTGATTGATCAATCAATTGATCGATTGATAGATGGATTGCTCCATCTCTTAGTGGTTCTGCCTTTCCCTTCCAACCCTAATTGAAACAATACCCCTGTCCCAACTATGTAAGTCAATGTTTGTTTAAGATTGGCTTCAAGCTGCCAGGATCAACATTTTTCTTTTAAATGTATTTCTTGTTTTTATTCAGTGCTCTGTGACCATCTCTTAGCCATAACATTAGCTTGTGGCTTGGCTTTTCACATATGATTAAGATTAAAGATCAAGATTTTATGACTTTTCCCCAAATCCTGATTCTGGACCTAAGATAGCCTTAACATTAAGCATTTGGTATTGGACAAATGGAAAGTGAATATTTACATAATTTTATTTTGATTCTTTATATTCTTATATGAAAATCTTTTCATTACCTTTTTTTTGGCTTTAGATTTAATAATGGTTACATTTGTACAATGTCCTTTAGCATTAAGAATAATAACTAGGGGCCAGGTGTAGTGCTTTATGCCTGTAATCCCAGCACTTTGGGAGGCCAAGGCGGGTGGATCACCTGAGGCCAGGAGTTCGAGACCAGCCTGACCAACATGGAGAAATCCTCCCCGCTACTAAAAATACAAAAATTAGCCAGGCATCAAGGCGCATGCCTGTAATCCCAGCTACTCAGGAGGCTGAGGCAGGAGAATCTCTTGAACCTGGGAGGCAGAGGTTGCAGTGAGCCGAGATTGTGCCACTGTACTCCAGCCTAGGTGACAAGAGCGAAATTCTTCTAAGGAAAAAGCCACAAGATCCAGTAAACTACATAAAATAAAACAGTCATGTTTCATACAGTGAACATTCTGCAATTGTATTTGAAGTAAGGATGATAGTGCAAATTCTAACATACTTTCTAAGTCATAGGTTGTTACAAATAATGGGAGACAACTTACCTCTTTATGAACAAAATAGCCTATGTTTTATCTAGTAGTTGGATAGACTCATCTTGTTGCTAAATGTGTCTCATGTTGCCGTCTACTTGTAGGAAAAAATAATACACGTTACAAACCATTTACCCGACCTCCATTATTCCCTAGGGCAGCATAAAAGCATGTTTTTAAATAAATGTAAACACATGGTTAGCCAAGGATGACAGAACTCTGGATCATTTCTCTATCTTTCCAAAACTGAAATAATTTTAAGGCCATAAAAAATGTCACAGCATGGTTTTAGAAAGAAGGCAATCCAAAAATAAAGACACGAATTCCCATAAAAGCTAGGCTATGGGTATGAGGTGCCCGTTGCCATGGGGTAATAGAAATCTAGGAGTAGGAGAGACAATGAATCTGAACTGTCTCAACTTTGCTATGTCCCTGGATTGAGGTACTTGGCAGCCCCGAGGGAACGGAGTGATTGGAGGCATGACCTTTGGAGCTAATGTATTTCTGTACTCCTGTGTTTATCGCAGGGCATTTGGTTGAATTAGTGCCACTTCCTGCCCTAAGGATCTCACAATCTAGTATGTCCCCATTTGTTCCTAAGCTTGGTCTTAGTTTCTGCATTCTCCCATATGATTCCACTCAATATCTTCTCAACAGTAAGCTTGTAGTTGAATTTCTTGGGAGGACGCTCCCAGAACATCATCCTCAGCAGCTGCAGGGTGTCTCTGGGGCAGGTCTTGAGACTGCCTTAGGCTCTCTGCTGCCCTCTCCTGGCCACAACTGTCTCTACTGCCAAGGTGCTAATGCCGAACCCCTGTGGGATCTCTGGTCCAAGGAAACATCTGCACACAGGCCAGGGATGGCGCTTAGCTTCATCTGTGCTGCAAACTCTCATCAGTAGGCTTGCTGGCTCTGTGACCTTACTAGCTGAACTCCTTAATCTCTCTGCACTTCATTTTTCTAGTCTATAAAATGGAGATAACAACAGCACCTACCTCAGAAGACTGTTATGAAGAGTAAGTGTATTACTATTTATGAGTCAATTAGGACAGTAGCTTGCACATAATAAGTGTGATATGAGCGTTTGTTAAAACAGTTAAACAATCAAACAAACATAGAATTAGAGTGCTGACTAGAGAACAGCTGGTGATGACGCGGGAGGGAGATCTAGGATCTATTAGAGATGTCTTCCAAGGACAAGGGAGAGGGGATTATACAAGAGTGAGGTGTTGTCCCTGATATAGACCTGAATGGGCTCAGCCCTAGACACACTTTTAAAGGTGATATGCTTACTACAACTCTTCAACACCTATTCTTCTTCTCTTTAAAAATGATCTGAAATTTATTCTCTTGGGGATAAAATTTATTGTATATATTATATATATAATATAATTCTTGTTATGTATGTGTATATATATAATTATTTGTGTATATATGTGTATATATATAATTATTTTTATTGCGTGCTACTATTCCAAGCCAGATGCTAAGTGCTGGGGACACATGTAAGCAAGTTAAACTGGCCCCTCGCCAGATGAAACTTAGTTTGCAGTTGGTGAAACAGACATTACAGAGATAATTGTGCAGTTGCTTATTTAGTTACAACCATGAAGAATACTCTGAAGGGCAAAGACAATGTGTAACAGAGTCCTGTCCTAATCCTGGCGGTTAGAGATAGTGTAGTTAAGGAGATGATATTTAAGCTTAAAAACAGAACTTAGGGAAGCTGGTCAGCCCAGGGCTTGGGCTTGAGGAAGAGAAGGGCATTTCACATAGAAGGAGCTGTGTGGGCAAAGGCTCTGGAACCATTTTGTACTATGAGAAATCCAAAAAAGAAAAAGATTTAAAAAGGAAGGGGTGGTCAGTAGCAGTCATTTAACATAATCACCTGTTTCTCCCAAGGGCAGATTGCATTGGTCCTCTACATTTTACCAGCATTGTGTAATATCAGTATGGAATAGAAAGGATTGTAATTCTGATTGGGGGAGGAGAAACCTTCATGGCGATAATTTTATTAGGGTTTTAAAGGATCGGCTGGGCTTCAGCAGACATAAACTAGAGGATAAGAAGCTATAGACTAAGTAAATTACTCTGAAATTATAAAACTTTTGGTATTAGCAAGTTGGTAGAATTTGTTTATTTCATAGGTCCCTTCTCCAGCCTGCTGGAAGCACACCATCAAATCTGCAGCCAGAACCATTTACAGTAAAGTTGTCCTGTTTATAGGTTTTTTCCATAAGCTGTTTTATTTTTTAATAAATAAGAAACAATGCCATTGTCCTTTACAAAATAGCTGAGGTTTTACTTGAACAAAATCTGTTTGGAAATGTTAAGCTGGTTACACAGAACTAATATGCCTCAAGGTGGTCATTCTCTCTGGATTAAAGCTGTGGGACAATTGTGGCTCCTGTTACAGGGAAAATTACAATGGGCCATTATGAAAAGGGACAAAAATCTCTGTTCCCAGAGGGGGACTGACAAGCTGAAAGTCCCTCTCTACATGCCAACACAAAAGCCTGATTGCTTCAGATTGTTTGTTTATGTAAATCAAAAGGATGCCTTTAACTCTGCCAGGGAACTGGCAAGCAACAAAGAAGGTGGTGATTGGCTGGATTCTTGCTCATGGCTCCTGGCAGATCTGACAAATCCTCTTGCTTTTGCTCTAATCTCTGTCTGGATACTTTTAGGAAAAGAACCTTGTTATTATGTACTAAAGTGAATAATTTGTGCTCTTAGAGTAGGAGTTGGAACTATAGGACTTGAAGGCAAGAGCAGGTATCTTATCAAGGATCTACTCACTCAGTTTCCCTAAAGCTCTCTCTCCAGATCGGATTCAACCGCACATCATGACAGATGTTCCGGCTACATTTACCCAGGCTGAGTGTAATGGGGATAAACCACCTGAAAACGGTCAACAAACAATCACTAAAATCAGTGAGGAATTGACTGATGTGGACAGCCCCCTGCCACACTACAGGGTAGAACCCAGTCTGGAAGGTGCACTCACCAAAGGAAGTCAGGAGGAAAGAAGAAAATTACAAGGGAACATGCTGCTCAACTCATCCATGGAGGACAAAATGCTAAAAGGTAAAGTGTTTCCCTTCTCCTTAATTTTCTTGTTTTGACTTATAAATTTACCCTGGATTTTTTTGATAAACTATTATCGAAATGAGCTGGACACCCCAAAAATGTAGCCCTTTATTCTACTACGCATAGTATAAGGACTAAACCTCTGCCTCTGGTGAAATCCAGGCTGGTCTATTTGACAGCTGTGACCCCAGACAACTTTCTGTCTCCCGAAGCCTGAGTTTTTTTCACTAGAAGAAGGCGGAATAATAATAATAACTACAAGTCTAGGGTAAGTATTGGCTAAATGTTAACTACTGTATTTATTATGATTATGGACAGCCCCATATTATTTGAACAAAGAGAATTCAAAATGTTAAAATTTCCTTCTAAATATAACTGAAGTTCTCTGAATTTATGGTTCTATATCTTATATATATATCTTATATAAATATTAAAGGAGAGATTACAATCAATAAAGTGATCATTAAGTAAATAAATTGAATTGATAAAGAATGAATCCAAAGAGTGAAATAGTAAATTTTAATGATCAGATTTAAAATTAAAGACTTCTACCTAGAGTTTAAATTGATAACTTATTAACTGTTGAACAATAAATATTTTAAATGTTAAAATACTGATTTTATATTTTTTTCCTAGAAAACCCAGAAGAGAAACTCTTTATTGTTCATAAGGCTATCACAGATCTTTCTCTCCAAGAAACTAGTGCTGATGAAATGACATTCAGAGAAGGTAACAAGAACTACAGTTTTGTACACAGAAATTGTTTGACTGAGTATGGATGACAGTCTTTCCATGAAATGTTGCATGAGCGTGGGGTTGACAAAGCAATCCAGGCAATGACTTCAAATTTTCAAAGCTGCTGTAGGCAGATAAGAGAGTCTTAACTTATCTGTGGGTTCCACCTTATAAAGCATTCCAGACTGTTCAAGGCTGAGGCTGCATGGAATGGCATAGCTGATTGGCATACCAACGTGATGTCTATCTCTTAAGTTAGTCCACTGAGTCAACCCTACTTTTTGATTTGGTGTGTCCAAATCTGTGTGTGCACCTTGTGAAAGGTAAATGTTTCAAAAACGGGTCTTTCCTAAAAGTCTACAATTAACATACAGCTTTTTTTTTTTTTTTTGAGACGGAGTGTCACTCTTGTTGCCCAGGCTGGAGTGCAATGGTGCAATCTCGGCAGACTGCAACCTCTGTCTCCAGGGTTCAAGCGATTCTCCTGCCTCAGCTTCCTGAGTAACTGGGATTACAGGCACCTGACACCACGCCCAGCTATTTTGTGTGTGTGTGTGTGTGTGTGTGTGTATTTTTAGTAGAGACGGAGTTTCACCATGTTGGCCAGGCTGGTCTTGAACTCCTGACCTCAGTTGATCCACCTGCCTTGGCCTCCCAAAGTGCTGGGGTTACAGGCGTGAGCCACTGTGCCCGGCCAACATACAGTTTAAAGTAATCTCACGAAATGATTTACTTTATAGGCCTCTAATGTAAATACAAAATTGTTAACTATTTCATGTCAAAGAAAGACAGGGTGATAAAGTTAATTTTAATTGTGTTCTTTAAGAAAATGGAAGAATAAAAAGAACATTGAAGTGATTATGTTAAATTTTAAATAAACTTAATAGACTAAGAGACACAAAATCCTTTAGATTTTTCTAAGACACCTACATTTAAACAGTTCCCAAATAAAGTGTAGGATAAAATCTATTAATTAATCATTTCTTTCCTCTCTTGCAGCCATACACATCTTATGTCAAATTGAAGTCAGCTTGCTAAACCTAACCAATTTAGCTTTGTTAGGACTTTAACAGGCAAAATATTGAAGAGACTATTGGTTGAAATATTAGAACATCACATAAAATAGTAGATGTCAAGGAGGACAGGAATGTGATTGGCTATTTCCTACATCTGCTCCCTTTGCCTGAACACCTCTCATACTATGTCTGCTTAGCAGTGTAGCAACACTTAAGGAAATATGTAGCAAGCAATAGACAGTGTCAAGCTGTCACATTACCAGAGATAATTTTTAAGACTTAAGACTTCACAATATGAACTTAATAACCTCTTTGCCCTAATTATTCTGCTTCCAATGTAACAAGTTCTCAGAGGCAGAATCTCAACCTCCTATCATCTAGAGCCCCTTTCAAATGTTTGATCAGGAGTCCATTGCAGGTAACAGTTGTCTAGATCTTTCATTTTCATCAAATGGAGAATGAAAGCAGGCTGTAGTTTTCAGCTAGATGGTCTCGCTGGTTAAGTTTTCCCTCAATGAATCCTTTCCTGTTTGATGGAGTATGTTTTTCCTCCATAATAGAGGCACAGATTTTGGTGTGTTTTATCTTCACAGTGGCAAACAGCTATAAAATCTTCAAAAAGAATGTTACTGGATTAAAACATATAAAGATGCTAAAAATATTGAGGAAAAACTATAATTTAAATTCAAGGAGTAATTTTATATGTGACAATCTCATGGCTGAGTCATGAATATAAACAAAATATCACTTACTTTGGTTCTTGTGGAAAACAAAATAAAACAAAGCATAAGATTATGGCAAACATTCTAATGTGTATTTATGGATAATGTTAGGAACATTGACGGGACACTAGCGACCTGATAGCAGCTGTGTGTAACAAATTAGGGTGATCACCCATCTTTACTTCTATCTCTGTAAGTTTACTATGTATTCCCTAGAGTGAGAAAACAACAAAAAAATAAGAGAACTGAACACCTTGGATGAAAATGGAATTGTGAACATCTTTCGGAGAGAGTAGAATATTGTGGAGGAAAAAGACAAAGAGGAACATTGCCTCTCACCTTACTTATAGACTCTCACGGTGTCAAAAGAAAATGGTGAACTCAGGCCTGACAAGGGGTGTAACCCAGACAGATTTCTGAGTTGTGTACACCACAGACTGAAACTTCCCACAGAAGCCTTGCAGGGCTGAAGGCTCAGAGAACAACCTCAGCTTCCTTATAATTAATTCTTACCATATTCAATAAATATTGTTGAGGGTATGTTGGTATGATCTAGCTGTTTGAAAAGTGACCAGACATGGACAGTCATCATTTTCAGTATTGGAAACGAGCATTTTTTTCTTTCTGAAGTATTTTTCTAATTTTCCTTGAGGTGTGTGTGTGTGTGTGTGTGTGTGTGCGTGTGTGTGTGTATGTGTGAGAAAAAGATAAGTCCAAACATTTCCTTTTACATGTGCACGTATCCAGTTGTGACTGGCTAGACAAGAATTTTTTTTTTTAAGTGTGTCTCAGGGAACACCAGTCTCACTAAATACAGTAGTCCACAACAGAGTTCCATAGACAAATGAAGTTAGGTTGTTGACTTTCTTACAGATTTACAATACTCGTTAGCATTTCAAAGGCTTGTAAAAATTCTGAAGATGCTTATTTAACTGTATTTAATGCAGTGTTTTTGAAATTAATTTGGCTGTGTAGCCTGTTTGTGCAAAACATATTGGTAACCCACAGAATCATATCCCATAAAACATGTGTTGGGAAGTGATTAGCAAGAAAAATTATTTGGAGAATAACAGACTAATGGCTGGGTATTTTGGAATCTCTACACATCTCATCTACCAATTGATTTTGCTACAGGGCATCAGTGGGAGAAGATTCCTCTGAGTGGCAGTAACCAGGAAATAAGAAGACAGAAGGAGAGGATTACTGAGCAGCCTCTCAAAGAGGAAGAAGATGAGGACAGGAAGAACAAAGGTCACCAGGCAGCTGAAATTGAATGGCTGGGATTTCGAAAACCTAGCCAAGCTGACATGTTACATTCTAAACATGATGAGGAGCAGAAGGTTTGGGATGAAGAAATTGATGATGATGATGATGATAATTGCAATAATGATGAAGATGAAGTTCGAGTGATAGAATTTAAGAAAAAACATGAAGAGGTTTCTCAATTTAAAGAGGAAGGTGATGCAAGTGAGGACTCCCCACTGAGCAGTGCCAGTTCCCAAGCTGTGACACCTGATGAGCAGCCAACCTTAGGGAAGAAGAGTGATATCTCCAGAAATGCTTATTCCAGATACAATACAATATCCTATCGGAAAATCAGAAAGGGAAATACCAAGCAAAGAATTGATGAATTCGAGTCTATGATGCATTTATAAACTAACTGGAACTGAGAAATTCTCATGCCCACTAAAGGAAAAGCTAATTCTATTGCCCCAGGGTGCATATTTCTATGCCTTATTTGAGTTATCACTTGGAGGGAGGTGGAAGTTGACTCTCTTTTTCACTGTAGAATAATGTGGAAATAACCCTAGATAAAAATTCAGTCTGATAACCTCAAATCAAAAAGCTTTAAATAAATTCTTGGGCATTTATCTTTTAAAACTTCACTAATATAGCATTGTGTGATAAGCACTAAGCAGTCAGTCCCCTGGGGGAATCTGGCATAATTCGGCTATAAATGTAGCAATGCTTGGAAAGGTAGTCATCAAATGAGACTATTTGAGGGGACTATTTGAAATGATTCTGGTATTTCTTTTGGTATCTTTCTTCCTGTACATTGGAGTGATGGAAAGTCTGGTATTAAAACCTCTCTTACTTTTAAACTTGATTTTGCAGACTCTGGCAATAAGCCTTCCAAAATTCTGTGCCTTTTCTATTATCACCAAACAATATGTTAAGTGGCTTTCCTTGGCATCTACAGAGAAAACATTCTATAGCCCTCCTTCCTAGGTGTTACCATTCACTGAATCTTCTCTCAGAGGGAGATGAGCAATTGTCAGTCAGGATAATTCTGTTTGCTAAATGTTGCCTTTATGCTTTCAAACTGAATTAAACCCATTGTGAGGTTGACACTGGGAGGGGCTAGAAGATTGGTGGGCAGCAGACTAAAGAGTTATGTTGGATAGTTTTATTTCTGTGGCTGAAAATAAAATCTTGTCTAGCACAGTTAAAGTCATTAAAAATAAAAATGACAGCTTTAGCACAATTTTAAGAAAATGCCCCTCTCTATTACCACATTTTCTCTTATTAACAGTATCTCAGAATAATTTTCTTTCCTTAGAAACCTGAGAGAATGCTAGTCATAACTGTACTAGTTACTATGAAAATGGAAATAATTATCTTAGAATATTTTCAAAGTAGAGCGTGAGCATGTATTTTTAGTGGGAGAGCTCTGATAGTTGTTGGGAATATATAATTTACTGGACCTCAGCCCAAATCAAGATGCTTAAAATTGTACTTGTGGAGCTTCACTCAAACCAATGTGTCAAATAACGTATTGAATATTTATGAAAAGAGAGACTATATTTATATTCTTAGATAGTTTGTTCCACAATTTTTCATTTCATGCTTCCATATATATTACCCTGAACTTTCTATCACCACAGATAAAGATTTTGTTTTGCCCTGCAAATAAAAAGACAATTCCTTATTGTCTGAATGTAATACAGTCTTCATTGTACTATTCAACCCTTTGTTTCTTTCTTTTTCATTTTGTGAAAAACTCCATGTTAGTCCTCTTAGATGACTGCTTATTTATGTGTAACATAAATCCCACATATTCTAATGACAACTTCTTTAATCCTTCCGGGTCATATATTATATTTCCATAGTATCACATACTATTATTTAGTTGTTTACAAGACTCCAATTTGAATTCAGGATTACAGTGCTCCTTTCATTCTTTCAAACAGATAACATAAAAGTTCTGTTACCCTCATTCTATACAACCTATGGATTTCATGTGTTACAATATCAGTTTCCAGAATAAAGTGAGGGAAATCAGGTCTTTATTGATAAAGTTAGGGAGAAGATTGATGCAATAGGACAATTTCCAATTTAATTTAGATCCTCTAATCTTTCTACATGGACAAGCTGTTTTCTTTTCTAGGTTACTGATAACCCCTACAATTTTCGACTTAACTTCAAAACACAGTATTGTGTTATCTATCACATAACAGGACCATGTTTTTAACCTACCATCAAGAGCCTGTATTTTGAGTTATTCCAACAGAGATGATGGATTCCTGTAGAACTAGAGGTGGGTGACCTATGGTTATGTGGCACGGCAAAGCAAGTACCTCTTAAGGGACTCTAATATATGCTAACGCTGGTCCTCTTAGCTCTGTGCTCTCACCAGACAATGAATGAACTATGAAAGATTTAGTCAACAGAAACTATTTTAGGGTATGTTTAGTTGGTAAATGCTTCATGTTCATGGATGACACAATGTTTTTGCAAAAAAACCCTGAAACTATTCTTTGGCATTGGTGTCCATGGCCCTATACCGCCATCTTACACGAAAGCCACAGAGTTGAAAGCCACAGAGTTGAAAGCCACAGAGTTAAGTGACCTCAGGTAACATAATGGTGATGGTTGGCCATTTGAGTCTTTGTAACCTAGGAAAGACAAAGGTCTGATTCAGATTGCATGGGGGATTTTTAACATATTTGAAACTCAGGGGGAACATGATTAAGAACACAAACTGGTAGCTACACATGAAGGTTTACTTGAGCTTTTGTGATTCAAAGTTCAGGGGTGGTAAGGACTCTGGTACCAGGGAAGAGGGAGAATTAATTTATTGTGCAAATGCTGGTATTTCTTACATGATTTTTTGTTTTCCTCTGTTGCTAGATAAATAGAAACTAATAATAGCTCTATTTCTCTGCCAATATAAAATCTACCTTTCATATAATGCTACATTGAAGGCACAGAATTTGCTACCATCTCTCTCTCCCCCTACCTACCAAACTATCCACAATTTAAATAAAGAACTGCTGTGTCTGACTTACTCTCAATAAAAGTTTGTGTCTTTATTTCTGGTCTCTAGACTTTATTTTGTTTAGCTGCCTTTTAAACTTTAGAAAGAATCCTTGTATATCAGCAGCTACTATGATAATTAATGAATACCTCTTCAGAAATCAAGAGAACACTTTATTTTAGTTCATTTGCATTATTTATTTCAAAAAGGTCTTAAAATGATTGTATATAAAATTGTAAAAAGGATTTCTGGTAGGTAGATATGTAATATACATGAAAAATTTTTATCATTTTTTAAGGAACTGAGATCATGTTTAAGATGCATCTTAACACGAACAACTTGAAGAAATCTCTGTAATCATCAGAGTAATACATTTAAACTATGCTGACATTTTCATAGCAATCGTTTCTGCATATTTACATGGGATCATACTTTTGGCATATTTTCAAATGGAGAACGGACATTTAAGTTTTTCAATGTGATAGGGAAAACATTTAAAATAAGTAATAATAGAGAATTATGGAGAAGGATAAAGCACCAGAGTATAATAAAGAAGAAATATGTTTGACAGTATGAGAAAGGCAACCACTTCTCTTAAAACTTGAACTTTCATCACTCTAAAAAACAATAGGATTGTAAAATGCAATGTCAAAAACTATATTTACCAATATTAAAGTATCAGACAGAAACATACCACAATGAATATGGGTTTCTGATAACCCCTACAATATTCTACTTAACTTCAAAACTCAGTATTGTTTAAAGACAATGAAAATGTGTATATAGTTCATGAAGAACATGAGATAACTGAGCCAGGCAATCAATACAAACACAATGACATGGGTAGTAGTAAGCAGCTGAACTCACTCAGAACATGGCAAACTACAAAATCAAATGATGATCTCTAGTAGCTAACTGCCAGCACAGGAGAATTTTGGAAATGAATTTAGAAAGTAATTTGGATGTTTACCTAGAATTTAAAGTTACATACTTGATTCCTTCTTTATAATAACTTCAGTCGATCAGATGCAAAAGAAAAAGTACTTAAAAATGTTTAATTCCAACATCCTTTATACTCCACAGTTTTAGTTTTATTCTCCCCTTAGCAAATGTTTTCAGGCAATCTTTAACACAATTCACTTACTTAATCTTTGGCTTCTCTTGTTTTTAAGCTAATATGTATAAAACTAGCAAATTTGGGGTAGTTGTTTGAAGCAGAAGACATGTGTGTAATCTTCAACTAAATAACAAGCACCCTGATAATTAAGAACTTGATTACTCCTTCAAGTTTGGAAAATGGTATCCAGAGTGTAAGTTCACTTGAGATACTTTTGTGCAGAAGGCCAGATGCAGACAAAGCTATACACCTGAAAGAGTTAAAAATATCTAAAAACATTTTATTTTCTTTATGTTGTGAATAGAAACTCTTGATATTTCTTTCTTCCAGATCAAAGCATCAAAAAAAAAAATATATATATATATATATATATATACACACACATACAGTATATTTACAAAAATTGCTATGTTTTTGAGTGGTCACTTAAAAATCTATTCATGCTATGAAAAATTTTAATTTAACATCTAATATAAAGGGTTTATTATATAGATGCTTATGACCAATATCCTTAAACTGGTAAATATCTGTCAATCAATAATAAAACAGAAAGCTCTTGTTTTTGAAAAAAATATTTATTACTTATTTGATGGTGACTCATTATTAGAAACAGCATATTAGAAGTTGCTGTATTTGCTGGAAAATGAGAATTTTCCCTTGTGTTTTGTATGTGTTTTTACAAAGCAAAGATTCACATAAACTTGCAAAGCGACTCTAATTGAAATGATAACTATTGTTCCATTAGGTTGAAAACAGAGGCATTAAATCTGTTTAGTGTGATGTTATTTTTTTCTTTCTTTGAGATACAGACACCACCAACACCTGGAATACTATCCATTAAGCTTCATTAGGGATATATAATACTTTATATGGCTTATTCAAAACTGTCAAAAAATAAATATTTTGTACAATATCTCTGGTTAATTTTTTTTTCTAATTGTAAGGCATTTTGTCTTGTAGCAACTATTGAGTAACCCATGCAAAAGTTGTTGCAAAAGCACAGTAGTGACAACCTACACAATGAGTAGGAATAAAAAGTCATGGTTTGTGTTTTAAAGGACTCCAACTTTTTAACTTTTTATTTCTGTTCAAGATGAGCAATCTGCTAGCTTTGATTAAAGGTTGGAGGGATCAAGGGTTGGTAATATTAATACAGGAGTCATTAAAAATTTATTTTAGGCCATTAGAAAGGGTAAAATAGTTCTCGGTGGATTTTTCCTTTAATAAAAAGCAGCCCCCAAGCCACTTATTTTCTAACAAAAAGCAGCCTGAAAAGTCAAGTTGCAAGTATAGATATGCAAGCTAGAGGCTCCCATATGTAAAGCTAGCAGCTGTACCTGGAAGCCAGGCACATTCAATATGGTGATTCCTGCTCCCTTTTCCTTGTCACCAGGTGTGTGGGTGACATGGCACTGGTGAAGTGAAGCCACGTGTGCAAATGTCATGGTGACAGCCAGGTAGAAGATGCATTTGCATAATAAAAGGTTAGGGTGGGAGGGCCAGTCTTTTCACCGGCTATGTAAGTAGTATACCTGGTTAAACCAATCCCCGGGCCCTATGTATATCAATCACCGCCTCCTCAAGCCTCTGTATGAAATCAATCAAATCTTGCCCCAAACCCAGAAAACCCTCTCTTGAGCAACTGTCTTTCTCAACATGAGGAAGCTTTCTCACTCTCTTCTTTATCTATTAAACTTTCCACTCCTAAACCCACTCCTCATGTGTGTCTGTGTCCTGAATTCTTTCTTGGCATCAGACAATGAACCATGGGTATTTCCCCAGAAAATGGAGCTTTTTCAATATTATTCACAGAGAAAGAATCCTCCACATGTCCACTTCTTTCTTTCACATTTGGTCCAGGAGATGAAAAAGAATAGGTTCTGCATGAAGTCAAAGAGATAGATCACAGCAAAACATGTGGGGGTAGCCATGTTTATACCTACACATCAATTGGTTACCACAGAGAGAGAGAGACCATGCTTCTTTTTTCTGTTTATACAACATCCAAAAGAGGCCAAAGGGGTTTAATTCAATCTCATCTCAATACTGTGGCATCAGTAATCTGAGACCAAGAAACTTTTAAATGCACCCACCTGAGATGACAGCCCTTTGTAAAGAAGAAAATTAATTATATAGCAGCATGGTATAGTGAGAGAAATTTTTTTTGAGCCAGATAAAATGGAAACTGGGTTTTATCTCTTACTTGTGGGATGACCTTGGGCAATTTACCAAATTCCTCATCTGTATGTGGGAGTTATCCTTCTTGTTCATATAACAGGGAGAATGAGAGTCATTTGATGAGTTGTACCCATCAGTGAGATGGGACACATATAGCACCTACACAAATAGTACCTACACACACTCAATGATAATTAGTTCCTTTCTTTTTTCCCATCACCCAATGTCATTTTTTTGTTTTAATCCAAGATTTTGGGGCTTTCTTCTGAGGTAAAAATTATTATTATTATTTTTTGAGATAGAGTCTTGCTCTGTTGTCTAGGCTGGAGTGCAGTGGCGCAATTTCAGCTCACTGCAACCTCCACCTCCCGGGTACAAGCAATTCTCCTGCTTCAGCCTCCCAGGTAGCTGGGATTACAGGCGCCCACCACCATGCCCAGCTAATTTTTGTATTTTTAGTAGAGACGGGGTTTCACCATGTTGCCCAGGCTGGTCTTGAACTCCTGACCTCATGATCCACCCACCTTGGCCTCCTAAAGTGCTAGGATTACAGGTGTGAGCCACTGCGCCTGGTTGGTAAATTTTTTTTCTTGTATTCTGAATATAGGAATTCAATCAGAGATGTTAAAACAAAGAAAGATGGTACTCTCTGGCATGTTTCAATCTTATTCTATTGCATGAGTGCCTGCTAGAAATAATTACAAGCCATTCATGAAATCAAGGTTGGTTGGGAATATTGGACTCCTATATACTGTAAATGGTATCTTTGCCCCTCTGCAGTCCCAAACTAATACTAGAAGTAAGGTGTTTTAATATCTAAAAGAATGTTTCCAAATTAGTGTGGCGAAGCTAATAATACATTGTGATCATGGCACATGGTGGTTTGCTGTGAATGACAGCTGAGGGGATGTCAACAAGCAGTATTAAGCAAATTTGATGCTGGTGATAGAACAAGATTGTACCAACAACAACTGTGTCAGCTTACAAGAGAGTAGGGCAGAAGCGCTGGGTAACTGTTGAAAAGGAGAAAGAAATTGTGCAAACTGAAAAGTCTCAGAAGCACTTAGATGGCTTGGTAAGTTGGTTAGTGCTGTCAAATATTATCAAGACCACCCTTGTATTCAAGGTAACAAGATGCATAGACTTTTTTTTTTTTTTTTTAAAGTAAAGGCAATGACCTAAGCTAATCCAGGGAAAAATCTGTAGCTCCTGTAACACAGCCTCCTATTGAAGAATTCAGTGCTGATTAGGACCTGTCTCATCCAAAGGTTTATCACTAGAATTACCAGAAGACCGAGTAGCATGTATACCTTTATTCTAATCTCCTGAAAAAATTTAGAAGGCTATGCTTAAGAAAATGTTGGTAGTAGATGTAATAATAAATCAATACACTCAAGTTTAGGCCCATATAGATTCCCAACTAGTGATCAGTTCCTTGCTTCTTAGAGTAACTGAGCAAATATATGATGAAAAGCAATGTATAAAATTCTATCCAAGAACAAATTTGTGATGTTCAAAAACAATCCTTTGTTATATTGACAATATAGATTTAAATATAGCTTTATATAATAAGTTTGTCAGGGTAAAGTCAGAAAGGATGTGAACTGAGAGGACTGCAGAAGTTTCTGTTAAGGAAAAAAATCCAACTTCCTTTAGTTGATATACCCAAAGATAAGTGTATTCAAAATGCAATTCATTTTTTTTCAGAACAGAGTTGACTTCTTTGTGGAAACTATTTTCGGATAAAAAGAGAGCCTATATACCCGGGGGAAAAAAACCTCTCAACATTTTTTAGTTACATGAAGAATTACATGAGGCACCTAGCATGTTCAGTTTGTCAGTAACTCAATTAGTCTTTTGACAACTGACTTGCGTCCCCCCATCCCCCTTGCCCCATATGGCTCTGTTTTGAAAAGAATTAGAGTCATGCATCATTTAATAACACAAATACATTCTGAGAAATGTGTCATTAGGCAATTTCATCATTGTGTGAATATCAGAGTGTACTTACACAAACCTAGATGGTGTAGGTAGCCTACTACACACCTAGGCTATATGGAATCCCTGTTGCTCCTAGGTTACAAACTTGTGCATGTTACTGTATTGAACACTGTAGGCTATTGTAACATCATGGTGAGTATTTGTGTGTCTAAACATAGAAAAGCACACTAAAGATACCATATTATTAATATAATCTTTTGGGACCAATGTCAAATATGTGGTTCATTGTTGACTAAAACATCATTATGTGTCATATAACTGTATCTCATTTCCTAGTCATTCTCTTACTCATCTGCAGTTTTCAATTATATGAAGAAAACATCTTAAATATGTTACAAATGTGCAGAAATAGTTCTTTTTCCCATTCTTAGTTATAGTTTTGCTTTTACGTAACTCATTGGGAGTCAAAATTAAATGTTAAACTAGGAGTCAGAATGAAAGATACCTAGTTTCACAATCATCTCAACTGAACAAAAGTTTAAATTTAAAAAAAGAAAAAACATATTAACAAGAATATAGTATGGTTGTCCTCCAGGGACCCAATCCCAGCAAAGAATTGTGTATCTCTTTCTAAGGAATTCTGTGAAGCAGATTTGTTCGGGCCAGTGACCTGAGGCATTAGAATGAGCCCTGTCTCTGGAAACCTGAATTCTAATCTTGATTCTTTGACTAACTTGCCTGGGTTTTAAGATTTTTAGGTAATTTATCCTCTCAGCATCAGTTTTCTTACCAAAATGAATGCAAAGGCTATCCTGATTTCTAAGGTGTCTTCTGGTATGCCAAAGTATTGGTATGCTTAAGATTAGAGGCTTTATTTGGATGAAATCAGTATTTAACTTTTCCCAAATTTGTCAGTGTTCTCACTGGGTTCACACTGAGGGCTTTACTCTTTTTTCCTTCATAGAGATACTAGATCCCCTTCTTTCTTTGGCCAAGTCCAGCGGAATTTTTTCTTAACTCTCTTCCTAAGACTTGTTTACCTCATTCCTTTCCCCTTTCATGATGTTTCCTTCACTTCATTTTCCCTTTGAAATATTTTAGAACCCATTTTTCGCATATTTCATCCCTGTGAATGCTACTATATCTAAAGTAGTATTTTATTATTTTTATATAAAAGAAACTTTCAGCAGCTCTATTTCTGCTTTACTCATTTCAACTCCTCTTACTTGGCCCTGCACTAGAGTGCATTCAATGCTTAAATGCATTTTTGATTACTACAGTGTGTTATAATCCAGCCTTTTTTCATTGCCTTAAAAAAAATCCACATGAATCTAGGAAGTTATTGGTATCATAAATCTTTAAAACTGTAGTTTTAAAAGCACAAAATGAACTGAAATAGTGTTCATACCTAGAATTAAATAAGCATTTGAAGGCCTCTTCTTCCTCACTTAAATTTTTTTCCACTGATTCAGATTGGGAAAAACCATTATGTAATTTAGATCAAAATGCTGCCATCAAGCAGGGTTACCAGCAGTAGATCAATACTATTTCAAACTGTTAGGTAAGCATGCATGTAGTCTGGAGGGATTTCACAAACGTGACAGCTGTGGGCATCTGAGGTCTTCTAGCCATAAGAACTCAAGAAATTTTTGTTTGATGAAAAAATCCCCAAATAAAGGACTAAGTTAAGTTCTCATTGATCATTCCTACTTGTGGGCCAGAAGAGCTGATTATTACCAAACATAGTCATTGGGAATATCCTCATGCTTTCTCAAGTCCTTCTGTCTTCATTTCCAGTTACCTGTTAGCTTTCACAGGGAAATTTGCATGATGAGGTCTAGCATAGGGTGGAAAGCAGGCAATTCAAAGGCCACCCAGTTCCGAAGAAGGACTTCAGTCCAATGTTGGACTGTTTTCCTGAGTCATCTTTTGGTATTCCAAATATTGTGATTTATAAAAAATCTTCCATTCAAATGTTATTAAAATTGAAAATTTAAACTACCGCTGAGAAATATAGTTTCCAAGTTCAGTGTTATTTTCACAGTATTTAATGGGTTTACTATATAAAAACATCAGTTACACTTCAGGCTTCATAATATTTTTCAAATTTCCACTTTTGATATGGCTTCACTGGGTCACAGGCAGCTACTTTCAGGATCTTTTGAGAAAAATTTCCTTCCAAGCATAATAATTGCTGATTGTTTTCAAAAACAATGTGATTCACCTGGAGAGAAAGAAGAGCTGGGAATGAGCCACAGGCTGAATTTGATAACTGCAATATGAAGAAATGAAAATCAATTAAAAAAATGGACAGGCAGTTATATTTTTGATTTTTAAGAATTCTTCTGAACTAAATTATTAACATAAACACAGACTTTGAAAAGTATTAAATTTGTCTCTGTCTCAGACTAAGTAATCATCCTCCACCAAGCTATAAGACTTTTAAGTCCTCAGGAGGCAAAAGAAAAATTTCTTGATGATATGGCTGAGAACTATACTCTTTAAAGAGAAAACATTACAGATGACATTTATTGGATTTGATAGATGATAACTACTTCATTGATGGTAAAGAAAGAATACATACCGTAACAAAAAGTTAATTAATTTTTAAAGTAGGTGTCTTTGTGAGTTTGGATTACAAAATTCTGGAAGTGATGTATTTTATTTATGAGCTCCTTACCATAATCTCTGACAATTCATAATAACTGATGTCCAAAATCCAGATTAGGAAAAAGTCAACAGCATTAAAGAAAGTTATATTATTGCTTAATATTTAGTGAATATCCTAGAAATGGTAGATAAATTAGATAGACCTTACTAATGGCTTATATATTTTTTCATCTATAAATTTTCTTAATTACGTATGACTATGACAAAGACAATCTTAATTACACATGTTGTTTTTAAACTTTAAAAAGTTATCAAACAGGGGTGACTTTCATAATAATTTATTTTAAAGATTGCTGCTACAAAAGTATTGTCACCCTTGCAGGATTTTGGAAATACGATGCTTGAGTATTGTCAAGGATTTGTAAGGAAGTCTCATTTTATACTTCTCTTGTTGTTTAAGACTTACATATAATGGGAGACCTAGTAGCAATAGCATGAAAACTACTGAAAAACTGAAAAAAGAAGAAAGCTGATCACCAAGCTATTCATCTCCAGGACATTTGGTAACATCAAAAGGGAAACCCAAGACAGAAGGCAGCTGTGTAAAATGTTCCAAAGTCATAGGTACAAACAAGGTAGGGAAAAGGCTTTCTAATTTTTGCTATCTTAACTAAATTACCTCCTTTACCAAATCAGCTTACCGCTTAAGAGAAACTGCTATGCTTGAACTCTTTCCCAAGATTCAATTCTGGAGATGAAGAATGTGTTTTAGTTCTCGTTCTTATTCATATTCTCTCTCTCTCACTCTCTCTCTCTCTCCTTACCACATCCCCCCCTTTCTCCTTCCCTCCCTCCTGACTTTGGCACAGGGAGAAGGTAAGATGTAAGTTATTCACTACACTGCATGTTTATGGATTTCCTAACACTATGCAAAATAAAATTAGTGGCATATATGCTAATAATTCCTAATCTTTCTGAATAACTCAATAATAACCATTATTACTAAAGAGAAAAAACTGTTCAGAAAGAATTGAAATACAACAGAGAAGATCTAATGGGAGAAATGTTGGAGAATACATTACTCAGGCCCCAGTTTTGGCTCTGAGCAGGAAGAAAAATGTTGAGAAAAGAATAGTCATTGTGTTGTTAAAAGGAACGGAGGCACCTAAAGGAAGCAAAGGTGCTTACTTTGGGGATAGCCCAGGACAAACTGAGAGTCTCCAAATACCCAAATATTTACTGTAGACAGTAGATTTGGTGGCTACCTGCTGGAGAGATTGTAGAAAATTTAAGAAGGCAATTCTGAGACTATTCTCGCCAATCCCAAGCTCCTACACCAAGGCTTATGACTCCGTATTCTGTTAAAATGTAATTGGGACAAATGGAGAGGACTTTGAGAATGAATACAGTAGACCAGGAATGTTCTGGTAAATGGAACAACTGGACCTTCAGAAAAGTATCCCTGATCCAGTAACATCTTCCAATTTCTGTGGTATAAATACTCCCAATATGGCCAGTTTCCAGCTACCAATGTGGTATGATTAAATGCAAAGCTGGCAAGGGTGTGCACAAGTGGCTCCAGCGAGCTGGTGAGAGTTGGCTCCAGCAGACCCTTAGAAGCCCCGGTTTCTGGGTACCACAGGGGATGGGAAGAGTCTCTTATGGAAAGGGGGCAGAATGAGGAACCAGATTCACTCTAAAGTGCAGGACTTGTAGGAGACATGCTGCTTCCTGTGTTGCCCATATCCTCTCCTTATAAGCATTACTGATGACCAGTGGGGAC
Source organism: Homo sapiens (assembly GCF_000001405.40). Classification (NCBI taxonomy): domain Eukaryota; kingdom Metazoa; phylum Chordata; class Mammalia; order Primates; family Hominidae; genus Homo; species Homo sapiens. The sequence goes on along the minus strand of NC_000002.12, from coordinate 157,309,038 downwards.
CAGTTCTAGCCTTTAAGCCTGACTTTCGGTGTTGTTGATTGACTGAAGCAAATGATAGCAATGCAACTAGAAGAACTTGGTGATTTCTATTTAAAATAACTCATTTGAAATAAATTTTGAAAAATAAAAAAAAAAGGACTTGTCAACTTTCGAAAGATATCCATGCATCTCTGTGAATGAACTTTTACATAATCCCATGGTCACAAACACACAAAACTTCTGACTGAGGAAGGTGACAATGAGAATTTTATGTCCTATTTGATCAAAAGTCAAATTTGTGGTAAAGAAGAGGTACCAATCTTTTGCTTACCAGTTCTGGATGAAAGACTGATGTTGATTTATGCAGCCATTTTAGCCCTTTGTTTCTGTTATCACAAGGGTGCAGCCTTACGGCTCCTTTATCAGGGATGGGGGCTATACACCATTCTCCACATTTAATAAGTCTTAACCAGGTGTAATTAAATTGTTGAAGCTGTGGGGGAAATGAATAAAGAGGTCACTTCAGGCAGCAAACACAGGCAGGGGCTTTGTCAAACATTTTTGTTAGCAACAGTTAAGAATATAGGAACTATGATCTGACATTTTATATTCAAGTCCTGGTATTATCATTTGTAATTCTGATAGTATGGGCATATTATTTACCCTGTCTAATCTTATTTTTCTAATTATTTTTAAGTTGGATAGCGATTGTATCTATCTCAGAGGGTTGGGGTAATGACTGTCAAGTGTTTAGCACACAATAAGCCTTCAATAAATGTTAGTTACAATAATAAAAATTATTCAGTGCAATTAATTCTGTCTGCATATGGATGTCATTTCAGTGTTCTGAATCCCGACAAGCCTGGTGCTTAAAGAATTGGAATGTTCAGTCTACCACATGATTAAGGTTCTAAGCCACGGGTGGCTACAGGGAGATACCAGTCATAGCCCTAAATTTCTTGGGTGGAGATTTTATGCTTCCTTGTATAAAACCATCATAAAGGCTTTGTCCGATTGTAGGAAAGGTGGAAGTCCTTCTTTGCTACTAGCATGAGGAATCATCAGGTTGCTACCAGGTTGGCATCCCCCAGTTCATAGAAACTGCTCTTGGAGAAATTGCCAGTGTCTAAAATAAGTACCAATTCAGGTAATGAAACCATGTTTTTAATTCTGAAACATTTTTCTTCAGTTGTTTACAACCTACTATTGTCTACCCGGTCAATTTACTCTAATGCTCTGGGTCTGTGGGAAATTTATCGTTTTGTACTAATATAAACATATTTGAAAAAAATAGGCTTCTGGTAAAATCTATCTAAATGCCTTTACCTAATGAATCATTTGTATTGTAAGTGAAGTTTAACTTTGATTATCAGGTTAGATCAAAGTCATTGTGTTGGACCTTGCCATTGGAAGGGTGGTCCTTGGACCAACATCCGCATCAGCTGGGAGCTACTTAGAAGTGCGGAGTCTCAGCCACATCACCGACCTACTGATTCAGAATCTGCAGTGTAACAAACTCCCCAGGTGATTCACGTGAACATTAACATGTAGGAAGCATGGAAGTATGGCATAATATAAGGAAGTTATGTGCTACTAAGAGAAGCTAGATATTACCTTGAAAAAATACGTTTCAACTGCTTTAAAGGTTAATAACTAAGGAAACTTTTTAGGTAAGGTAAGGGATAGAGCTTGATGATTCAATCTAAGGGTCTTATTCTTTCTGAGCCTTTTTGGATGAATGTTGTAGTCACTGGCTTGGTATTAAGCCTCATTAATTCTGCTGAAAATGAGTTAACTTCCTCCACATTTCTTTACTTTTTATTACCCAAGCAAACCACAAGAGGCAGAAGCTAAAAATGAGCAACAAAGACTAAAAGGGAGCTGGGGCTTTGTGGAAGTCGAAGCCTGCATAATTTATACTTTTGCCTCTCAGCATCCAATTGAGAAAGACTCAATGGTCATCAAGAATAGAATTTGGGTTTTCAGATAAAATGCTGGTTACTCTGGCACAAAAACTCCCTGCTATGATGATTCCTAAAAAAAAAAAAATGCATTATTTAATACTTTCCTTTCATATAATGTGAAATAATTGTGGTTTTGTTTTTACAATTTATGACTTTATTTCCTCTTTGTTAGTAAGTGAAATTTATTTCTTTTAATGAGTTTTAACACTTCTTCACTTCCCTTTGACTCCTTTCTTTCCTAATTAAAAAAGAGTGGCCTTGGCTTCAGGTTTACAATTCACAGCTAAATATAGCAACAGAGATACCTTTTCTTCTAGTAGTAGCTCTGAGTTAAGAGGTAGAGATGGGATGCACCAAAAAATATAAACAGTATCTTGAAGTCAAAGCAAAGATGTAAGACTTAACAAGCCTAGATTACCATTGCAAAATAATCTCTGTACCAAAGAACAATCTGCAATTTTGGGAACTGATTTCTATTCATGAATCCATTTTCCTCTGAGTCCTATTTGCCACTCAAACCAATAACTGTTTCCACAAACACAGAACTGTTAAGGAATGTATGTTAGAGAGGGAAGTGTAATCACTCAGAGCTCACCTCCAGCACTGTGGAAGGAGTCTCTATTCCCTGCTTCCTGGCCCGACTCCCTCTACTAACCATTGCGCTCTGAGTTTGGGGAGTTTTCCTATAGGAGTTTCTACCATGGATCATGGATTTGGTTATTTCCATTACTCCCTTAAAATGCGGGAAAATGAGGGGAAAGAAGAATGGAATCAGACAATAAGACTGCTTCCTTAGAATGATTATTTAGAAATATGTTGTCTCTTTAGTATCTTTATCTATGTTATGCATTTTTTACATTTTTATCTTTATTATTATTACAGCAAACATTTACAGAGCAGTAAGCATTAGGTATTGTTCTACATGCTTCATATGTATTACCTAACTCCAGCCTCACACCAGTTCTAAAAGTAGGCATGATTATCACTACCATTTACCCAAAGGTTAAGGAATCTGCAGACGTTAACACGCTTTTGCAAATGATGGTGCCAGGACTGGATTCATTCTGGACCCAGTGAGTTGACTGCAGGACCCACACCTTTATTCCCTTAGTCACTGTCTTTGTGTTTAGTGGTGGACTCTCTTTTTACAAAGAAATTTAGAAAATTATTTTTCTGTTGGGCAAAGATGAATTTCTCAGTTGAGCAATGAATGTGTCATACCCTGCACCTATCAGCTACCATGAGATAGAAAACAGTTTAGCATACCTCTTTGCTCCCATCGCAGTCTTCCAGAATGACTGTAGTGTTTTCAATGGAAATGCATTTACCCAAAGCCACATTAATAAGCTAAAAAGCAAAATACGAAACAGGAATTACAAAATATTTTAAAGTAAAACAAGACATTCAGACACATTTAGAAAATACAGAATATAAAACTATAATAAGGTTAAAAGTTAATAGCTTAGCATTACTTAGCACTATCCAGTTTTATTGGTTGCTATCTCTAACAGAGACATAATGTAATCTTGTAATAGTACAGCTTCAATCTGTTAATTTTGGCCTGTGATCAGCCATAGAGCCAACACACAGAAGCTTTTAATTAACCCTTGCCTGGAATGCTAAATAACAAATGAGCAAAGGTGGCAAGAAAAGTAATTATTTTCTTGTCTTAAGTTTATCTAATGCATATACTAAAAGTCAATGCACCTATAAGAGTTATGAGCTATGTTCCCTGACTGACCCCTTCAAGCCTTTTGACTGCTTAAGCACTGAATCATAGATAAATTGAGTCCTTCAAAGAACAGCAGATTCCAGCTGATTCCCTGTCAGAATCTTCTTAATGACCCAAGCAAGCTACAATTCATTATAGGAAAGTCACGAAAGCTAATACAGAGCCAAGCATAAAGGCACTTTCTGGCAGGCCCCCAGGTTTTTAATGGATTTACAGGGTCAAATATGGAGGTAGCTTTCTTTAAGTCACCATTTAATGCAGAAAAATGTTGATTTCCTTTCCCCCTTTGACATCCTGGGCAGGGCTAACAAGATGATGGGTTAACAGTGCAACTTAGGGTTTTCAGATTTCTCGAACAGCTGTGCAGAGCCGAATCTATAGGACATGTCCTGGGAAAGCCTCCTGAGCTGGGAGGAGCTGAAGTCTTTGTTGCCAGGGACACTATTTGTGTCCTTCCTGTTCTATGATGCCTAACAAAGAGCTCTAACTCAGGGTGCTGCACTGATGCAGACTGGATGCTCACAGAATTGCCAGACTTCATAAAAGGGGGCTCAGTACATTGGTCCTCAATTTTACATGCTTAGCTTAGTGAACAAGAAAGTAAGGGACATCTTCAGGGATCAGAATATGCGGAAAAAATTAAAGGCTACAGGGAAACTTGCAAAGGTTGGCAAGAAAGACTTGTTCCCTCATATGGATGGAAGAAAAACAGAGGTATGTGTAAACCAAAAATCTGGAATTCAGGTCTTCCACATAACAGCGGAAAAACAGATCTTCAGTTGAATGCTGCACTGGGAAAAACAATTTGCCCATTAGCAAAGGGAGAAAACAAGGAAGCTGGATTGTCCCTGAGAATCTGAAACTTTACACCAGGCTTCATTTGGATTTGAGATGAATATTTACACCACCTGCCTTGGATAGGAACCATCACAGACTTTCAAGGCATAGAAACAAACATTAAAAATAGTACCAGGTTGTTAATTACTTCTGAGGTGCCTGGCACAGGCAGAAACAAAGCAACTATGGAAGGATGGAATCTCTATCAAAAATCCTCAGAGAAAGCTCTATTAGCAATTTAAAATGACAAATATGGGAGGAGACAGCTCACTGTTAGTAAATGTGGGCATCACAAGGCACAGAAGGATTCAATGCCCCCACAGTCCCACCCCTGAACTTCAGAGAGGAAGGTGAATAGAAAGACATGAAGGTAGAATAATCTCGGGGCTTAAAGGAAGGAAAGCATGCTGCAATTGCTCTCTGTACTGAAGCAGAGATAAATATTATGTAAGCTCCTGTATTTGTGGATCATGCAGAAATATTCTATCTTCAAACAAATTTGGAAAATTCTGGTTTCCACAGAGCCGAACAGGTGGTTCTACTCCAGAACTTCTCAAAATCTTCAGGGTGTTAATGTTCAGCTTGCTGTCAGAATGTTGTACAAATGTTTCTCAAATGTGCTTGACCATGGAACCCTGAGACAGCACAAGTAACATTGGTCAGGACAGTGTTTGGGAACCCCCTGTTTAACTATTTGTGTCTATTTTGTATAATCCTTCCAAGAACCGAAAAGCATTGGAAGGAAAGATAAAACTTTTCTGTCCCTTACATGTCCCTCCCTCATTTGACCTGAAGATTTTTTTTTCCTTTTTCTTAGAAATTACTGAGGAAACTATTTAATTGAGGTTTTTGCCATGGAAGGTACTTTTACACCAACCTAATACTTTTCTTCATATAGACATCATCTCTGAAGTGTTTTGGAATTGTTATTCTTCATTTCATTATTAGTTGTTTTCAGAATTTTCCTTTTTATTTAAAAATAATTGATCCATGTTTTTACTGTAAACCATTTTAATCTTTAAAAAAAATAGGCAGTGTATGAATTTTAAATTATCCATGTTGTATTATTTCATTTTCCAATTTAGGAAGTAGACATTCCGCACAATTTATGACAGAATTGTTAAACATTAGGCTATTTGCCAGCGGTTTAATCCAGTGTAAAAATACATTATTGGTGAGATTCTTTCATTAGCTTCAAATGTTGTCGTTTCAATAAGAAAATATTTCTTCTTATTACAAAAAACCAAAACTTTCACTGGATTTAAATTTCTGCTTGTGGAGGTTGAAAAAAGGGAAACGGAGCTATAGACTGTTTGCCAGCAGTTTAATCCAGTGAAAAATACATTATTGGTGAGATTATTAGCTTCAAATATTGTTGGTTCGATAAGAAAATGTTTGTTCTTATTACAAAACACAAAACTTTCACTGGATCTAAATTCCGTAGTGGAGGTTGAAAGAAGGGAAACGAAGCAAGTAACAAAAAGAAGTTGTGGAGTTTATTTTCTTGGAACTTTCCACGATTGTCTATCTAAAATAATGATCTACTTAATTTGTTGTAAATTACCTGGAGAAAGGTCCTAATTTTTTAAAAATGTTAATAACGCTCCCTGCTGGTTTGCTTCAGAAGGGAGCAAACTACATCTTCACTGAAATTTGTTTAAGGAAGACAACAAAGGAAAATAGAAGGAATTTGTTAAAATCACTTTTTAAAATACTTGGTGCATTTTGATATAGTATAGCGGAGGCATCAGCAGAAGGCTGTTTCATTAGGAGAGCTCTCCAGAAATTTCATAGGAACTCACTCAGGTTAGCGCAACAGCGGAGCCCAAAGGTAGTTTTCTAGTGCCCTCTGGTGGTTAAAGCTTATTATTACTCTGACTGAGATTCTGCGTTGCTGGAATGGGAAATATTAGAATAGTGGAAATTCCTTTCTTTTTTTTTTTTCTGCTCAGCGGTTGAAATTAAAAATTGTAAATTTATTTTACAGTTATATTTGACATGTTGTTATTTGAACAGTGTATATAAATCCAAAATGTCTGATAAGTTACCAGGTTGAGCCACTTAAAGTAGCTGCCATTCTATTTGGACCCATAAAAATGGCAATTTTATAATACAGTGCGTTATCTAAAAACAGGTCACATAAACTTATTTATCAGTTGAATTTTGTAAAAAACAGAACCATTTTTTTAAGACTAGTTTCTTGTCTTTCATAGCTTTCCTGGATTTCCCGAATACTTTCAAGGGGGAATATTATAGTAAGTTTTTGCTATCAGGAGATTTTCCAGACAGAAAGCATGGTATAATCCACTCTCAAGAAGAACTGAAAAAATTTGGCCTAAAAGGGCGGGATAACTAATGGTCACATTTTTAAAGAATTTCTTGGATGAAGAAAAAGGAAGCTGAAATAAAACAAAAACACTGGGGTTAGTTATAAGTCAAATTAAATTAGAAATAAAAGATTAGAAATAAGCATGACTGTCTAAGAACCCCAGCTGAAGGCTTGACTAATCATATCTAAACCCACGTGTCTTACCATCCTCTTCAAATGCAGCTTCACTCCTAGAAGGGGTTTGAAATGGCTTTTCCCCAGCTTCTCCTCTTTCTTGATGTTTTCTCAGCCTTGTACTCTGGCTACCTTATCTGGCTTAGCTTCTTCCCTTTGGATACCATCCTTCATGCCCTGGAATGTTATCTGCTATTCTCTGATATTTTCTGTTATTTTAAGTTCCTCTTTGAAATCTTTACAAACCCCAATTAAATCTTATCACCCCCTTGCTTAACTCTGCTCAATAACTTCCCACTGCTTTCAGAAGAAAGAAGGAAGCAAGGCAGGAAAGAAGGAAGGAAAGAAATAAAATCCTTACTTTGCTTACAAGGACCTGTGTGATCTGGCTCCTTCCTTCCTCTTCACCTTCATCTGGTGCCATTCTTCCCTCCTTCACACCCTGACAACATTCGTCTTCTTTCCAGTGCTTGGATGGAGAACACTCACCTGTCTTAGGGCTTTACGTGACCTTTACCCTCTGCCTAGCACTCTTCTTTAGAGCTTGGCTGACTGACACTTAGTGTTTTAGGCCTGAGTTACAAAGTCTCCTTCTCAGAGAGGATTTCTCAGCCACTCTAACTGAGGAGTCATCAACTGTGGCCTGTTCCCTAAATGAGAGCTATTATATTTTGTATTTACACTTGACTTGCTTATTTGTTTATAATCTTTCTTCTCTACCCAAATTAAGCTCCACAAGGAAGGAACCAAGTCTACTTCATTCATCACCCTGTAATCCAAGTCTGAAATACTCCCAGATCTACGGATACTCAATAGATATCTGTTGAGTTAATCAATGAACATGACCACTTGGTAGCCTTCCTCAAGTTTACCTATATTTAATTCTCAGCCATGCTTTGTCCCATCTTTGCTCATACTTGGTGTTTATTTATAATGTAATTACTCATTCTTTCCACACATTTTTGAAAGAGATTTTGTGTTTTGTTTTTATGGAGTAAGATTTTAAATTGCCACTTGAACTTACCACACCACTAGCTCTCACAATGGGAGCCCTTAAGTCAGGAAAGACATTCTCCAAGTACCATTTGAAACTTTTGCACTTCAGTTTCTTTCGCAGCTCCCTTTGCTGGGTGAGGTTGCCAACATCTAGCCCTTGGTCGATGAGGTGGTCTCCGTGGCCATAGAACAGCTCCTTATACTCATCCAGCCAGACCTCGGCAACCCGCACCAAGTTCCGCTCCACTGTCTTCATCCGGTCTTTGGGGAAGGAATATGGATTGTCATTTCTGAATATATGGCCCACTCGGGAGCAGGGAATGATCTCAATTTCACCACCACACATCCACACCTGGAAGAATTTGATGATAAGCATCAATTATCAAATGATTATCCACAAATCATCGGCACTTAACAATGACAAGAAACCACCTTGTTTCCCCCTACCTGAAGTAATACTCAACTTCAAAAACACTTTTGCAATAGAAAATCAAACTCAACAGGCTTATTTAATTTTGTGTATTGCTGTGGATCATTTTAGGATTAGTAAAATGTAATTTTTTCTTTCCTAACTTTCAATGTAAGTTTTTTTTAATTTGTAAATAAATCTTCACAGAATCCCATTTTGTAAAACATGAGTTCTTGTTTTGATTGAATCAGGGAAAGAAGTATAGATGTCCATTTGTTCACGTTCCTCTACTCTCATTTTTGGGAAGAACCAAAAGGCTTGTGGAACACAACTCAAAACCATCCTTCATGATCAGCAGCTCCAAAATTACACCCTTTTACATACATACAGAACACCCACCCAATAGGAAAGCAATTACTTTTTGGACACTCTCTACTACTGCTGTTGCCAAGGCTTTCTCAGAAGTTAATCAATGATTGTATAATAGATTGTATAAAGTGCCCAAAGGAGCTGTACTATAAGGCACACCTGACCTGTTGGTGACCTGCTTTAGAGGTATTTTAATGTACTTCTGTCATTTGTGTTCTCTAAGATGATCCATTACAGATTGAGTCTATTCCTTCCAACATTCTAGACAGATGTTCCAGGAGAGTTATTTTGTAGCACGTATGACTCCCACAGCATTTACTCTGAGTGGCAGAAAGTCATTTCCCCCATATTTATAAGCAGAAATGGTGTTGTGAAATATTAGGGAATGCTAATAAATTTTATGACAGCAATTGATTCTTCCAAATTCAATCTGAGATATGAAAAAATTAATCCAGAGACCCTAAAATTTCTGTGAAATTTCCTCTCAGTGGCAGTCACATACCTGATTATGGTAGTAAAATCAAACCATTTAAAATTGATTAACTCATTATCGTAAAGAAAAGTTGGGAAACACCTGGTAATACCTTGAATGAGAGCTCCATATTTTCCCCACCCCAAACATCAAGGCCAGGGTCGTATGTTCCAAGTTCAAAAAAGTAACTTTTGTCAATAGAAAACAATCCACCAGCCATGACAGGGCACCTACAAAAAGAAAAGTTTGTTTTTTAAACTTGCATCTCATGAAAGCTCGACTTTTAGAGTTGTTCCTCTGTACATCTGTACGGGAGGTAGGAGGCTTTTCAGAATAGCTACCTGATGCAGGGAAGCCCTGGGATGGAGTCACAAATAGGGCTTAAGTGATGCGATCCCTGGATCATGGTGGCAGAGCTAGATTAGGTTCAGCAAAGATGCATCCTGGAACTAGTATTATTTGTCCTTTATACTGTGACACAAACTGTCCAGGAATGTTATTTTTAACACTTATTCAGGGCTAAGGGAGTATCAGGCACTATTGTAAGTATTATATATATATTCCAGCCCAGACTTCACAAAAAATCTTGTGTGTGCAATTATTAAGAATCTGCAACACTGGATGTGAGGGCGATCTGGCTGCAACATCTGTCAGCCCATTGATTGCCAGGGTTGATTCGGCTGATCTAGCTGGCTAGGCGGCTGTCTCCTTCCCCCCTCACCGCTCCATGTGCGTCCCTCCCGAAAGCTGCGCGCTCTGTGGAAGAGGACGACCATCCCTGATAGAGGAGGGCCGGTCTTCCGGTCTTCTGGTCTTCCGGTCTTCCGGTCTTCCGGTCTTCCGTCAAGGGTATATGAGTAGCTGCGCTCTCTACTAGAACCTCCAAGCAAGCGCTCAGGAATTGGCAACACGGAGAAGGTAAGAAACTTTCCCAAGGACAGTAGACACCTTGGGTTTGCTCTGGGCAGTCTGAGGGGACGCTGTGCCACTCACTCCACTGTACTGCCTCTCAGCCGTTACTGGAAGGAAGGCCGTGAGAGTGAGTTGTCCAGGTTCTGGGTATTTTGAACAAAGAGTTGAACAAAACACACTAACAAAGGAACGAAACACATGAACGAAGCGGCACAAGCAGGGATTCGTTAAAGCGGGAAAGCGCTCCACAGGGTGGGAGTGGGCCGGAGCAAACGGTTCAAGGGCCGGGTTACCAAGTTTTCTGGGTTTCAAGTACTCCTTTCGAGGTCCCTACCAGCTGCCCCTTATCTGGATGGAGGATTTGGTTGGCTAATGAAAGGCTGCGGTGAATTGGCGCCCTGTGCAGATGAAGGGAAGGTCCCTGCTTGGCCAGTCCAAGGCAGAGACTCTCCCTTTCCTTCTGAGATGTGGTGGAAGGGGAGGGCTGTAGGGAGAGTAGCCGTTGATCCTTTGTTACTCGGGTGTGGGGAAATGGGGTTTTCCTTCTGGTTTAGCTTTAGGAAGTGGGTGTTAATCGGCCTTAGATCCCCTGCCCCTAGACCCAGGTGTTTTCCTTTTGATCCAGGTTTGGGAAGTCAGCAGGAATTGGCCTTAGATTCCCTGCCCCCAGACCTTGGTGTTTTTCCTTGATTCAGCTTTAGGAAGTCGGCATGAATTGGCCTTAAGCTTCTTGCCTCCAGACCCTATTCTCCTGCCTCACAACCACACACAAACTTTACTGACAGCGTGTTATATGGCAAGCACCTTTCAAAGCACTTTATATGTTATCTGATTCAGTTCTTAAAACAATCGAAGTAGCAGCTACTTTTATGAGTCTTTATGTAAAAATAAAAAAACAGAGGCTCAAGATGATAAGTAACCTTTTCAAGCTCATACCACTTCTCAGTGGTACAGTTGAGATTCAAACTGTCTCCAGAACCTTCACTAATAATATTGATCATGGAGGATAGAAACTACATTTTAGTCAGCAGTTAGCCAAGACTGGAATCACTTCCTATGGTGGTCACCACTCAGCCAGCTAAAGTAGTTTCTGTGGAGAGCCTGCTTTGTGCTTAGGGTATACAGTGATCTCAAGGGGGAGATAATTCCTGTCCCACACCTCTCTCCCCTCCGCCACCATTTATGTTCATTTTCTTTCTGCTCTCCAATTTTCCTACTAGACTATCCAGAACGCATTCTCGTCCTAACATTATGTTGAATATAGTCTGAACTCAACCACTACATTGGCCCTCAACATGAGAGTATGGAAAGAGCAGAGGTTCTTTAGGTGTAGGTTCAGAATAAGAGTGTTAAATCCAGGTAATTCTGGGTTTGAGTCTCAAATTCTTCTTTGATTAGCTGCGTATTCCTGGGAAAATTACTTAATGCTTTTAAGTCTAAATTTCCCCATCTCTTTAAGGTGAATTCTTCCACCTCCCTCCTAGAGTTAGGAAGAGAGTTAGGTGCCTGGCACAGAGTGCTCAATAAATGGTAGAACCTTCACTTCTTTGCTTGGTGGAATAATTCTGAAGGCATCACACCTGGCAAGGAAGGCGGGTATGACTGATTGAGGGGTAAGTTTGGGGAAAACACGCTTCGGTGCACGGTCTGGGCTTGGCTTTCTGTTGGGGCTGGCTTACTTGTGTCTGTTTAAGTGGTCACTACAACAGGGAAAGTTTAAGCCCCCTGCAGCTCTTCCTGTGGCTGGCTTAATGCTTGTGCTGCAGGCTTATATTCTGAAGAAGTAATAGGAAGCCTCCACTTCAGCTTCAAGTCTAAGCTGTGTTCTTCAATGCAGTTTCTTGGAAATAAAAGCCCAAACTTGAATTCATATCCAGCTTCTGAATCAATTTTTAAATTTATTCATAGAATTTGGCACTTTTCTCATGGAGGGGGTAGGATTAGGCTGTAAAAGAAAATCCTAACCATTGCTATCATTAGAATGATATTTCTATTACCATTATTTACTTTTAATTTGCACTTATGTTTACTTTAATATTACATGTGTTTGTATAGTATGTATGCAGCACATTTTGCTAGTTTGTGTTTCTTAGGTTGCAAATCCTAGGGGACAGGATAGCATTAGTGAATTTTTCTGTGTTCAGGCCTGAGTAGGGTACAAATGACCAGTGAAGAATGAGTTTTGGGAACGAATTTCTCAAGAACACTGTGTTTGCTTTGGTAATCTATTGGCTAGAACTGTGATTCTTAATGTTCTATAGAATAACAAGATACAGCTGTTTTGTAGAATTTTTTAATGCTTTTACAAAAAGATACATGACTGCTTTCTAGTCTTAAATTTCCCACACTTACCTTATTGTATCAGTTTCTTTAATTCTGTTTTTTGCAATGACATCTGGAGGAATTGTTCTCCAACCAAAGTTCATGGGCCACACAAAGATGCCTCTTTGAAAGTTATCCACTGTCATGTAACTAATCCAGGAAATGAAAAACAAAGTGTTATCTGGGATTATATACATCTTTATATACTTTATCGATTTGGCTTCACGATGTAATCAAATGAATGAAACAAGTGCTTTTGATGAGTTTAGATCACCACCTTTTAATAATAGTTCAAGAATGTTTACAAGTACAATTTGCATTAGTAACTGATTGGCTTATTTGTGCTTAACTTATACTTTTATAATAACAATATGCTAGCCAGTTTTGAAGAAAAAAAATACAAGAGCAACTTAAAAGCACATATACGCTTCCCACAGAAATAAGAACTAAATTTGAGGTAAATAAATATTTGGGGTTCAGCTAAATATAAAGGGGAAAAACTAGGTCATGAGTATTAGGATTTATTGGTATTTAGAGTTAAGAATTTGTAGTGACCAGATAGATTATTGCATCAGCAGACTCTGATCCCAAGATATCGACCATGTTTTTCCATTTATTTAAGTAGATAAACTGTATATGTCTTGGATTTTGAAAAAACACACATATTAGGCATATACTCAGCACTTTCTGCTGCTTGTGATTAAAGATGTGCTTGAAAGTATCTTGTGGAATGTGTAAATATTACCTCATATCCTTATCATTGATGACTTCGATTACTGGACAGGCCACTTTCTTTCTACTTAAATAAACTCTTTCCAGAAGAGGTTCCAACCAACCAACGTTACATTCCACATGAGAATCTAAAAATGTCAACACATCACCTAGAGGGCCAAACACACACAAAAAACTTAGAAAATACGATATATTGAATGTGTGTACTTCATGTTCAAAGGTATTGATGATTGCTCCAGAAATGTGGCTATAAATGCAGTGACCTTTTTTTTTTTTTCTGAATTCGTGGTCACTATAATTTCATTTCATACTGAAATGAGAGAAACTTTGCTCCTAGGAGTCCTGTGGTGCAAACATAATTTATGTTTGGAAAAAATTGATAAGCCATTTAGAATGGGCAAAAGAATCTGAAAAGAATACTTGGTATTAAATGTAGTTGCTGAAGTCCCCTCTGAGAGAGTGTGCCCATTAACTCTGGGGGTGCAGGATTTGGGACTTTGTTTTTAAGAAGCAGACAGACTGAGATGACAAGTTTGGCCTTAGGAATGATGAAGAGGAAAAATTACTTCACACAATAGGGATGAAAGAAATTAAAGTGGACAAACCAGCAAGGCTAGGAGGTAATGAAAAGAGTTATAGGAGACAGGAGTGGGGAATGGGAGGTTACTGATTAATGGGTATGGAGTTTTATTTTTGCAAGGTAAAAAGAGTCGTGGAGACTGCACACCAATGTGAACGTATGTAACACTATGGGCCTGCACACTTAAAAATGGTTAAGATGGTACATTTTTATATTCTATGTATTTTATACAATTTTTAAAAAGACTTAGAGGAGGAAAAAAAAAAGGAAAAGAAACTTGGAGGCCAGAAGTAGTATTAAGAACTCTTTTATTTCCCTGTTAGTTGTGTGAAGTAACACTCTCTCTCTCTCTCTCCATTGAAACCTCAGTAGCATCTACATTGCTCCAGAGGATCTTATACAAGTGAAGTGTGTGTGTGTGTGTGTGTGTGTGTGTGTGTGTGTGTGGTGTGATGTGATGTGTGTGTGAGAGAGTGTAACAACCCAGGAAATAAGCTCCTGGTCCACATCCTATGTGTGATCTTTCAGGCCCAACCACAGGTAATACAAAGGCTCTACCTACTGGGGCTCATGGGGGAAACCTGCTTTCTCACTCAGACTTGGTGCCCAGCCAGTGTGTTGAAGTCTCTAAAGGGAGTTGCGGTCCAGGTCTCAGACCCTCCACTCGGCTGCAGCACTTGCTCTTCTGCCTGTCTGCATTCCTAACTCAGGTGCCTCCATTCAGGCCAAAACCTCTGCCAGGACCACTTTATTGGAGATGGAATGGGTCTTGAAGACACTTTGCTCGACTCTGACTCACTATTCAGTGCTTTCCCACTCCTAGCCTTTCGCTTTCTTACTCTGGATCCCAGGGCCACATAACAGAAGGAGCCTTTTGTGCTGGGTTCCTTGGGCAGGCAGTGAGATGCCCCTCTTGTCTGCTCTGTTCTGCTCTGATCCATCACTCAGCAACATTCCAGGGGGAAAAATGGAACATAGGAGGAGCCAGTGCCTTCTCCTGTTCAGCCTCCTGTTGATACTGTTGCAGTAAGGGATTAAGGCTTGACTACTGCTTTCATTTTGGTTTATCATTTTAATTGACTACTTTGATACCTGGGTGCTCAGCTCAGCTCTTGACATACCTGTAAGAGCAACCATCATCTAAGTGCTTGTTCTATGCCAGTCTCTGTTCTAAACATTCTTCATGCATGTTTTATGTAGTCTTTACAACAACCCTGCAGTATAGAACTAATTTTTATTCCCACTTAAGAGACAAGGAAACTAAAGAACAAAGACCCTAGGTAACTTTTCTATGGTTGCACAGCTAACAAACAGCAATGTGATATTAGAAAATAAGTAGCTCATTCCATAGATTACATTCTTTAAAAAATGCTAGAAGGAGGCAGAGCTTTGGGTATGAGAAGGCTTAGAGAACAAGATGAGGATAGTTATCTAGATGACAGATCATTATCACTGAAATCTGCAAACTACCTCTCAATTAATAGAATTTAGCATCGTATTAATTACTTGGTTAACAATGGCATTTTTGCATGAGGGCAAGGTATTGGTGTGGAGTGTTCTTGAGGATTCTGTTTAGTGAAACCATCTGTGAGAAGCAAACCCGCTCCATGTAGTCTTCTGTTCTTGGAGATAGCAGTTTCATCTCCTGACCAGGCTGGAAGGGTCCTATTTTCAGGGCATTAATGCTTGTTTGACAATGACAGGGTATTGTCCCCTGCATGGTCTGAATGTACGTGTCAATCCAAAATTCATATTTTGAAACCTAACCCTAAGATGACAGTATTAGGAGGTGGGGCCTTTGTGATAAGATCATGAGGGTGGAGTCTTCTTAAGTAGGATTAGTGCTCATATGAAAGAGGCTGGAGAGTGTTTGTGAGCTCCTTTTGCCCTTCCACCATGTAAGGTCACAGTAACAAGGTGCCGCCTTTGAAGCAGACAGTGAGCTGTCACTAGACACCGAATCTGCTAGTGCCTTGATCTTGGACTTCCCAGCCTCCAAAACTGTGATCAATAAATATATGCTATTTATAAATGATCTAGTCTAAGGCATTTTGTTATAGCAGCCCAAAAGGACTAAGCCATCTCCTAAGGGTGTCCTTTGGGGATGGCACCTTTGGGACAGCTGTCTCCCCTGTCATGGGAAGACTCACAGAGTCATGTAGGTGTATGAAGCGTGGCCTGCTAAAGTCCACTTGGCTAGTGGTATACAATGTAGTAGAAAAAGATTCCTGGCCGGGTGTGGTGGCTCACGCCTATAATCTCAGCACTTTGGGAGGCTGAGGTGGTAGGATCATGAGGCTGAGAGATCAAGGCCATCCTGGCCAACATGGTGAAACCCCATCTCTACTAAAAATACAAAAATCAATCGGGCGTGTGTGTGTGCCTGTAGCCCCAGCTATTCAGGAGGCCTAGGCAGGAGAATCACTTGAACCCAGGAGGCGGAGGTTGCAGTGAGCAGAGATCACGGCACTGCACTCCAGCCTGGTGACACAGCAAGACTGTGTCTCAAAAAAAAAAAATAATAATACGATTTCTACTTGTGGTCCATTCAGACCTAGAGTTTAAAGAGCATTCTTTACTACGCCACCTGTCCCTATCCCCATAGCAGCCTTATGAAGTCAAAGGGGCCTGGATTATCTTTCTCAGTCCCCAGTGGCAGCAGGATGGGTCCCCAAACCTGCATTCACTTCCCACCTGGCCCAGATCCCTATGAAAATTCTCATTCATTTGCTGCCAGGACCTAAGGGAAGCAGCATCTGCTCAAAACATAGTCTGGAATTTTATATTGTTTTATTTTGGGGAAGAGGAGAATCCTCCTGTGCATGCATGCTATTGCTCTACTTTCAGACACTTTGTTTTAAAATAAGATCCTAGGACTATGTTAGGTGAGAAAACAGGGAGCTCTCTGCGTAGCTGACTCTTGGTGGGATTTCTGATTGGCGTGGTTATTGTCTATGGACATTGTACGCACTGTTCCTGATTCAGAGAGGGGAGAGGCACAGTGAAATAAGCATAGCATTAAAGTTACATACAACAGCCTTCAATCCGAGCTCTGCTTTTCCTAGCCAGGTTAGATAAGTTACTTAACTTTTTTGAGCTTTGCCCTATGAAGATATTTCTAAGAGCTACCTGATATCTAAATTCTTTAAAAATTGCTAGTATAATTTACTGTCAGAATAATCAACCCAATCACTTAAAATTTTTAAATGACACAT
The DNA here is from genome assembly GCF_000001405.40 of Homo sapiens. Classification (NCBI taxonomy): domain Eukaryota; kingdom Metazoa; phylum Chordata; class Mammalia; order Primates; family Hominidae; genus Homo; species Homo sapiens. Next base: position 157,292,016 of record NC_000002.12, on the reverse strand, counting down.
AATAATTGTATATATTTATGGGGTACATAGTGATATTTGATACATAAAGTGTGTAGTGATCAAATCAGGGTAATTAGCATATCAATCACCTCAAACATTTATCATTTATCTGTATTGGGAACATTCAAAATCCTCTCTGATAGCTACTTGAAAATATATAATAAACTATTGTTAACTATAGTGACCCTATAGTGCTACAGAGCACTAGATTTGGAAAGGGTAGGAGAGAGGGGATATAGGGAGAGGCGGGTTAAAGAATATAAAATTTTAGTCCAACCTTGATTGCTACCTGTTAGGATTTTCTGTTTTCTAAGGATAGGTCCCAATAATACTGGATTGTTTACAGATGGGTTTCATTTGTAACTTAAAAATCTGGGGGGGGGTGGGTGGTAACATAAAACTGTTCAATGTGCCAAAAATTTTGGGTCCTTGTTGAGCATGGACCCCCACTTATATCCAGTGTACCAGCCTGGAATATTGCTGCTGTACCAGTTAATGCTAGATGGTTATGTCTAGGATTCCTTGAGGGATGTTGGCTTGGCGTGCCGTTTAATTTTACATAATGCCTCCTAAGTAATGCTAAGGAAAAAATTTTTACCTGCAGCAGATACAAGTTATAAAAGTTTGCAGACAGATGTCTACTGTTGCTTTTTAGGAGACCTTGGAGTTTGCTAGGAGTTAGATGTCACTTGTCCAGTTACTTAAAGTTAGCCAAGTGATTATTTAGAATGCTCATAGAAATGTCAGGAATTTTGCCAAATGCCATGTCATGAAGGAAATGAAAACCTAATATTTACTTTGACTCTCTACTGCCTGACTGTAACTCCTCTTGGCAGGGCAGTAAATCACTTGGTCTGTTCCATACTAGGAAGGGATATGGGTGATCTACTTCTTCCCTGATATCTCATTTACTCTATCTTTTTAATTCTGTTGGCTTCATATAGTGGGCAATTCTTAGAGATCCATTGCCCCGGCCTACCTGTCAATTTTAAAATCCTACTTGGGCCTCTCAACCTCCTCATTCACAGCAAGCAACTGATTGGACCTAATCTTTTTGCCTGAATTAGATTCAGATGAAGAACTAACATGCCCTGGAAACTGAATGCATAGTAGACATTGCTAATGGTAAGGCCGATCACTGCTTGGCCCCTTATTATTTTGTAGATGATTGCAGACTTTCAGAGAGCCTCTTGCAGAACTTCAGAGAGCCTCCTAATACCCTGGGACCAAAATAGGCCATCTGACTTCTATTTCTGCATGTCTTTGGATCTCTGGATCTCACCCTTGCCTGTTACTTCCCTTTTCTTTGAGTCCTAAAGGGCAAATTTTAGGGAACAGTAGCATCAAGGCCTGTCAGATTCTGGACTCAGATTCTTATCTTTAAACTCCTTGTTTGGCGAGGCATCCTAGAGAAAATTTTTGTCTGCTGTCTTTGCTGATCTCTAATTTACAGGAACTCTTCAGGAGGCCCTTAGTCTCTTACTTATCTCTACTCTTGAGAGCTGTGGCACACCCAGGGGAGTTTGAGAGGACCCACCACGCCTGCCATCTCTGCTCAATGCCAGTCTCTGAATTACATTCTCTGCTAAAACTGATCCTGCATTGCCTTGAATTCCCCACAGGGGACAGGTGTACTTCCCAGCATTGGATGTATCCTTGGGCAAGGATACATCGAGACAAACCTTTCTTCTTTCCAAACTCTCAGGCACCCAAGCTCCACTAATGCTGCTCCAAGTGTAGGCCACAGACCCTGCTGTCTACAGGGTGATAGCAATAGAAATTGAGAACAAATATTTTGAAACTTTATAGCAATTTGTCAAATTTATAAATTTATTATTTATTTACTGTTTTTATATACATGTAGATACATATGCATATATATGTATATATGTGTTTGTGTATGTATATATATATATATATATATATATACATTTTTTTTTTTTGAGACAGAATTTTGCTCTTGTTGCCCAGGCTGGAGTGCAGTGGTGTGATCTTGGCTCACTGCAACCTCCGCCTCCCGGGTTCAAGAGATTCTCTGCCTCAGCCTCCTGAGTAGCTGGGATTACAGGCACCTGCCACCACTCCCAGCTAATTTTTTTGTATTTTTAGTAGAGACAGGGTTTTGCCATGTTGGGCAGGCTGGTCTCGAACTCCTGACTTCAGGTGATCTGCCTGCCTTGGCCTCCCAAAGTGTTGGGATTACAGGAGTGAGCCACCACCCAGCCATATATATTTTGTATGTAATAAAAATGGGTTTGTGTTTTATATATCTACTTTCCTTTTTGGGTAATTAATATTGATTATAATTTACAAAGGGGTAGGTCAATAAAAAATTGGAAATTAGGGGAAAAAAATTCCTTTTCAGATAGTTTGGGAAGCATCACTCTACTAGGCAGTGGCAAGCAATTAAGATACACCTAGCTGGGGTTTTTCAAACTGAGAGCTGTAGATTCCCTTAGTGAATCAATCACTAAATCAATTTATTGAGATTGGCTAGGATCTAAAACATAAATAACATAGAAAAGAAGGTATTAGAATCTATTCCACATGTTATTTGATAAAATGTCTACTGTAGTTATATGTGTGATTACACATGTACTGAGTTGTGATGAAACATTTATTTCTACACAAGCCATTGTCAAAATGGTTTGACAGTTACTGAGCTAATATTCTCAAGGCTGTTAATGAATCTGAATTTACATTCAGATTTGCTAAATTCAAATAAATTACATTATGGATGTTAACTGCAAGCACTTGAGCAAGCAGTTGCAACTGCTTTAATCAAGCTCATAACACCCCTTCTAAGACACTCCACCCATGTTGTCTAATAGTTTGGACTGTGTTGGAGGCCGTTACTAGCATACTCTGTGCTCCGTGCAGGCAGAGAGAAAATTTTTAAATAAGTAACCCATATTTGGTTCTGTATTCTACTTTCTGTGCATGAATATCTCATTTTCATCTCAAATTTATATGGACAAAATCAAAACTCAACTGCAATTCCAAACCTGCTCCTCCAGTTTTGAGCCTACCACCCACCAAGTTGTTCAGATACCAGTCCTAGGGTTTGTTTCTGATTGGTGTCATTCTTATTCTCTTCACATCTTATCTGACGGCAAGTCCTATACGTTCCATGTGCACAATCTATGATGAAGCTGACCATTTCTCCCATTTACCCTGGCACCTCCCTGGTACTTGGACAACTATAGTAGCCTCCTAACTGGCCTCCCTACTTCCTTTTTCATCTTCCTAATATCCATTCTCTACACAGTGGCCAGAATGAGCTTTCAAAATGTACATCAGACAGTTTCGTTCCTATTTAATATTCTTCATTGGCTTCACCTTATACTGAGAATAATGCCTACAATCTTTAAGTGATGCACAAAACTTTAGAAAAATTTGCTTTTTTCTTTCTCCCCAAATGAATCTTTTATGACTCTCCCCATGGTCAGCACCCATGAGTCAAAATGAACTTATTTCTTTACCTTGAATATGCCAAGCTCATTTCTTCATTAGGACATTTGTACTTCTTGTTCCATTTGCTTGGGAATATTCTTCACCCAGACCTCAGCTCAAAAATTACCTATTTAAACTAGTTCTTGAGTATCCTATTTTTACGTCATTTATAGATAATTACTTTCCAAAGGAAATTAAGCATGGAATGCCATTAAATTTTTCTGAATGCAGTCTCTCATCAAGAATCTTAACTGTCACTGCAATGCCAATTTTGGTGTGATGTATTTGTTGCTTACTTAAAATTTCCTCTACAAAGAGAAGACATTTGTTAGCAAACCAATGAAATGAGAAGAGCTTCAAATATGGGGTCCAGTTATGAGAAAATTAAACTCAGGTAAGCAGAAAACTTCCCATCAGAACATGCTTGAATTTAAGCTGGTGGAGACCTGTAAAAGCAGGGCTTACAGGGCCAGAGTGGTGGCTAAATGTCTAGAGGCCTCAAGGTGTAGTTGATAAGAGGACGGACTCTGGGGTCAGGGCATTCAGGTGCCAGCTTTGGATTTACCACTGGCTAGATGGGGGAGCTTGCATAAGGCACAGCCTCACTGTGCCTCTATATTCTCATATGTAGAATGAGGATGTGATTGTACTCATCTCATAGAGTTATTGTGAGGATTCAATCAGTTAATACACAAAGTATTCAGAATGGCACCTAGCATATAAATCAGCTAGTATTACAGGGCACAGATCCTTCCATAGAAATGTATGAACATGAACCCAAATGTTTGATGTTGTTTTTAGAATACTCATAAAATAGATTCACTTCTCATTCACTCACCAACACCTGCACACTAAAAAGGGGAGAGGAAAAGAAGGCATACGGCCTTTGGGGAAGGCAGAAAGAACCATAGGAAGAATAGACATGGGTCAGAGAAGAGAGGGGTGAGGATTATAGAATTAAAACATTACGAAATCTTGAAATATTGATGGGTCAGGTCAAAAGGGCACAGGCTTGAAGAAGCTCCTAGTGGTCAAATTTGGGACAATTTGAACACCAACAAGAATAATGGTGATATAATACACATTTAATTTCTGAGCCATAAATCCATATCGATGAGGGGATGAGAGGGAGGGGAGAGGGAGATTGAGGGGAAAGGGAGGAAGAGTTAGAAAGCAGGAGAGGGAGAGATAGAGATTTTCTCCTTACACATGAATGCCAGCTAAATAAAAAAGAATGAATTATAGAAAAGCAAATTTTCAGTCCTCAGTGTAATAATTGATTTAAGCAAGGATGATCAATGGATACTAAAAACCATTGGGTAAAACATTGTAAGAAAAACAGAATATTTTCATGGATCAATGTGTCATTCCACAAATTACTTCTTAATCCCAAAGTAAAGGTTTAGCTGTCAACATCTTAACTAACAAAGTTAGTATCAACAATACTGGTGATATTATGTTATATTATATGCCTCTTGATGAGATGTATACCATTTCTATCACCTATGTAGTAGCATTCTATATAATATTTTCACTCCAAAAACATTTATCCTGCAGGTAACAAGAGGAAATCAAAAATTTCAGAACATGGTCACTGGTACCAAACAAATGGCATGAACTTAAAATACACACACACACACACACACACACACACACACACACACACACACTGGTATTTAAACAAAGTGTGTGAGGAGTTGACTTTTCAGACTAAGAAGACCAAAGTATCAAATGCAGAGTATGAAACTTAATTAGTTCCCGAATTTAAAAAAACATTTTGAGGCCTGTAATCCCAGCACTTTGGGAGGCCGAGGCGGGCGGATCACGAGTTCAGGAGTCGAGACCATCCTGGCTAACACAGTGAAACCCCGTCTCTATTAAAAATACAAAAAATTAGCCGGGCATGGTGGTGGGTGCCTGTAATCCCAGCTACTTGGGAGGCTGAGGCAGGAGAACGGTGTGAACGAGGGAGGCGGAGGTTGTGGTGAGCTGAGATGGCACCAGTGCACTCCAGCCTGGGTGACAGAGCGAGACTCTGTCTCAAAAAAACAAAAACAAAAACAAAAACATTTTGGGAACAATGAGAAAACTTGAAAAGAGCATATAGTAGGTATTATATTTAGTTATGAAAGCTGTGCTTATTTAAGAGAATGCTTCTGTTCTTCAGAGCTGCCCACTGAAGTACTTAGGGGTGCAGTATGATGATGTCTGTAACTTCTTTTTCAAAGGTTCAGGAAAAAAGTATATACAATAGGTGTCTATGTGTGTTTATGATAAAGCACATATTATAAAAACTGTTTAAAATTGATGGAACTAAGTGATGCATATATAGGCATCATTGTGCTGGTCTTTCACATTTGCTGTATGTTTGAGAAACATTTTAAATTAAAATAAAAATGTAACAAACAAAAAAATGAGTAACTTCTTACCTGTTGCATTCTGTGCTCCTGCCAGCCTGGCCCTTATTAAGCCATGTCTCTCTTTGAGGCGAAGAATCCGAACTTTTGGAAACTGGGACATGTATTTATCCAAATTATCTTTTAGATAGTCTACATCAGAGTAAAGATAAACCAGGAAATACTTGAATTAAGTAAGTCCGGATAGTATCAGAAGTGCTCCCCAAAGTCAAATGCCAAAAACTATGACATTACCATCATCACTGAATTTTATTCCTTGGGTCATAATTTTATTTTCTGATGTCATTTTCTTGGAAGGATTCTATCTGGTTTCAGTATTCAAAGCTGTCTGATTTTTCAAACCCCAAATGTTTGTTTTCAGTGTTGTAAGGTGATGTAGTGGAGGGCACACCTTTCTGAGTATTTGTCAAGGTGGGGGCAGATTTGCCTTAAAATATATGTAGCTCAGGCTTCTGCACAATTCTGCCTCTACTCTCAGCCCCACCTCTTGCAAAAGCCCCTTCCATGACCCAAGGAAGAGGCTAAACAATGTGTGCAAATAAGACCCTTTCATTCTCTACTCTGACATCCCCTTCCATTACACCTTTTCTCTCTTATTAGATGGCCATGGAGGGATCCAGCTAAAGGAACAGTTTTCCGGGGGCTTTATGAGCTATGTTTATGTGACTTACAGTCATTTCTGTGTGTAATCAAGCTATTGACAGCTATCCTAGGTTGGAATGGCTTCCAGAAAACTTTCTAAGAAAGTTTTTCTTAGACAGGACCCTGAAAACTGAATAAGCTTCAGGTCCCACAGAATCTGGACCTGCCCCTCATAAAGGGACTCCTATCTACTTACTAATTGGGTACTATTCCTGTTTATGCTTCCAAGGCCACATTTTATGTTTTTCAGCCAGTTTTTCTCTATCATCCCACAGCTTCTTGAGCTCAGTGTGATTATGGCAGAAACTCTGAAGCTAAAGAAACTTCCCATGTTGCTGTGGTCACAGCTCAAGGGTAAGCTGTTCCATTAGCATTGCCAAGTCTTTGCTATTTTCTAAACTTTTCTGAAAAATGGGTTCCATTTGGGAATTTGTAATGTGGCTGTCAGACCACCTACATACACAGGTTATTTGACAACCCAAAGAGTGAGATTCTTCACTGTAATAAGCAAAAATGAACATAAAGGCTATGGTGGATTCTGGTTTTGAACTTTGTTGGAATCACCTCATCTCTCTTGTCCTATTGGCAATTTGTCTTCTTAACACTTAACTGAACACATCATATGCCTTGCTCTCAAGGAAGAAGCCATAAGATCTTAATTTCTTTGCCTTCCATAGAGTCTAACTGTAACTCTAGTTATTACCAGTAGGCAAGGCCTCCCGTTAATTGTGATTCCATTAAAAGGGATTTGTGCAATTGTAGAGGACATCTAAACTCCACTACTTCTAAGTGCCCATCTCCAAGGAGCCATAGTTAGATCATTCCAACATGGTAGCAGAGTTACAACTGAGACAACTAACTGAACAGAGCTCCAGATGACTTTTAACGTCCATAGATGCTTAGACTTATGTCTCTGAGGCTCCACGTAAAACAAAGCATTTGTACGATGTTTATGCTTCATCAAATTATCCTATAATTTTGCCATCCAAACTGCTACTAAACTTTGCTTCTGCCAAACTTTGAAATTTCAAGAGATAGCCTGAGTGGTTTTCTTACCTTTGGTGCTGAAGTCATCTACCAGCAGAATCTCCTTGATGAGGTGTGGAGGAGAGCGATTGATGACACTGTGAACAGATCTCAGGAGAGTGGACCACACTTCATCCACAAAGCACATGATGACACTGGTGGTTGGGAGGTTATTGTGAACTAGCTGCTCTGCACATCTGGGCCAGAATATAAGCAGAGCACAAGAGATGTGCTAAGGAGATCCACAAGATAGTTTTAAAAGTCACAGAGTGCGATGGTGTGCATATACACACACACTTAATCTGTCATCGATCTGTCTGGTCTATCTATCATCTATTTATATATACCAATGATGATTTTATTATTTATCATGTGCCTTTTTTTGGGGAGGGGTACATGCAAAATAAAAAAGCAGAAGAATTACCCGTAACCGTGGTTGTTATAAAAGGACTAGAAATGCAAGACATGAGAATGTCCCATGCAGACATCACACTGCAGTGGAAAGGACAGGGTTTACAGGTAGTTAGACTCTATTTCAAATCTCATGGCCAATATTTCTCAGGTCTTTAACCATTAATGCCTTCTTTAACTTCTCTGTGCCTCAGTTTCCTCATCTGCAGAATGAGGTAATAAATGGTTCTTATTCAATAGAGTTTTGTAGCCTAGTGATAATGTACATACAAAGCCTAGCAGGGTTCCTGGCACAGGAATTTATGAAATGGTAGTTATTGCTATCATTACTAGATTATATGCTAGAAGATAGCATTCTGACTTATTTAATGTTCCCAAGTGGTTTATGATTGCCTTTCCAACTGGCTGTCTGCCAACTGCCATGGGATTTATTCTTTTCTCCCATTCTGCTTGTGTATGTACTTATGGCATAATATATATGTGCCAAATAATTAAACTCTTTTTAGCTTCCGTATCCGGGGCTTCCTTGCTGATACTCTGCTACAGAATAGCCACAGTTGAAAAACCATTTTGCTGGCATAGGAATGCAATCCAGGCTACAGTGGGAGTTAGTATTCAGGTGGGTTGCAACTGGCCTGGGTTTTTTCCCATGCCCTGCAGAATACACTGCCTCACTGCTGGCATTCTTTCACCCCCTGCCTGTGCCACTCTTCATAAGCAGTGCCCAGTGGAACCTCACAAAATGTATTTGCCATCTTACTAACACAGCTACTGTCAGTAATGTGATAATTAATGATGATCATAAATATTATAAGCATTCTATATTATTTCAATGTCGACCTCAAATTACCAGCATCTCTTTCCCTTTTTATTGGTGAATAATCAAAATCATGGAAAGACTAGTCCATGATTCTGCAGTTAGTAAATGGCAGAGCTGGGACTCGAACACTGATCCAGTCTGGCTCCAAAAGTAACCATTGAGGAAGCCTTAGATCCACAAGAATAGAAGCAGCTGGCAGTAGATGCGACATTTTGTGAGAGCTGGCACTTCTGCCAAATAACATGGTTATACTTTACTTATTCCATAAATAAGAAATAGGTAAGAGCAAAAACGATAGTAAAGCAAATCACATTTGCATGACACTCTAGTGTTGCCAAAGTGCTATTCTGTACATAATTGAATTCAGTCTTCATAACAACTGCTTGAGATACATATTATTATACACTTCTTCAAATCTTGGGAAGTTAAATGACTTACCCACATCATCCACCTAGATAGGATATATAAGGAAATATGAACAAATAATGTTTTTACTTTACTGCTGGTTTTTTTTGTAGAATGGGCTTTGGAAATAGATATGTGCTCAAATATCAGTTTTTCTAATTACTGATTTGGAACAGCTTTACTACTTCTTTGAACCTCAATTTGCCAACTACAAAGCTGAAATTAAACATGTACCTATAAGATTACATATAAACATTATGTAAAACTCATCTAATATATATCTGACACATAGGGGGTACTTAAGAAATGGTAGACAAATCCAGCTGTGCTTCATAATTTCAATGGTTTCCTAGATGGTTGTTTATCATAATAATTGACAAAGCCTTAGAAAAACATAAATATCCAATCCTCAGCCCCAGAAAATCAATTTACAAGGTTTGCTGAGGGCCCAAGAATCCATGTCTTAAAATACAAACAAATAAAAGAAAACACAAAGAAACCAACCCACCAACAAACAAAAGAATGACTCACAAATCATTGATTGGTGAGTTTAAGAACTTGAGCTCAAGATAAAGTTAATTTATTCTTATTATTTGAGGCTAATATTAAAAAAAATAAATTGACAGCTGATAGGAGCATGTCCTAAATGTTCAAGTGACAGAGAATTAAAATAACACATTTTGATTCACTATCTTCATGTAGTGATCAGGTATCTAATGCTAACTTAAAATATCAGACTGTCTAAACTAATATTAGTCTACACTAAGGATCCATGCATTAGCACTTCTGAATAATATGAGAAGATATTCCTCTCTTCACTTAAGAGCTTTATCAGTTTACTTTGGCCACCATAACAAATTACTGAAAATTCTGCTTAACAGTTCCTTCCTGAATGTATCTATTTTCTCTCACATTTGTACTCTGAACAGAAAGAAGATATCAGTATGCACCTTCAACATTTTGCTTGGTACTCTCCTCAGCTAAATATCCGATTTCATCATTGGCAAGTTCTGCTAATTTTCACATGACTATAGGACACAGTTAAGCCAAGCTCACTGCCACTATGTAACACGGATCATTTTCTTCCATTTCTCAATCATGTGCTCTATATTTCCTTCTAAGCCTGCACCAGAAGTACTTACAATGCTCATATTTTTGCCAACATTCTGCTCAAGATAGCATACATATTTTCAAAGATGATTGATAGAAGCTTTCTTTCTTTCTTTCTTTTTTTCTGAAATAGAGTCTTGCTCTGTCACCCAGGCGGGAATGCCATGGCGCAATTTGATAGGAGCTTTCTCTACTGTGCCGCTCACTTCCTTCTGAGCCCTCACCAACAGCATCCTTGATATTCATATTGCTACCAACAGTGACTTCAGGGCATTCTAGGCTTTTTCTATGATGCTTCACAGAATTCTTCCGGCCTCTACCTATTAGCGAATTCCTTGGTGTATTAGGCCATTTTTGTGTTGCTACAAAGAAATCCACCTGGCTGGGCACCTGTAATCCCAGCACTCTGGGAGGCCGGGGTGGGTGGATCACTTGAGGTCAGGAGTTCAAGACCAGCCTGGCCAACATGGTGAAATCCAGTCTGTACTGAAAATACAAAAATTAGCTGGGCATCGTTGCGGGTGCCTGTAATCCCAGCTACTTGGGAGGCTGAGGCAGGGAGAATCGCTTGAACCCTGGAGGTGGAGGTTGTAGTGTGCAGTGAGCTGAGATCGCACTGCTGTACTCCAGCCTGGGTGACAGAGTGAGACTTCATCTAAAAGAAAGAAAGAAAGAAAGAAATACCTGAGACTAGCTAATTTGTAAAGAAAAGAGGTTTAATTGGCTCACGGTTCTGCAGGCTGTACAGGAAGCATGGCTCTGCCATCTGCTCAGCTCTTGGTGAGGCCTCAGGGAGCTTTTACCCATGGCAGAAGACGAAGTGGGAGCAGGCATGTTACATGACAGAGCAAGCAAGAGACAGTAAGGTGAGGTCTCTGACACTTTTAACCAACCAAATCTTATATGAACTGAGGGAGAACACACATATCACCAAGGGGATGGCACTAAGTCATCCATTATAGATCTGCCTCCGTGATCCAGTACCTCCCACCAAGTCTCACCTCCAACATTGGAGGTCACATTTCAACATGAGATTTGAAGGGGACAAACATCCAAACCATATCACTTGGCTATTCCTTGGATGATACTTCTGTATTTTTGGGTACTTGTTATAGCAGCACCTCACTCCTTGATACCAAAATTTATATTAGTTTCTTCTGACTGCCATGACAAATTACCACAAACTTGGTAACATATTCTGTCACATTTCTGGGGTCCAGAATTCTAAAACCAAGATGTCAGTAGGACCTCAGTCCCTCCATATGTTGTAGGGGACATTCTGTTCCTTGCCTCTTTCAGCTTCTGCTGGCAGTCTTTGACTTGTTGAATCACTCAAATCTCTCTCTCTGTCTTCACATCACTTTCTCCTCTGTGTCTCTCTGGGTGAAACCTCTGCCTGGCTCTCTTTTATAAGGATACATGTGATTTAGGGCATTTGGGGCTTATCTGGGTAATTCAGGGTAAATGTCTCCTCTCAAGATCCTTCATCACATCTCTTGCTTCAGAAGGTAATATTCACTGTTTTTCCAGGTGAGGTAATAATCACAGGTTCTGAGAATTAGGAAGTAAATATATTTTTGGAGAACCATGTCTTTTAGCCTGACACAAGGGCTTAATGAGTTAAGGCAAGAAATAGGCTGGGTGAGGTAGCTCATGCCTGTAATGCCAGTGCTTTGGGAGGCCAAGGTGGGTGGATCATCTGAGGTCAGGAGTTCGAGACCAGCCTGACGAACATGGAGAAACCCCATCTCTACTAAAAAATACAAAAAATTGAGGTCTGTTCCAAGATGGCCAAATAGGAACAGCTCCGATCTGCAGCTCCCAGCGTGATTGACACAGAAGACGGGTTATTTCTGCATTTCCAACTGAGGTACCTGGTTCATCTCATTGAGAGTGGTTGGACAGTGGGTGCAGCCCACAGAGGGTGAGCCAAAGCAGGTTGGGGCATCACCTCACCCAGGAAGCGCAAAAGGTCTGGGGATTTCCCTTTCTTAGCCAAGGGAAGCTGTGACAGATTGCACCTGAAAAAATGGGACACTTCTGCCCAAATACTGTGCTTTTCCCACAGTCTCAGCAACTGGCAGACCCAGAGATTCTTTCCTGTGCCTGGCTTGGCAGGTCCCACACCCATGGAACCTTGCTCACTGCTAGCACAGCAGTCTGAGATCAAACTGGGAGGCGGCAGCCTGGCTCGGGGAGGGACGTCCACCATTGCTGAGGCTTGAGTAGGTAAACAAAGCAGCTCAAACTGGGTGGAGCCCACCGCAGCTCAGCAAGGCCTACTGCCTCTGTAGACTCCACCTCTGTGAGTAGGGCATAGCTGAACAAAAGGCAGCAGACAACTTCTGCAGATTTAAATGTCCCTGTCTGACCGCTCTGAAAAGAGCAGTGGTTCTCCCAGCACGGCGTTTGAGCTCTGAGAATGGACAGACTGCCTCCTCAAGTGGGTCCCTGACCCCTGTGTAGCCTAACTGGGAGACACCTCCCAGTAGGGGCTGACAGACACCTCATATAGGCGGGTGCCCCTCTGGGACGAAGCTTCAGGCAGAGGAAGGATCAGGCAGCAATATTTGCTGTTCTGCAGCCTCCACTGGTGATACCCAGGTAAACAGGGTCTGGAGTGGACCTCCAGCAAACTCCAACAGATCTGCAGCTGAGGGTCCTGACTGTTAGAAGGAAAACTAACAAACAGAAAGGAATAGCATCAACATCAACAAAAAGGACATCTACATCAAAACCCCATCTGTAGGTCACCAGCATCAAAGACCAAAGGTAGATAAAACCACAAAGATGGGGAGAAACCAGGGCAGAAAAGCTGAAAATCCTAAAAACCAGAGCACCTCTTCTCCTCCAAAGGATTGCAGCTCCTAGCCAGCGATGGAACAAAGCTGGATGGAGAATGACTTTGACAAATTGATAGAAGTAGGCTTCAGAAGGTCGGTAATAACAAACTTCTCTGAGCTAAAGGAGCATGTTTAAACCCATCAAAAGGAAGCTAAAAACCTTGAAAAAACACTAGACGAATGGCTAACTAGAATAAACAGTGTAGAGAAGACCTGAAATGGCCTGATGGAGCTGAAAACCATGGCAAGAGAACTTCGTGATGCATGCACAAGCTTCAATAGCCGATTTAATCAAGTGGAAGAAAGGGTATCAGTGATTGAAGATCAAATTAATGAAATGGGGTGAGAAGACAAGTTTAGAGGAAAAAGAGGAAAAAGAAATGAACAAAGCCTCCAAGAAATATGGGACTATGTGAAAAGACCAAATCTATGTTTGATTAGTGTACCTGAAAGTGATGGGGAGAATGGAACCAAGTTGGAAAACACACTTCAGGATATTATCCAGGAGAATGTCCCCAACCTAGCCAACATTCAAATTCAGGAAATACAGAGAACACCACAAAGATACTCCATGAGAAGAGCAACTCCAAGACACATAATTTTCAGATTCACCAAAGTTGAAATGAAGGGAAAAATGTTAAGGACAGCCAGATAGAAAGGTTGGCTTACCCACAAAGGGAAGCCGATCAGACTAATGGTGGATCTCTCGGCAGAAACTCTACAAGCCAGACGAGAGTGAGGGCCAAAATTCAACATTCTTAAAGAAAAGAACTTTCAACCCAGAATTTCATATCCAGCCAAACTAAGCTTCATGAGTGAAGGAAAAATAAAATCCTTTATAGACAAGCAAATGCTGAGAGATTTTGTCACCACCAGGCCTGCCTTACAAGAGCTCCTGAAGGAAGCACTAAACATGGAAAGAAACAACTGGTACCAGCCACTGCAAAAACAGACCAAATTGTAAAGACCATCGATGCTATGAAGAAACTGCATCAATTAATGGGCAAACTAACCAGCTAACATCATAATGAAAGGATCAAATTCAAACATAACAATATCAATCTTAAATGTAAATGGGCTAAATGCCCTAATTAAAAGACACAGTCTGGCAAATTGGATAAACAGTCAAGACGCATCAGTGTGCTGTATTCAGGAGACCCATCTCATGTGCAGAGACACACATAGGCTCAAAATAAAGGGATGGAGGAGGATCTACCAGGCAAATGGAAAGCAAAAAAAGAACAGGGGTTGCAATCTTAGTCTCTGATAAAACAGACTTCAAACCAACAAAGATCAAAAGAGACAAAGAAGGCCATTACATAATGGTAAAGGGATCAGTTGAACAAGAAGAGCTAACTATCCTAAATATATATGCACCCAATACAGGAGCACCCAGATTCATAAAGCAAATCCTTAGAGATCTACAAAGAGACTTAGACTCCCACACAATAATAATGGGAGACTTTAATGCCCCACTGTCAATATTAGACAGATCAATGAGACAGAAGGTTAACAGGGATATCCAGGACTTGAACTCAGCTCTGCACCAAGCAGACCTAATAGACATCTACAGAACTCTCCACCCCAAATCAACAATATATATTCTTCTTAGCACCACATCGCACTTATTCTAAAATTGATCACATAATTGGAAGTAAAGCATTCCTCAGCAAATGTAAAATAACAGAAATCACAACAAACTGTCTCTCAGAACACAGTGCAATCAAATTAGAACTCAGGATTAAGAAATTTACTCAAAACTGCACAACTACATGGAGACTGAACAACCTGCTCCTGAATGACCACTGAGTAAATAACGAAATGAAGGCAGAAATAAAGATGTTCTTTGAAACCAACGAGAACAAAGACACAACATACCAGAATCTCTGGGACACATTTAAAGCAGTGTGTAGAGGGAAATTTATAGCACTAAATGCCCACAAAAGAAAGCAGGAAAGATCTAAAATTGACACCCTAACATCACAAATTAAAAGAACTAGACAAGCAAGAGCTTACACATTCAAAAGCTAGCAGAAGGCAAGAAATAACTAAGATCAGAGCAGAACTGAAGGAGATAGAGACACAAAAAACCCTTCAAAAAATCAGTGAATCCAGGAGCTAGTTTTTTGAAAAGATCAACAAAATTGATAGACCGCTAACAAGACTAATAAGAAAAGAGAGAAGAATCAAATAGATGCAATAAAAAATGATAAAGGGGATATCATCACTGATCCCACAGAAATACAAACTACCATCAGAGAATACTATAAACACCTCTATGCAAATAAACTAGAAAATCTAGAAGAAATGGATAAATTCCTGGACACATATACCCTCCCAAGACTAAACCAGGAAGAAGTTAAATCCCTGAATAGACCAATAACAGGCTCTGAAATTGAGGCAATAATTAATAACCTACCAGTCAAAAAAAGTCCAGGACCAGATGGATTCACAGCCGAATTCTACCAGAGGTACAAAGAGAAGCTGGTACCATTCCTTCTGAAACTATTCCAATCAATACAAAAAGCAGGAATCCTCCCTAACTCATTTTATGAGGCCAGCATCATCCTGATACCAAAACCTGGCAGAAACACAACAACAAAAAAAGAGAATTTTAGACCAATATCCCTGATGAACATCAATGTGAAAATCCTCAATAAAATACTGGCAAATTGAATCCAGAGGCACATCAAAAAGCTTATCCACCATGATCAAGTTGGTTTCATCCCTGGGATGAAAGGCTAGTTCAACATACACAAATCAATAAATGTAATCCGTCACATAAACAGAACCAATGACAAAAACCACATGATTATCTGAATAGATGCAGAAAAGGCCTTTGACAAAATTCAACAGCCCTTCATGCTAAAAACTCTCAATAAACTAGGCTTTGATGGAACATATCTCAAAATAATAAGAGCTATTTATGACAAACCCACAGCTTAATATCATACTGAATGGGCAAAAACTGGAATCATTCCCTTTGAAAACTGGCACAAGACAAGTTGCCCCTCTCACCACTCCTATTCAACATAGTGTTGAAATGGCCAGGGCAATCTGGCAAGAGAAAGAAATAAAGGGTATTCAATTAGGAAAAGAAGAAGTCAAATTGTCCCTGTTTGCAGATGACATGATTGTATATTTAAAAAACTCCATTGTTTCAGCCCAAAATCTCCTTAAGCTGACCAGCAAATTCAGCAAAGTCTCAGGATACAAAATCAATGTGCAGAAATCACAAGCATTCCTATACACGAATAGCAGACAAACAGAAAGCCAAATCATTAGTGAACTCCGATTCACAATTGCCACAATGAGAATAAAATACCTAGGAATCCAACTTACAAGGGATGTGGAGGACCTCTTCAAGGAGAAATACAAACCACTGCTCAATGAAATAGGACACAAACAAATCGAAGAATATTCCATGCTCATGGATAGGAAGAATCAATATAGTGAAAATGGCCATACTGCCCATAGTAATTTATAGATTCAGTGCCATCCCTATCAAGCTACCAATGACTTTCTTCACAGAATTGGAAAAAACTCCTTTAAAGTTCATATGGAACCAAAAAAAGAGCCTGCATTGCCAAGACAATCCCAAGCGAAAAGAACAAAGCTGGCGGCATCACGCTACCTGACTTCAAACTATACTACAAGGCCGCAGTAACCAAAACAGCATGGTACTGGTACCAAAACAGATATATGGACGAATGGAACAGAACAGAGGCCTCAGAAATAACACCACACATCTACAACCATCTGATCTTCGACAAACCTGACAAAAACAAGAAATGGAGAAAGGACCCTATTTAATAAATGGTGCTGGGAAAACTGGCTAGCCATATGTAGAAAGCTGAAACTGGATCCCTTCCTTACACTTTATACAAAAATTAATTCAAGATGGATTAAAGACTTAAACGTTAGACCTAAAACCGTAAAAACCCTAGAAGTAAATCTAGGCAATACCATTCAGGACATAGGCATGGGCAAGGACTTAATGACTAAAACACCAAAAGCAATGGCAACAAAAGCCAAAACAGACAAATGGGATCTAATTAAACTAAAGAGCTTCTGCATGGCAAAAGAAACTACCATCAGAGTGAACAGGCAGCCTACAGAATGGGAGAAAATTTTTGCAATCTACCCATCTGACAAAGGGCTAATATCCAGAATCTACAAAGAACTCAAACAAATGTACAAGAAAAAAAACAAACAACCCCATCAAAAAGTGGGCAAAGAATATCAACAGACGCTTCTCAAAAGAAGACATTTATGCAGCCAACAGACACATGAAGAAATACTCATCATCACTGGTCATCAGAGAAATGCAAATCAAAACCACAAGAGATACCATCTCACACCAGTTAGAATGGTGATCATTAAAAAGTCAGGAAACAACAGATGCTGGAGAGGATGTGGAGAAATAGGAAGGCTTTTACACTGTTGGTGGGACTGTAAACTAGTTCAACCATTGTGGAAGACAGTCTGGCGATTCCTCAGGGATCTAGAACTAGAAATACCATTCCCATAGAAATACCAGTGATCCCATTACTGGGTATATACCCAAAGGATTATAAATCCTGCTACTATAAAGACACATGTACACGTTTGTTTATTGCGGCACTATTAATGATTGTAAAGACTTGGAACCAACCTAAATGTCCATCAATGATAGAATGGATTAAGAAAACATGGCACATATACACCATGGAATACTATGCAGCCCTAAATGATGAGTTCATGTCCTTTGTAGGTACATGGATGAAGCTGAAAACCATCATTCTCAGCAAACTATCACAAGGACAGAAAACCAAACACCACATGTTTTCACTCATAGGTGGGAATTGAACAATGAGAACACTTGGACACAAGGTGGGGAACATCACACACTGGGGCCTTTTAGGGGGTGGGGGGCTGGAGGAGGGATAGCATTAGGAGAAATACCTAATGTAAATGACGAGTTGATGGGTGCAGCAAACCAACATGGCACATGTATACCTATGTATCAAACCTGCACATTGGGCAGGTTTAAAGTATATTATTAACATTTATTAAAGTATAATAAAAAAAATACAAAAAATTACCCTGGCATGGTGGCGGGTACTTGTAATCCCAGCTACCTGGAAGGCTGAGGTAGGAGAATTGCTTGAACCCCAGAGGCGGAGGTTGCGGTGAGCTGAGATTGTGCCATTGCACTCCAGCCTGGGCAACAAGAGCAAAAATCTGTCTCAAAAAAAAAAAAAAAAAAAAAAAAAAAAAGCAAGAAATATGCTGTTTTCAAATAAAAAATTTAAAATGGCTTCCCTATCCCTCAACAAAATGTAGGTTTATTTTGAATTTACAGAATTGTTAGTCATGCTGTTTTTTTTTCCCTAAATTTGAAGCTTCTTTTAAGTTTGAGGAATTTGCACATTGAAGTCCACGAAAGTGTTAATTGGTGATACCAAATTATGAACTATCATATTGAAACTCTATTTTAGAAAATAAAGATAATTAGAAAAAAAGAAGAAAGAATATAAATTGAGGGATTTCCAAGAAGTACTAAAAAATTGGTCTATTTGGTTGCATAATTACCAACAATTCCAACAATTAGAGGACAATTTTGGAACTGGACAAACTTTAGACTCTGAAATGTTTTTCATAAGGCAAAAAAGGGAACATCTCCAAAATAAGATTCTAATTCTCAGAATCTCTTGTGATGACCATTAAAGACCAGAGTGATGAGACTAAAGTTTCCCAACGAGAGAATTGGTGGGGCTAGAGCACAATGAACTGCAAAGTAAAAGGTAAATGAACAATGAGACACCATCTCATACCAGTTAGAATGGCAGTTATTAAAAAGTAAAAAAACAACAGATGCTGTCAAGGCTGTGGAGAAAAGAGAATGCTTATACACTTCCATACTGTCGGTAGGAATGTAGTTCCTACCAATTAGTTTAGCCACTGTAGAAGGCAGTTTGGAGGTATCTCAAAGAACTTAACACAGAACTACCATTTGAGCAAGCAATCCAATTACTAGGTATATATCCAAATGAAAATAAGTCATTCTACCAAAACAATTCAGCACTATTCACAATAGCAAAGACATGTAATCAACCTAGGTGCCCCTCAATGGTGGATTGGATAAAGAAAATGTGATACATATATATCATGGAATCCTATGAAGCCATAAAAAATAACAAAATCATTTCCTTAGCAGCAACATGAATGCAGCTGGAGGACATTATCCTTAGCAAATTAACACAGGACCAGAAAACCAAATATCACGTGTTCTCACTTATAGGTGGGAGCTAAGCATTGGGTACTCATAGACATAAAGATGGCAATGATAGACACTGGGGACTACTAGAGAGGGTAAGGAAGGAGGGGTAACAGTTGAAAAACTAACTGTTGAGTACTATGCTCAGTACCTGGGTGACAGAATCATTTGTGTCCTAAACCTCAGCAGCATGCAATATACCCTGTAACAAACCTGTACATGTACTTCCTGAATCTAAAATGTTGAAATTATTTAAAAAAGGAGTAAAAGGTAAATGAGGGAAAGGATAGTATTTTGTGGACAATTTTGGGAGAAAACCTAGAAAAGAAAGAAATAGGAGGGTAGATAGGTGGGATACCAGGAAAATTTGTCATCCCTGTTCTCCCTTCCTCTGTTGAGTAGACATGGACAGAATCATATTTATGAGCATCAGAGTAGGTACAGATAGAGCTGAGAGTTGAAAAAAAAATCAGTAATTGATAGGATTATCAATGAAGCAAGGTCTCTTTATATTAACCCACCTTACAATGGCAGTTGATGCAATTAACAAGTCTAGTTTCCTTTGGCCACTCTCTATTTTTTAATTTTTTGTCCCATGAGACACTACACCCTCCTAGTTTTCACCCATCATTCACTGGCTTTTCACCTTCAGTTTCCTTCTTAGCTTTCCTTTCCTCTTAAGAAACACAAGATTCTCAGAGCTGGGTCTGGGGCTTTGTTTTCTTCTATGTGTGATATGATTGTATGAGCCCATCATGCTCACAGTTTTAAGTGTGATAATATCTTCATAGTTTATATACAGGTCAGATTTCCCATCTGAATTGCAGACTTAACTTATATCCAAACAATTTCTGAACATCTTCTCTGCATGTCTCACAGGCATCTCACTCATAATGTGTCTGAAACAGAAACCTTGACTTCACCCCACTCAACCCAACCAGCTCCTCTGCATTTCCCTCATAATGGCATCGCCACCCACCTTGCTGCAGAAATATGGATTCTCATCTAGACTTCACCCTCTTCCTGACCATAAATACAATCAATCCATCAACTTCTATTCTGTGTGTTGCCAACAGATATCTCAGCTATAACATCTTTATACCTCCACAGTTGCCTCCCCTAGCTCTTGAGCATCCACTCTCTTTCTCCAGGATTATTGCTGGAGTCTCCTAAAGGGACACTACTTCCACAGTTTGTCAGATCAACACCACTCTTCTGTTTAAAATCCTCAGTCAATTTCTATGGGACAAAGTGAAAAGGAAAAAAATCCAAATTCTTTAGTGTATAGGACCCCTGCTCAACTTTCCAACTGCCTGTCATTCCACTCTCCCCTCACACACTCCACCTTGGCCTTCTTTCAGTTCCCTGAAGAACACTCCAGCTTTTGTTATTTGCTTAACTTCTAGCATTTTTGCTACCCTTCCCATGTCTTCGCAGCTGGCTGCTTCTATTCCTTTAGTTCCTATCTTAAATATTCCCTTCATAGAGATGCCGTCTCTGACAACGCTTTCACATTTTTTTTTTTTTTGAGACAGAGTCTGGGCTGGAGTGGAGTGGCGTGATCACTGCTCACTGCAGGCTCCGCCTCCCGGGTTCACGCCATTCTCCTACTTCAGCCTCCTGAGTAGCTGGGACTACAGGCACCTGCCACCACGCCTGGCTAATTTTTGTGTATTTTTAGTAGAGACGGGGTTTCACCATATTAGCCAGGATGGTCTCGATCTCCTGACCTTGTGATCCACCCGCCTCAGCCTCCCAAAGTGCTGGGTTTACAGGCGTGAGCCACTGCACCTGGCCTACCCTCTCAAAATTAACTATTCTTTTATTATTCTCTATTATTGTGTTTCTGTCACAGCATTCATCTATCAATCTTATTTCCTTATCTTCTGCATCCAAAATTTTCTGAGGGTAGGACAAATCTGCCTTGCTTACTACAGTACCACAAGCTTCCAGCACAGTTACACAATAAATATTTGATAAATATGTATTGAATGCATGAATGAATGGATGGAGATGAGATGGAACTTAAAGCTTAAATAGTGGAAGAAATATTTCCCTTTGAGATAGAAAGTACAAAAAGGTGGTAACGTATACAAATATATTTATGCACATGGGATGAGAAGTTGAAAATATTCATAGCTCATACTGGAGGAAGGGTTATCTGTTAATGTAATAGGCTAGGGGCTTGAGGAGAATGGAGAATATTTTGGACAGATACTATGGGCAATGGGAGAGAATGCTGGCCAGCTAGCTAGGATTTCAGAGGGGCAGTGAGCACTTTCCTGAAACTGGAGATGCCAAAATTTTATGAAATTTCAATATATGATTTGCTCCACCAGTGCCTGCCAGCCTGCGTGTAAGAAGAGATAAAGCAAATTGCTGGATTAATATGAGTCTAAGGGATATCAGAGCACATGAGGTAGAAAGAGAATGGGTAGTGAGGTTTGAGGGGACTGGTGTAAGGTGGTTGAATGTTCCGGCATGGGCTCTGGGTCAGGGAAAGAGGAAGTAAAGCTAAGGGGAGTTTAATAGCCTGAGTGAAAGGGAGGGTACAGAAGAAAACAGCTACAGCCTATGACTTCCTCATCTCTAACTTTATAATATAAATTAATGAGAAATTCACATTTCACAGTTACATTTTTTTTAATGGTATTTGGTGCTGAAAAAAAAATCAAATCAGTTCTGAAAAGAAAGGATCAATTACACAAATTCGGCATAAACCAACAAGCCCGGCTGTGAAGTCCTGAGAGTTGCTTTATGGTTAAAATTTGGTTGGTCTGAGAAACATCCAGTGACAAAAGGAATTGTATCAGGAGGAGTTAACTAAGCAGGCTCATGCAAATGACTCTTCCTATATTTTAAATTAGTAGAGTTTTTGTCCTTTTTAGAAGGAAGTTCTAAAAAGTGCTAGACAGTCTAAAATTGGAGGTAAGAAAAATTCTCAGAAATTTGAGAGATTTGGGGAAGACACCTCTAATCACCAAATATCTAATCCTCTATTCCCCCGATTATGTCATGGTGCCTTAATTTCACTATTAGTACCCTACATGGGCAGATCATGAGAGATTCCACTAGATGCTAATATCCCAGCAAATAAGTAGTACCTCTGCCAATTGTTGACAAATATATATCTTAGATGTGTTTAAAGAATTACAATGAAGAAATTCTGTGGAAGATTATATGGTACAGATCATATTAGTGCCTGGTAAAAGCAATATTACAGGATGGGAAAGAGGGACCCAAAAGAGATGCCTGAGATTTCCAATACAAAGTTTCAGGGTGTGCCTTGATTTGGGGTGACTGACATGTCAAGGCACTCTGACATTTACAGAGACCTGTTCTCCTGCATTACTAAACAGATTAAACATGTTTCCGGGTATCTAGCAAAACTAGTGTGCTTGTTTTGTTCAAAGGAACAGTGGGAAACCCCCGCAAAGCTTTCAGCATTTTAAACTCTTACTCTAGTCTTTCATACTGGAAGAAAGGTTACTTGCTAATGTAATAGGGTAGGGGCTTGAGGAGAATGGAGAATATTCTGGGCAGACACTATGTCATCTAGTTGGCATAGGTTGTAAAAACCATTTCAAGTTATCCTACACCAACCTAATTCAAGCAAGTTTCCTTTATTTCAGTTTTTCCTTAATTTCTGCCTATATCATGGGAGGAGAAATTGCTGCTAAAGTCTAATTTGAATGCCAGATATTTCTAGGTTTGTAACTTTTTTGAGGCTAAGAAATCACATTTATATTCTATATGCCTATTTATTATACAAATTAGGTATTTAGAGTCTACTGGTCCCATGCTATACTTAAAAAATTAATCCAATCTCTTTGTCTTGGGGGGGAATCTAGGCTTAGATTACTGCAGCCAATCCAAGTTCTAAAAACAAATGGGGCCTCTAATGTGGGGAGTTTCACTATCCTGCACTTAGCTGACATACTACTGTGGTGGACAGAAAGACTCTGGACTTGAGAAAGATGACAAGAGACTAAGTTTTTAGTTCATTCTAGCATTTATTGGCCCTATGGCCATGGGCAAGTCAGTTAGGCCCCTAGAACCTTAGTTTCCTCACTTTTAGGATGAAGATTACAATGCCTTCATCACAGAACAGTGGTGAAGATTTGATGAGATAATGGATGTAAAAATATTTTGTGAGCTTCATGCTGAAAAACTCATGTGAGAACCTACGATTACCCATAATGCAAATACACACATTTTGAGGGAGCACACTGCCTTTTTCTGAAGCAGTCCTTTAATCTGAATCTATCAAGTGCTCAACCATTTATCGAGAGACCCAGAAAGTGATGCGTCCCACCCTCCTGGCTTCTGTGTGCTGAATGCTGAGCCACTAACCTGATTTGAATGTAGCCTATCAAATAGAGAAGGTTTTAAATCATAAGATTGAGGGAATGATAACATTCTCTCATTTCTATGAATTTTTCATTTTATTCCGAGACAGTCAAGATGTACTATGTGGGTCAAGTCTCAGCCTTCACAGGTTTGAACAGAAGGTCAAGGAGAATATTTTCTTAACTTCTATTTGCAATTCAACTACTGCCTTCATGTGAGCCTTCAGGGGCCTTCACTCCCCAAGCACTGATGTCTCAGGAACATCAGGAGGAGAATTGAGCACACAGCTGAAGAGCTCTGCCTGGGATTTTATTCTTTTCTCCCAGACCTTAGAATTGTTGGGGCTGCTTTCCCTCTCACTGATAAGAAGGTACAGTGATATAAAAACTGTATTTTCATGTTTTGTTCTTTCTAGGGTAGACTATCCATGACATTCAGTCAAAATCACCTGGCTACTGATTCAGAAAATTTAAGTCACACTCATCACTTCTACTCCAAAGTTCTTAGCCAGCTGCGGCTGTGGTTGCCATGGTAAATGTAAAGTCATCAAAGTGACAGGACTCAGGCTTAGAAATATAAGCCACCAGCATAAACATTCACCACTTCAACAATAGTCTGTTTTGAGCAGGAAGCTGTCACAGTGAAATTGGGACGGCAGGGAGAAGAGGAGGAGGTGGTGTGATGTGGCAGAAATAGTACTAGGTGGGGATGTTCTGTCTTTCCTGCTGTGTATGACCTTGGGCAAGTCATTTTTCTCCTGGAACATTGTCTGTAACATAAAGGACTAGATTAGAAAACTTTCAAATCTTCACCTAGTATTAACATTCTGTGGTTTTCTATGCAACTTTAGCATTTACCTGTAAGTGCTTTCCTTTGGGTCATAAGTCCCCTGAGAAAAGGCAAATTAAATTGTTATTTCTATGGTCTTAAATCATTTAACGGTTTCCCACTGGCCCTTGGAAGAACCTGAAGGTCCTGAGTGATCTGGACTCTACTTACTTCTGTGGCCTCATTTACGTCCTCATTGCTCTCCTGCAACCCATGTCAGATTTCCCTCGATTTCTCAATGGATCATCCTTTTTACTGCTTTCTCCATTTCTCTGACTCTCTACTCTTTCAGGTTGCAGCTCAAACATTTTTGTTCTCTCCCAGGACAGGTTTAGCTTTTTATCTCCTTTTTCCCAACAGTCCCCTGTGTTTCGGCATCACATTTTGCTGTATACGCCTTGAAGTCAATGACCATGCTCTGATGCCATACTTTGCAGTAGCAGCCCAGAGAGATTTGTTCACTGCAGGGCTGTGGTTATGGCCAAGTTTTAAAGAATCACCTTTGCTTAGTGCTATATAGGAAATGCTTTCCTATAATTTTTTTCTCTGATGAGGTACATGTCATGCAAACTTAATTCCCATCATGCATCTCTTACCCATGTATAAGGAAGAGAGGTGTTTTAATTTCTGCCAATGTCATATGACTATAAGGAAACAAAGGAAGGAAAAGCTGTCACCTGTGGAAAGAACACTAGAATTAAAAATTGGGAAATTTTCTTTTGAATCCCAAATTTGCTATTAGTTTGCTGGGACAATGGATAAATCATTTATTCTTTTACAGTCTCACTCTTCTCAACTGTAAAACATATGAAAGTTAATATCTCATAGGGTTGCTGTGAGGATTGCTTAGATACAAACACACACACAAACACACACACATAAGTCTACATGCATACATATATGCATACACACACATCACTGACTGAAACAAAACTAAGCATTTTCTTTGTGTGTGAAGCTGAGCAATGGAGGGATTCCCCTTTAGCACAGGGCCTTGGCAAGCTAAGGAGACTTGCAGGTGATGATGGTCACTACGTGGGGAGAGTTGCTGGAGGTGGAGAGGGAACCAGACTGGTGCAGTGGAATTATTACTGAGTGAGGAAGAGTCAGAAAACTAGAGGTTGGGTCCCAACATTGGCACTTGTGAGCTGTGAGGCCTTGGGCAAATTACTTTACCATTTGCTCTTTTTTCCCCCCTCATCTGTTAATAAAGAGAGGTAACACTTTGCTAATCTGGCATGGCCACAAGGATCAGATGAAATAATATGCCTGAAGGATGAAAGGCCTCAACTGCCTGGCATGGCGCACCGCTCCTGATTGATAGGCAATGAGCAAATATCACGTGCAATGAAATGAACTGCCACTGTCTGAAATATCTGCTATTATCTGAAACCTCAGCTTCCTCTGTCTCAGTTTTTCTATAGGTAAAGCTGGGATGATGATAGTATCTACCTTGAGGAATTGTTTTAAGGATTAAATGAGAAGGCAAGTTGTGAAGCCTTTGTAAACACTGTTTCCTCATATTGCTGCTTCTCACACATGTCCATATTATCAACATTTTAGAAGCAACGCCAGTTGAGGAGGTACTTGAGTTTGGTATAATATAGCTGTTTTTCCAGGAGACTCTAAAAAGCTCCTTTCATTTCGAAAGCAAACAGCAAAATACAGCTTCTAAACATTGCTATTTTCCCTGAATTTTCTGAACCTTGAGCAAAAAAGTTGTTTCTCTCTTGAGAGGCTCTGTTCTGATTGGATCAGCCAGAAAAGCCCAATAGGAAGTTATTTTCAGGGCCAAGAGTACCAGGGCAATATTACAGCAAAAGTTTGATATATTATGCTGATGGTTAAACTGGGCCTTGTGTTCCGTATATGAAAAAGTATACTTCTTTCAAATTCCTGCATATACTAACTACTCTCTCCCAGGAGTGTTTCTAGGGCTTTCACAGTATTTAGGAGGAAAAGTCAGGAATTCACTTTAACATTTCTGTTTTCTATTAATTAGGCACTGTTTAGCTGTTTTCTTTTTAGAAAGAAACTAGTAGCAGAATTTGAACTAGTAGCAGAATTGTGCTTTCCATTCTTCTCCTCTAATCTTTGTTGTCTTTGTTATTCCCTTTGTTATAAGGAGAGTGGGATAAATAAAAGTATTCAAAGGCCCAGTTCATTGTCCTTTGGCCATATTTCACCTTCATTATGTTACAGCCTAGTCTGAACCCTTTTAACAAGTTTTCCTTTTTATGTCCTGCTCTCCTACATGACTTTTGAGTGAAAAAGAGTACTGTGCTCTAACACACAAACACAAATGCTCACAAATGCATGCACGTGCACACACAAATGAACACATACACACTATTCAAAAGGCACCACTGCATTGCTTACCCATAGAGGTGAAAGCAGGAAGTAAATCCTTTTGAATTCATCTCATGAGGTTTTTTTTTCCCTGCCTCCAATTGGT
Organism: Homo sapiens; assembly: GCF_000001405.40. Classification (NCBI taxonomy): domain Eukaryota; kingdom Metazoa; phylum Chordata; class Mammalia; order Primates; family Hominidae; genus Homo; species Homo sapiens. The sequence goes on along the minus strand of NC_000002.12, from coordinate 157,264,997 downwards.
TTCTCAAGGAGATCTCATAGCTTCTCCAATCAATTTTAATTAATGTTCTCCAATCACTATTAGTCACAAAATCACGTTCATTTCATCAATTAAGATTTGTGTCCCATGTAAAAATTAAAAATTTAAATTTAATTTAACTTTAAAGTTTCTTTTTTTCTCTCAGCCTGATAAACTTTTAGAAGCTCAAAGTTTGGGAGGATACCTGATCACTTTATTTTCTCTCTTCTGTCTCCTCCCCCTCCTCCTCTTCCTCCTCCAGTAACTCATTCGTTATAGTTTTTGACCCTACTAGGATCAAAATTAAGGTTCCAGAAAGTTTTTCTTTCCCCTCAGTAATTTAGATTGGTTTGTGGCAAATGCATGGTGCTATCTTTTGCTTTTCAAATGTGCCAAAAAAAAACCTTTCTTTAGCTGTGTAGGAAGGAATCAAATTATTGGTTGACAGTCCTGGCTCTGGGCTAAGAGAATAAAGACCATTTTAATTGCTTTATTGAGGGGCTTGCCAGAGTTTTGTAGGGAAAGCAAAGCATTAAATTAAGCAGTTGAGTAACGTTATGAGGACACAGCAGTGGTAGACAAGCACGCCAGAATTCTTATTGTACTTTAAAAACTAAATGCTGGCAGCAAAAATTCCTTTGAGTCATTTTTCTCTAAATTCAGATTCAGGAAGTGCACTCTTAAAATAAGTTCATTTTTGGAGTTCCATCTTAACTATAGCTTCAGGCCAAAAGACAGACTTCTCCAAGTAGAACTGCCCTGCATAGGATCACATTTTAGCAAAACCTGTGTGTACGTGTGTGTGTGTGTGTGTGTGTGTGTGTGTATGTGTGTTGATTGTTGCTGACAGAAACAAACTTCAATCATTAGGAGCAAGAACTGAAAGGATTAGCTTTTAATTAAAAAAAGATTAAATATGGAACTTTAACTGTCAAAAAAGCATTTTATTTCAAGCAAATTTTATAGGCAAAATTTCTAGGCAACAATGAAGTTGTATTTTACATACTGACGTAAAACATTCTTGTAAATAAAATAGGCTTTCCTCTCTTGAAAGCCAAAACATTAAAATTAAGAACCAAAACAATAACAAAAATATAAAATAAGGGATAAACACAAATTAATGAATAGATTATAGTGTTAAACAGAATGTATTTGCCTTAAATCAGATTTTAATATCTTCTATATATTCATAATGAAAAATTAAGAAGTCATTATTAATTTATAAACAGACTTGCTGCAGGTTTCATTTGAATTGCTACCTTTTGATTATTTTTAAAGTAGTATCAATTTTCAAAAATCATTTCAGAGAAACAAATTGTAAATTCATACTGTGTAAACCTGTTGCTTCTGAATGTACAGCACTGTGATCAGTGCTAAAGGAGTACAAAATAAAGCTAAAGACAAAGTTTCCTTCAGAAGCTTATAATTTCACTAGGAAGGAAAAACAGACGTTCAAGGATTCAGTTAATGAAGAACACAGAATAAACAGTGTTTCAGTAACTAGGATGCCTGTGTACACTAAGAGTAATTGCAATTTAGAGGTCACAGCTACCTCATGGTCCAGGTGGAAGGAAGCCACAGTTGGATTCTGAGCAACATTGAATTAGAATGTGTGCAAGAGAATGGTGAGGATGGAGGGAGGCTGTGGGAAGGGACCAGTGAATGAAAACCTCAGTGGATGGTTACAACTGTAAAGGGTGGAGAAGAGCAAAGAGATTAGCTTTTCTTATGCTAAGGGCCCAGCTTGGAGAAAATGTCATGTGCAGGGTGCTATTGCTATACCACAAAGGGGAGAAACATGGGCAGACAGAAAAGGACAGTGTGAGTAACCCTGAGAACAGAAAGGAGTTCTTGTGCTTTAGAAAAGAGGTGTGGGCCGGATGCGGTGGCTCACGCCTGCAATCCCAGCATTTTGGGAGGCCAAGGCGGGCAGATCATGAGGTCAGGAGATCGAGACCATCCTGGCTAACACGGTGAAACCCCGTCTCTACTAAAAATACAAAAAATTAGCTGGGCATGGTGGCGGGTGCCTGTAGTCCCAGCTACTCGGGAGGCTGAGGCAGGAGAATGGTGTGAACCCCGGAGGCGGAGTTTGCAGTGAGCCGAGATCGCACCACTGCGCTCAGCCTGGGTGACAGAGCGAGACTCCATCTCAAAAAAAAAAAAAAAAAAAAAAAAAAAGAGTTGTGAAATTGAATCTTAACATTTTAGCAATGGTCCTTTGGGACTCCAGAGAAAACGGAGTGAAAAAGCAGGTTTGGAAAAGAGAATCTGATTTTAGAACTAGAGTAAGAGAAGTTGTCCTGGAAATCCCTGCCTGTCTCCTCTACCTTTTTATTGTTGTTGTTGTTGTTGTTGTTGTTGTTTTCTGAGACAAGGTCTTATTCTGTCACCCAGGCTAGTGGCACAATCTTGGTTCACTGCAACCTCGACCGCTCAGGCTCAAGTGATCCTCCCACCTCAGCTTCCTGAGTGGCTGAGACTACAGGCATGCACCACCACCCTTGGGTAATTTTTAAATTTTTTTGTAATGATGAGGTCTCACTATATTGCCCAGGCTGATCTCAAACTCCTGGGCTCAAGGGATCCTCTAACCATGTCCTCCCAAAGTGCTGAGATTACAGGCTTGAGCTACCATGCCTGTCCTCTACTTCTTAATGGTAACCTCACCCTAGCACATCAGCTCATTCATCTTTAAGATGATGTTAACTACCGACTAGTTATTATCTTCACTGGGTGAAGTTGAATTTAAATGATTATACCAAATCTGTGCGCTTTTTTTTTTTTTTTTTTACATTTTTTGGTTCATTCTGTATCAATGAGCAGTTGTGATATGACAGTTATGTGTGAATTCATCTATAACAGTGGATTTTGGGGAAATGAATAGGCCAAAAAGGAAGATATTCTCCAAAACTCTTAAAATTTAAAGGTTGCAGTAGGATGCTACTCCAGCTAATTTTAAGCTAGCCCTCCTGTATTCTTACAGTTATTTCTCTCTCTCTTTCTTTCACACACATGTACTCATTTTCTTATTCTATTTTATAACAATTTCCCCTTATGCTGACTTCGAAAACTTATTATCTTAAAAAATCTTATTGCATGCATTCCTGTAAGCAGCTACCTCAAACGCTTTTTGAGCCAGGCTGAAAATAAATAAAGCCAAATTTAAAAAAACAAAAACAAAAAACACTCCAAATCTTGCCAAACTGATGAATCAAATGTTTTTTGATTGTATTTTCTTTAACCTTTATCTATATGAATACATAATTTACACATATTTATAGTCAAGGTGTTTGGGTAAAAGAACAAAAAATGATTTATCCTCTTTCAAAGAAGAGGACTACAAAAGGACTGAAAAATACTTTGGGAGGCCCCAGGTCCAGGATCCCTGGTGGTAGACCCCTGAGTGGAGCGTAGCATCCGCCAGGCAGCTTGAGACACACCTATATTTAGCCAAGGTGGGTTATGTGATAAGAGGGAGGAGGCCTGGCCACATGCTCTCTGACTCATCCTCTCAAGCACATGTGTCAATTTTTCCTACAGTTGGGACAACCTCCTTCAGAAGACAGAGCCTGACTGTAACTTTCCTGGGCTGCAATGCTTAACTTCTACAGAACAAAGTATAGAAACTAAGAAGCACTGGGAGTCCCCGAGCTTTCAATGAGCCACACTAGTGATAACATCGTTATTACTTGCTTTGAGCACCCCCACCCCCGCCACGCATGTGCCTTTTCTCTGGTTTGGAACTGGAGCTTGTGCTTCTGTGCAGTGTCTAATTCCTCCCCAGACTCCCTAGCAGCCTGCCAGGTCAATAAGGGCATGTTAAAATGAAACTGCTTTAACGGCTACTTCATTTCCTTGCACTTTGTGTTCAAAGCTGGCATGTGTAATCCTGTGATACACAGGACTTTAGATTAGAGCTGGGCCAACACAATTTTTAGGATCCTTTTTGAGGGGAGATTGGCAAGAGATGGAAGAGAGTGCAGAATAATTTTGAGCATGAATTTTAATCATTTCTCTACAATGACTAGCTTTGTGACCACAGGCAATCTAGCATCCCAGGGCCTCAGTTTCCTCATCTTTGAGTATGTCTGCATTCTCCTCAAGACTGTGATTATCACCAGGGTGAGAAGCGTGAATGGCACAGTGCTTGGTATAAGCAGTGCATGGCTGATAGCTGTTTGCTGATGGCTAAGAGATGGAAAACGACCTGGTTGTAGCCGACATCACAATGAAGAGACTCTTCTTTCTAATGTGGATAAAGCTTCTCCTGTATCTGCCTTCCTCCTAGTAACACTGACTAAAATGTAATGCTGACTACCTAGATCACAAAGAAGAATTTTCTACAGAAGCCAAACAAGGCCATTGTTTACATGCCACATGTGCTAAGTCTCAATCTTGACATTCCCCAATCCAACTTCCTGGCAAATATTGTTTGACTTAGGGAACTGAGTTAACAGATATTGAACATACGGCTGTTGAGTACCTTCACTTATCAGTGGGCCAAGAAAAAAAATGCCAGGAACCCAATTATATTTGAATCAGATTAAATATCTATGTTTTGATCCACATCTGGTGATATAGTTATAGGAATTTAACTTTTTGAAGGACTGGTTACTGAAGGCCCATTGGGCAGCTTTAGAACTGCATTACCTTGAGAAAGTGTTGTAACTTCTGAGCGCCCTCGCCAGCTTGTTAATTTGAACCATAATGACTGCCTCCTCCTTTGCAGGGCTCATATGGAGTTCATCTATGTGTATGCAGGCTCTTTGTAAATAGTGAATGTCTACAAATATAAGTGATTATTATTATGCTTTTTATACCTCCTGTAGGTGTTTGCTGGTCATGGACTGATTGACTTTTTCCAACATTATGATTCCTATGTAACTGATCTCCTGAAATATCTACCATCTCCACCTATAAAGGAGATTAAATTTTAGGGAGTAAAGTCACTTCTCTTGCTATCCTGCTTATCATTACTTATGATTAGGCAGAATTCTGCTGGTTAAGATATGATTCCAGGGAGGCCTAGAAGAGTCCTTCTGTGTGCTTCTTTCCCAAATATATTCCTGACAAACTTGCTAATAATGAAAAGTTCCAAAATTGGGAATTCACTTCATTGTCACTATTCTAATGGAATTACACTTTAAGCTCTACCATTTATATACACGTTATTATGAACTGAGTTCATCTAATCATTTTAATAGGTTTTCAACAGAGGGAAGAAAATTGAACATGAGCTAATGGTAGGGACCAAAGTCTCAGAGAACAAGAACTCTGCAACTGCTAATAAGAGAATTTTTGTCTCTGTAGCTGGTGAAATATTTGAATGATATCCAATGATTAATGTTTCTTTAATTCTCTAGGTGACCAAAAATCACACAGAATTATCTAGCAATAAATCCTCTTTACATAACAGCCAAAGCACTTGGGGTTGAGGAAAGAGAAGAGAAATAGGTCTTACCCAGCAGGTCTGGTGTCTTCAATGGCTCTATCCACTGGGATCAAATCGCTAAGGTAGACATTGAAGTTTCCTTCTTTCCATCTTCTTTCTGCCTCCTTCTCCTTTCCATGGGGGACAACTACAGGACGCCCAAACTGCCCTGGAGCTTTGGGGTCCCTTGGAGAAAGTGTCACATCAATTCTTAACACCTGGTGCGTTCCACTGTCTTCAGGTAAAAGGGCTTTTATATGACTCTGGTTGTATTCTGTAGAGGGGGCTTTGGCAGTTATGTTGATTTTTGCTGGCTCTAGCCCTCCAGTTAAAGCATGGTTAGTTTGGGACAGTGGCACTCTATGTGGAGCAAGTGAAGAGGAAGACATCTCACTTCTATTCCTGGAAATGTGTTTACTTTGGCTTTTACCCAATACTTTAGGAAATATTGTTTTGGTTTTAGAATTAGAGACCTCTTTGGGGTCTGCCTTTTGCTCTTCCTCTTTGGTTATAATCACAAGATGGCTTTCAGAGAAATTGAGTTTCTTCCCATGAGCCCCTCTAGCTCCATCATCCTTTGACAAACTTCCCAAAGGTGTCTCATTAATAGATTGCTTCCTTAAGCGATTTGAATTGACAGTGAACTTAGGAAAAGGAAGACTCGTATTGGCTTTGTGTTTATTTGCATTGACTTCTTTGCTCTGAGTCTTAGTTTTGTTTAAGGCCATGGCTTCCCCAGACTTCGGCACTGCTGTGCTGGCAGGGTGTGCCCTCTCGTTTGCTACTGCCTGTGATCGCTGCTTTGGTCTATCAGTACTAAGACTGATGGTCACATTCAAGTCCCTTTCAGCTGCTAGTTTTGATGTGTCACTGCTGGGACTATGACTCTTCCGGGGCTCCTGTTTTAAACTGACACGTCCCATGTGTACTGATATTTTGACTACCTGAGTTCCTTTTGCTGCTATGAATGAGGTCTTTGGAGCCCCCTGAGCTGTCGTTTGCTTTGGTGTCCCCTGGTGAGAGGAGGCTTCAGGTTTGGTGCCTCTCCCGTCTGTCTTCTGCTTGTTAGGAGTCACAGGGAGGGTCTGCAGATGTGCAGGATGCCACAACGGCACAACCTTGCCCCTTCCCAGGGCATTCTGCATTTTTCTTTCCCTCTGGGTTTGGTCCAAGTCCACCTCAACCTTGAGCACACTCTCCTCAGTTTTTCTAACATTCTCTTTGCCCCATGCCCCTTTCCCATGTCCCCTTAGGGGAGGTTTCATCTCTTTTATGCTGCTGTAAAAAATTTTTCCTTGGTCTGGCTGAACTCTGAATCCTATCCGCTCCCTCCTCACAATGTCTTCCTTGATGACCCGAGTGTTGATCTCACTGAATGAGAGGCGGAGAGCTGCCATGTCAAAGAGGAGCCAGATGACAGAAGCTACAAAGATAAATGCCAAGACTCGCCCACTTCCTCGGAAAAACTTTCGGATCCTGTTCATGGTACAAAGCTTTCCCTAGCAGCCTGCCCTCCCTTAGCCTGCTTACCTTGAGTGGAGAGGAAGCTGAAGTAGCAGCAGCAGCAGCAGCAGCAGCAGAGTTGCCAGAAAGTGACCCCCTCCCCTGAACACAGCAGGAAGCAGCAGTCCAAGGGGAAAGCTCAGTTCCTACCGCTTGTCAGTCTCTGCCTGCGTGGCATTTCATAGCAGAGCATCTGTGCCTGCTTGGCTGGCCCTGGCTAAGTTCTGATAAACACTGGCCTTAGGTCACTCCAGGAGCAGTTGATTCCAGCCACCGAACAGTTCAACATATCACTTGTCTTGTCTCCGGGAGCCCATGTCCACCTTCCTACAAGCCCAAGAAAAGGTGGGGGCCAGATTGAGACTGCCGTTTCTCTCCTCCCCGTTCTCCGTCTGCACGCTGTAACTCAACACCACTTCTCATAAGGAAAACATTTCATGCCATTACCCAGAAAACTTCATTCAGCTCTCACCTTCTGTGTTATGTGAGAGCATGTGTGTTTAAACGGCAATTAAAGAGGAAAAAAAGCTATCTAACTTGGAGGGCATGTGTTCCTGGTTTGTGACCCCACCTACCCTACTCCTGCTCATTAACCCTGTTGTAGCCAGGTGCCAATGCTCTGCCTGAGGAATTTATCACTGAAGTTAACATTTCAGCTTTAAGACATAACAGCTTAAAGAAGGGGCCTGGTATATCCTCACTTCCAGAGATGTATATGTTTAATTATTTAGATCATTCATTCAAGGGGTTTCAATGTATTTCTTTGTAAGCCAACTATTTTTTTTTCACTAATCCATCTGTTTTTATTATTACATTTGATTACAAATAAACTTAATTTGTCATACTGCTATAAAAGTTTCTAAACACTTTGTTATGGTCTGAATGTTTATGTCCACCCAAAATTCATATGTTGAAACCTAATCATAAATGTGATAGTATTAGGAGGTAGGGCTTTTGAAGGTGATTTCATTATAAGGATAGAGCCCTCATGAATGGGATCAGCACCCTTAAAAAAGAGGCCCTATTGCCTTGCCATTCCACAAAGTGAAGACATAATGAGAAGGTGCCATCTATGAACCAGGAAATGGGCCTTCACCAGTCAACGAATCTGCTGGTGCCTTGATTTCTGACTTCTCAGTCTCTAGAACTGTGAGAAATAAGTTTCTGTTGTTTATGAGTCACTTAGTCTATGTTATTCTTCTATAGTAGCCTGAACAGATTAAGATACACTTACTCTCAGTTTCAGTACTTATCTCGTCTTAAACCAGCAAGCAACAGTTTCAGGACCACACCAGGACTTGGACCAGATTTTGAGTGATGCTGGTTGACTGGTAGGGTAGCAGTTCCGCCACAGGCTTTTCATTAGAACCACTTGAAACAAGATCCCCAAAACTCTGGTCAATTGATGAGAGAGGAGGTGGAGATGACATTTGGGCTGATATTGTATTAAATATATATATATATATATATATATATATATATATATATATATATTTTTTTTTTTTTTTTTTTTTTTACAAAGCTTCCCAGGTCTTTCAAATGTGCAGCTAAAGTTGAGAAACACTGGTCTAGAAAAAAAGTCTCAATTTTTTGTTTGTTTGTTTTTGGTTTTTGAACATTGCCTATGAGACATTTAATTTTAGGTGTCTACTTGACTGGGCTAAGGAACACCCAGAGAACCAGTAAAGCATTATTTTTAGGTATATCTGTGAGGGTGTTTCCAGAAGAGATTGGCATTTGACTCAGTGCACTGAGTGGGGAGGAGATGCCCTCACCCAATGTGGGCAGGCACCACTAATTGGTTGAGGGCCCAGATAGAAAAAAAGGCAGAGGAAAGGTGGATTCTGTCTCTGTTAGTGAGCTGGGACATCTTTCTTCTTCTGCCTTTGGACTAGAACTTTAGATTCTCTGGCTTTGGCCTCTGGGGCTTGTACCAGTCTGCCCCCACAACCTCCACATCCCTCACTAGGTTCTCAGGCTTTTGACCTCAGACTGAGAGTGATGTTATTGGCTTCCCTGGTTCTCAGGCCTTTGGACTCAGAATGTGCCATGTTACTGGCTTTCCTGGTTCTCCAGCTTGCAGGTGGCCTGGACTGAGGTTTCTCAGTCTCCATAACCACATGAGCCAATTCCTGTAATAAACTGCAACTCACTTATCTACCTCTATGAATCCTATTGGTTCTGTTTCTCTGAAAAATCCTGGCCAATACAGTCTACAACTTGTGTGACATTCCTTCCCTGTCTAAAGTACAGTCTAATAAAATCTATGCATTCCCATAACAACTAAATCAGAATACACATTTTGACATTGCCAGTTGTAAAGATTGTCCATAGAGTTTGAGAAGCACTTCTCGGGACCACTGTCCTTCTCTCTGAGGAACTCTGAGTGATTTGTGGACAACACTGCTGTTCATTACTCTAGTGTGGGGAGGGTCTAGCTTCCATGCTTTGAGGTAAACTTATGTTCCCAATGACTTGGGAGGGGAAGGAGAGATTCCAAATTCATATATATATCTCAAGCACTTTGCTAAGTTCTTTCCATTGACTATCTCACTCAATCCTCACAAGAATCTAATGTGAAGGAGTAAATTACAATATGTATTTTGTAGTCAGCAAATGAAACCTTAGAGAGGTAAAGCAACTTCTGGTAGAGATTGGAGGGGTTGGGTCTTGAATACACGACTGTAGTCCGTGTGCTTCAATATCACACAATACTGCTCTCTAGCTGTATGATCTTGCAGGCTAGTTAATTTTATGTGGTTACTGAGCAATAAAAAAAAATTCTGCTTTGCAGATTAATGTGAGAATATTTAAAAATGGTTAAAGTTATTGTTATATTGAAGGTACTCTTTAAATGTTAGCCATTCATATTGTTGCTAATACTTTGCTGTAATAGGAGTGTCGGATGCATGTGGGAGGCAATGTACCAGCTCTTCCCAAAAAAACAAGTAGAAAACTAGTGACTAACATGATTCTGGCAATGGGGAAGAAACAAATCTGAGTATTTTATTTTATTCTTGCCATTCTTATTTCCTCTAATTATAGATTTAACAAGACCATTGTTCACTGAGAACTCCCTACATGCCCAAAACATGAAGTAGGTGACATTGTCTCTGCCCCTAACAACCTTAAAACTCCCCTCAGTAGAACGCCACCAGTATAATAATAATAATAATAAAAAAAGAACGCCACCAGCAAAAAACATAGCACACATCTTTAGCATCCACATTCGAAAATAAAGTGAGAATTTTTTTTAGCATCATGGATAAATGGTTTGCATTACAATATTGTTTTAAACATGAAAATAGAATACTTTAAAATTATTTTACTCTGCATGATTCAATCTTGTCCAGCCACCATCCCACCCCAAATGGCAGTTGGAATTACTCAAATGTCTTTTAGGAAAGTCAACACTTGTTATATTCTATGCTTGGCAGTTTAAAACACTGCTTGAAATATATTCTTGTTTCCATATAAATTTTATCAAAGAGTACTGATTTCTTTTTATCCCTCTCTGGTTTGTCCTTGCGAATCAAAACACAAATTACTTGCAACAGGAGAGCAACATGTTAAGAAAATTAAAAGGGAATCTTGGCTTATCTATCATGGGTAAAGCAACACATTAACTCTGGCTTAGTCTTCGGTCTATTTGACATACAATTCAGAATGAAATGTGAAGAGTGGGTAGGAGAGTAAGGAAACATTGATTAAATATCCTAGAAATGGAGGAGTAGATTTGTTGTCAGACCTGGTCTAAAGTACTGACTTGGCCACTAATAGCCATATGACTATGGATGTGTCACACATGGAAAAGCTTGTGTAAGGTTCTCTTCCCAGCCTCTTCTTGGTCTTTTCCCTTGTGAGTTTATGATAATCTGTGATGATGGTAGAAGTTGGTTATAAGCCATACCACTAATTCAACACTATGTGTCTTCAGGCACTCAGTAATAATTTCTGTGGCCCTCATAGCTGTACATCTTTCTCCTTTTTTTTCTCTTTTCCGACACACATGCTGTTTCACATCTCAGATCAATGAATTGCATAGGTAAAAGGAATAGAAAAAAAAGGATATTAGGAAATTCTACCTTTTCATCAACACACATATTGCCCAACACATGACATTTGTATATTGGTAAATGACGGTGCTTCTAAAATTTTAGTTGTATTAATTTCCATGTTACCAGCAGGAAACTAAATACGTAAGTGGGTTGGTTATTTGAGGTACCCCACAGTTAGGGAGCCTGGCTTGTCATCCCAAGTCGTAGAATGCAGGTACCTTTGGCTGGTCAAATTTCTCAAGAATCTGTACATACTTAGTTGGAGATGATATCCATCTGAAAATCTGGAGTTACGAATTATCCTTGGGAGACATTTGGAGGGGTTATTCCAATTATCAGTCTGACTCCAGCTTGTACTAAACATTTAAAAACAGATTTTAGTTTCTTCTTCTGTAAAACGAGCATAATAGTAGGAGGACTTGCCCTCTACTCTATTTGGTTGTTGTCAGGATAATCATATTAATAGCAACCTTTCATTGGGAATTTACTGAGGGCCTACCACTAGTCACTTCACGGTATCTCATTTAATCCTCAACATTTAATTTTCTCAGACTAGATCAAAAACTGTTCAGCAAAACAGATCTGCATAAAGTTAGAGTGAAAAGTATATTTGTGTTATATTCTCATGGCAAATGTCTTTGAATCATCCTCATTGTTAATCAAGTAGGAGCTCAGTAAACACTGTTTTATATCTAGCCTTAAATCTCCCTGATGGAAGTACAGAATCTTAGAAACACCGGTTCCAGCTCTCTGGCTTTGCATCTACAGTTACTTTATCTGGGTATTTGAAGATTTCTTGACTATGTGAGTATATCCTAAGTAACTAATATCTGTTTTATTTTATGATATTTACTCAACTACTCACTCCTAAGTAAAAAGAAAGATGTAAAAGGAAAATTAATTTAAATGTATATTTTACAGAGAATAATGATTATCCATGGATGCATCACTGAATTTCTTTTTCCCCAGTTTTACTGAGCTATAATTGACTAATAAAATGATACATATATTAAATATTTAAGGTGTACAACATGACTTTGGATAGCCTTATACATTGTGGTATGATTGCCTCAATGCAGCTGATCTCCATTATCTCACATAATTATCTTTTTTTGTGTGTGGTGAGAACATTTAAGATCTACTCTCTTAGCAAGTTTCAAGTATACAATATATTATTATCAACTATGGTCATCAGGCTGTACATTAGCTCTCCAGAACTTACTAATCCTGCGTAACTGAAACTTTGTATTCTTTGACCAATACCTTCCAACTTTCTCCATCCCCCAACCCGCAGTAACCACCATTCTACTCTCTACTTCTATGAGTTCAATTTTTTAGCTTCCGCATATGAATGAGATCATGCAGTATTTGTCTTTCTATGCCTGGCTTATTTCACTTAGTGTAACGTCCTCCAGGTTCATCCACAGTGTTGCAAATGATAGGATTTTCTTCTTTTTTGAGGCAAAATAACATTCTTGTGTGTGTGTGTGTGTGTGTGTGTGTGTGTGTGTGTGATATATATGTATGTATGTTGCACTTTCTTTATTCATTCATCTGTTGATGGACACTTAGGTGAATTCCATATCTAGGCTATTATGCGTAATGGTGCAACGAACATGAGACTGCAGCTATCTCTTCAAGGTGCTGATTTAATTTCCTCTGGATATATAGCCAGAAGTGTGATTGCTGGGTCATATGGTAATTCTATTTTTTAGTTTTTTTGAGGAAACTCCACACTGTTTTCGATAATGGTTGTACTAATTTACATTCCCACCATCAGTGTACAAGTGTTCCCCTTTCTCCATATCCTTACCAACACTTGTTATCTTATATCTTTTTCATCATAGCCATTCCAAAATGTATGAGGTGATATCTTATTGTGGTTTTGATTTGCACTTCCTTACTGATTAGTGATGTTAAGCATTTTAAAAATATGCCTGTTGGCCATTTGTATGTCTTCTTTTGAAAAAGGTCTACTCATTTTTTTTCCCTATTTTTAAATCCAGTTGCTTTCTTGATATTGAGTTGAGCTCTTTGTCAATCAGTAGGAGCGCAATAAACATGGTTATATATTTGAGATATTAACTCCTTATTGGATGTATGGTTTGCAAATATAGTCTGTCATCCATAGGTTGTCTTTTCACTCTGTTGATTGTTTTCTTGGCTGTGCAGAAACTTTTTAGTTTCCTGCAGTGTCATTTGTCTATTTTTGTTTTTGTTATCTGTGCTTTCGGAGTTCCAAATAATCACCACTCAGACCAATGTCAAGATTTTTCCCTGTGTTTACTTTCAGTAGTTTTACACTTTTAGGTCTTCTGTTTAGGTCTTTAATCAACATTGAGTTGATTTTAAACCACAAAGAAATTAAGCAAACAAGCCTATTTACAATAGCATAAAAGTACTTAGGAATAAATATTTTTTAACCAAGGAGATGAAAGCATTTTTAACTAAGAAGGTGAAATCTCTGTGTACTGAAAACTATAAAATATTGATGAAAGAAATGGAAGACATAAACAAATGGAAATATATACTGTGTTCACAGATTGAAATAATTAGTATTCTTAAAATGTTCATACAAACCAAAGTCATCTATAAATTCAATAAAATGTCTATCAAAATTCTGGCGTTTTTCACAGACATAGAAAAAAAATCCTAAAATTTGTATGGAACCATAAAAGATATCGAATAGTCAAAAAAATCTTGAGAAAGAAGAAGCTAGAGGCATCATAGTACCTGACTTCAAAAATATGCTACCAAGTTATAGCAATCAAAATAGTATACTACTGTCTTGAGACAAGCCTGGGCAACATTATGAGACCCCCATCTCTACAAAAAATAAAAAAATTAGCAGGGCATCGTGGTGCACCTCTATGGTCCTAGCTACTTGGGAGGCAGAGGTGGGAGGATAGCTTGAGCTCAAGAGGTCGAGGTTGCAGTGAACCGAGTTTGTACTGCTGTTCTCCAGGTTGGGTGACAGAGCAAGACTCTGTGTCAATAAAAAGTATATGATACTGCCATAAAATCAGCCACATAGACCAATGGCACAGAACAGAGAGCCCGGAAATAAATCCACAAGTTTACAATCAGTTGTTCTTTGACAAAACAGCCAAGAATGCATAAAGTGGAAAAGGTAGTTTATTCAATAAATGGTGTTGGAAAAATTGGATATCCACATGGATAATTAATTTCAACTCATTGCGACTTCAGACAATACAGGATGAAGATACTAATTAGAAAATTTAAATGGGAAAACCAAGTAAATACTAATTACTGTTTTTTTCGGATTTTAATGTGATTTTTTTCTTTCCAAATTCTCTCTTTCTCTTTTTTAGAGAAGAGACAAGTTGTAATCAACTGGATAATAACATCCTGTGAAACAAATCCATAAAAGGAAAGAAAAGTTTTAAAATCATATACTAAAAGGCAGGCATTATTGCAATATCAACAGGTAGAGTAAAAATACAAATGGAAATATTATTCCATTTTAACTAATTCTTCCAATGAAGATGAATAGTTACAACTTCTGGCAGTCATTAAACATTGGTGTATGTCTCTTTTTAAATAAAATTTGGAAGCTGACTAACAAATGACCTTATTTCCTAAGACCAAGAGAATCAGTATACCCTTTACACATTTGTTCTTGAAAAGGGTTGCCTGTATTAGTGATAAATCATAATTGGTTAAGCCTAAGTTTAAAAAAACAAGAACCCTATTATTGAAAGACAATTTATTGTGTTTAGACCTCAGTTTTCATTGATTTTTGAGTAGTGAGGCTAAGCCAACATTTGTGCTATACTACTTTACAGGTCCCTAGCCAATTTTTACTTAAAAAATATTTTAGTTTAATTAGGAAAAATTTAATAAATTTAAAAGCAAAACATTAATTGAGTATCTTCCTTGGACAAAGAACTGTGCTAGTCATTAAAATGGAGAAAGTGAGCAGGTTCCTGAAGGACATATTGTCAATGAGCCCAAAACTGGCAACTCATAATCTTAATTAACTGAGTTATTAGTATTGGTTAATTATAGCTTTGGGGATAAAAAGAGAAAATAGCTCAGGGTGGCTCTGTAAGAACTTCAGTAACTTAAACAGGAATGGTAGGGGGAAAATGATAGTTTGAGAGAAAAGAAAAGTTCAAATTTAAATATGTTGTATTTGAAATAAATGAAGATTTTGTAACTAGGTGCATATTTAAAAAATATTTATGGAGTACCGACCACATACTAGACTAGGCCCTGTGCTAAGCTTTGGGAAAATAAAGAAGCCAAAGCCCATAATTTAGTGTAGTTGTTTTCATTTATATGTGTGTCCATCAAACATTTCATGAGGAAGTGTTGTTAAAATATAGACTCTGACGTTCTCCCCTCAGAGATTTCAAGGTTGGTTGTAGGGCCTAGCAATCTGGATTTTAACTGGAGTAGATAATGATTCTGATAGAGTTGGACCACCAACCATACATTGAGGCTCACAGGTTCAGCAGCAGAAGCATATTAATATTAAAATAAGAAAACTGGAATAGCTTATTTGGAGGGGTGTTTGGAAAGGTGTCCTGGGGGTGATGACTGAGTGTGAATTCCTCTTATGAATAGGGAGAGGGTAATTTAGGAAAAGCAGTCTATGCAGAGGTAAAAGCAGGCTCAAAACATTGAGGGAGGAAGGCATGAGAATAATATGAATGGATAATTAAGATTTGTTTGATAGTACTAGATTTTACAGTAGATTGGCAAGCAACGAGGTAAAGATTGTTGGCTGAGCTTCTGTTGTATTTGTTCAAGATTTTGGATTTTTACTGTTCAAGGGCTAGAAGCTTTTTAAAGTTGGAGTGTGATACTCTCAGGGTTTTGGATAGAGAGCGGGTGGGTGTATGAAGAATAAATTGGTAGTAAGCAAGCTGCAGGCTGGGAGACCAATTAACATAAGTGCTACATATTTATTGCCCTTCTTTTGAACAGTCTAATCACACATGGAATAAAATCTGAACTTTAATTGTACATGTTAGTCTATTTAAGATATTTTTCTAGATCAAGAGGGAAGACTGGAAGAGGGATCATTTCTACTAATAGAGTGGGTCTTCATTAAAGACACAGTCTCTTAAAGTGCACGTAAGGCACAAATATACAAGCTATGCCCTCTGTTTCTAAACCTAAGGTGTGTTTAACTTTTAAGAAACTGCCAAAATGTCCCCAAAGTGCTTGTATCATTTCATATTCCCACTGACACTTCCCCACATTTTCAGTAACACTTAACTTTTTAATTGTAGTCATTTTTGTGGGTATATAGTGGTATCTATTTGTGTTTTAATTTACATTTCCCTAATGACTAACAATTTTGAGCAGATTTTTCTGTGCTTATTTGCCAACTGTCTACATTCTTTGGTGAATTACGTCTTCAAATTTTTGATCCATTTGTTAATGGATTGGTTTTCTTATCATTTAGGGACATGAAGAAACCTTTAAGGATGGAGGTGTGTCTACTGTCTTCATCCTGGTGATGCTTTCATAGGTATGGACACAATATCAAAATGTATTCAATTGTACACCCTAGAAATGTGCACTTTATTGTGTATATATTATACCTAAATAAAGCTGTTTTTTAAAAAACAAAAACCTAAGGAAAGAATAAGGACAATTCCTGGACCAAAAAACGAGTGCAGTGTTTTAGTTTCTTACTATTCCAAGCAGGAAAAAAGTGGACGATGCCATTATTACAGCTTGTAGATCCTCAAGAAATGAGGTCCCTACTTCTTTGGTCCTAAGAAGGAGCTGCAGTTCTGGTCTCCACAAGGTCAGTGCAGACTCTCTGGTTTGTGCAGTGCTGCCTTAGGCTGTTAAAGAGAGCAGGCCATTGTGTGCTCCCTGGATGGGCCCAGCCAGATGCCCTTCTTACTCTGTTCCCCAGGTGCAAAGTACCCATCAATGCTTTTAAAACGTTTAAATGGAAGCCACTCTCAAAATTAGAGTTCGTCCCATTGCCTCTACATTCAAATTGTTATGTTATCATTGAGTTGTATAACATTTAAAATGAAGGCCTATAGGCTTCAATTACAGTATTGTTTGAAGAAAATCTTTATAAAATATGATATTTTTGGAGCAGAGTTGGGTAGGAGCTCCAGACTCCAGGTCTAGAGTCAAGATTGTGCCAGGGGTTCTTTCTACGAATGACGGTGAGGGCTTTGATACTATAAAGAGAGTGGATACGGCCTAATCAGATAAAAGTGTGTCACCAGAGGAGACAAGAAATGAGTTTACAAATACAGGCTTATAATTTAATTGTAAAAAAAGATTAGAGACACCTTTTGTTTTGAAATTGTTCCAGTTCCAGGACAGATAAAAATGAGTGGAAGAAAGCAAAGTTCAGAGTTCGGGCCTGGTGACTTCTGATTTTCTCAGAGAAGTACGAGATAGACTAATGGTGAACAGTGAAGAGTTGAGGGTGAGTGATGTCAAAAGACAACACTGTAACAAATTTAGTTTAAAGATTTAACAGGAATTGGGGCAGTATCTCCTCCACAAATTTAGAAAAGGTGCTCTGATGGGCATGGTAGAACAGTTCGTTTTTATAGGACAGTCTAAGCAGGACCAAACATATAGCATAATACAAAAAGCAGATGGGTTACCATCAGGTTACTTCAGGTTACTTTCCTTGCAGGGTTAAAAGGATGTTTCCTGACTCTACCAGCTAAAACTGGCCTGTTTGGATACTTGGCAATGGTCTTTCTCTCCTGATTTCCTGAAAGGTGAAATAAGCAACTTTTTTAGTTTGGTACCAAGGAACTTTAGCACGAGTGATTCCATTTTGATTTGGTCGGTTGGGGCCTAGTTCAGGAGCTCAGTCCAACTCAATGACTTCCTATAAATTTTATTTAACAGTGGGTAGGGGTTGGATGCACTTGGTAAAGTTTGGAATCAGCTGTTAAGAGGAGAAAGAAATGTGCTACCTCAGAACAAGAGTAAGGACTTCTCAGAGAGCTTCGAGAGTCCTGCTGGCATTTTAACCAATGCCTCTAAGCAAGGAGAAAACACAATGAGTGACAGTAGAACAAAGAAGGCATGTGGACACTCCCACAGCATTCCTGAGACAGAGTGATAAAAGGTGACAGGGAAGCAGATATGGAGTAATGATTTCTGACAAACGTGGAAAGAAGGGGATATCATGAAAGGATTTTAGAAAGTGGAATTGCCGTATCTAAAAGCATTAGGAGAAATTCTACAGGCGAGAATAAAAAGAAGGCACTAGAGATTTTTGTTGTTGATTTTATTTGTAGAAAGAGACATTCTTTAACAACTGCAGGCATGTTAGGACTTTGCCCTTTGAAAATCTATTAGTAATGATATAAAAATCCTTCCGTGGTCTCTTTTGGCAGAAA
The DNA here is from genome assembly GCF_000001405.40 of Homo sapiens. Classification (NCBI taxonomy): domain Eukaryota; kingdom Metazoa; phylum Chordata; class Mammalia; order Primates; family Hominidae; genus Homo; species Homo sapiens. Next base: position 157,246,638 of record NC_000002.12, on the reverse strand, counting down.
CTGAATTAAATCTTCAGCTGCTCTCTGAATCACTCATTTAAAAGTTTCAGTGATTCATATGCAAAGCTTGAGTTAAGAGAACAAAGACCTGAGCGAGTTTCTGTAGGGCTCGGCCTAAGCAAAGTTGTCACGCAGAACAACATGAGTGCTGGGTCCCCTACCCTTGGCCCTGACAACCTCCATCCGAGCAGCAACCCCTATCCAACTTACTGCTGCCCTGCAGCCTCCCAGGTGCTGCCCTGGGAATGCCCTCAGAACGGGTCCTGTCCTCTGATCCTGACTCTCCTTCCTCTTCTCATCCATCCCCCTGAAATGATCCTGTCCTCTTTATGGCCTCCATTATAGCAAAGAAAAGAGAAGGAAGAAGAGAGGAGTAGAAAAAGAAGTCTTGTGGGAGGAGCAGACAGCAGGTGCTATGTAGGGCATTTGAGGGCTCTTTTCATGTGCTGTGAAGAAGTGGGATGAAATGAAAATCTTTTTGAAAAAGCTGGAAGCTGTTTCAGATCTCCCCCTGCCCTGCTCCCCACCAATTCAATTCCTGCTCCCAGGGGAAAGTGCAAAATAACTTTCTGTGGAATGAAATGATGACAATGACTTTGGATCCAATAATGTTATCATAACCTGGAAATAACCTTTCCATCTGAGGCTTGCAAAGGCAGTGAAGTGTGAAACTCAGACTACAGTTAGAGAAACGAAAGAGACTTGAACTCAGGACCCTTTGGACATTTCCTTCAATATCAAAGAAAAGTTTTTATTTCTCTCCTCTGAAAATAGGGTAGGAAATGGGTAAGTGATAAACAGAGAAAAAGGCAGAAGCAATACCTAATTAGAAATCAAACTAAGAGAGGAAAAGAAAAATGGGTTCAGATTAATGTCAGGTTTGGTTATTCCAGGATCTCAACTTCGTTGCTGTTATCACATACTTTCAGAGGCATTCAGGTCTTGTGATGCCGTGTGCTTGAGTGTTTTTCTTACTCTTGGAAGCTGAGGATTAATACTCAGGGCTGGGCACACAGGAGAAAAGGGTTTGTTAAGCATCCACTCCTGGTTAAGCTAAAAAATGTACATAGAACTTGAAAGCACCCAACTCAGTTCCAGAGGGATGAAATAAACCTAAAAATAGGTGAGCTCTGGTTGTATTGGGGCTGGCCTGAAAACACACAAGAAAGGAGCACTTGAAAGAGAAGGAAAGAGGAGCAATGTGCATATTTTACATGGATATACACATTTGTGTCTACATATTTATATACAAATGTACAAACTCCATGTGTGCTTCGTTTGTGTGTGCATATTCATATTTATACATATGTATATATGTAGAGTTCACAGAGCATACCCACACAAATACACACCAGAGGTGCTGACTTTGAGCTCTGTAAGAAAAAATTTACTACTCGGGAAGAAATGAAACAGGCCTTTTGAGGACATTGGCCATACACTACCAGGTATACTACCTTTTGGAGGGCAGATCATATGTTTTGCATATGTTTATTTTGGGTAGGAGGAGACTCAGGAGCAACATAATAACCACTTCAAAATTTTAGAGGAATATCCTGTGGAAGAAGGGTTTAACTCATTCCGTATGGTTCCAGAAGAGAGAACTGAGACTGGAGCATAGCAGATTTCTGTTCTAAATGAGAATGACTTTCTAACAATTAGTACTAAACAAAAGACACGTGTATTTCTTCTAAAAGTAGTTAACGATATGCCTGCTCTTGTAAATGACATGTGGCAGAGGATGAATGGCCATCTGTCACAGAAACGGTAGGGGGTATTCTTCCATTAGGTGGGGGTTTGGACTACAGCATTAGCTGGACCAGCTCCATTCTGAAATTCAGTGGTTCTCTGAAATACATAAATGAGTTTTGAGGCAAGGCAAGTCAGATAATGGTTTTGATTTACTGATTGCTTTTACTTCATTCAGTGACTTAGGAGCAGAAAACTCCTATCTCAATAGTTCCTATAGATATCTATTTTTTTGCCTTCTGTTTGATTTCTATTCTTCCTCCTTTTCTCTTTACCTTTAATTTTTGTGTTTCTATTATCTTTTCCTTTTCTTTTCTTCTTCCTCCCCATGCCCTCTAGATATAAGGATGGAGTAAAGGCAATGTTTGTCAAGAAAGCAACAAGGAAGAAAAAAGAATAGAGAAAGGAAAACTTTGAACTCAGTTAACTTTTAATTTTCACTTCAAATTTTGGCTGTGTGTGAGTATGTGAATGCATGTATGTATACTGGATTGTGTATGTGTTTGTGTGTGTGTGGAGGGGTGGGATAGAAACAGAGAGAATGTGTGAGTAGGTGAATAGACCCTCAGATGTTTGGAAATGCTGGAAGTTAGGTACCACTTCTTGTTGTCACGATGCCTAGTGGGTGCTAGTAGTAATTAATGGCAAAAGGGGAGGAATGCTCTATGTCCTGCAATATGCATGTCAGTGCCATCCAATCATGTATTATACTACCCTACATAACAGGGCCCCATTGAGGAACACTAGGGAAAGGCTGTGGAGACAGACTGTCTGGGTTTGAATCCTGGTTCTGCCATTTTTAGCTTTGGGATCTTGGATAAATACTTTAAGCTTTTTGGGTGTTTGTTTTCTCTTCTGTAATATGAAGGGTAATAAGAACACCAACCTCACATTACTGTCAGAATTAAATGAATTAGTATGAGTCAAGTGCTTAGAAAAGCACAGACACATAAAACACATTCAACAGTGTCATCTATGATTTTAATTTTTCTGAAATGGCTGGAAATGGACTACTTGGACTCATCTTATGTGCTGAGTGTATGAAAGTCTCTACATGCTTTAACTGATTTTTTAGGGAACTAGATAGTAATGAACCAGTACTTAAGAAAGTGCAGCTTATGGACCCCTTGATGTTGTGAAGCTTTTGTGATATCACATGAACACACGTAAGCTTTGGCAGATAAAATTAATTTGCCTTGTTCTTTTTGTCTTCCTCACACATAAGCAAACATATAGTCATATACCACATAACTATACTTTGGTGAGGAACAGACCTCATATATGACGATGGTCCCATAAAATTATAATGAAGCTGAAAGATTTCTATTGCCTGGTGATATTACAGCCATCTTAACTTCACAGCTCAATGCATTACTCATGTGTTTGTGGGGATGCTGGTGTAAACAAACCTACTGTGCTGCCAGTCATATAAAATTGTAGCACATGTAATTATGTACAGTACATAATACTTGATAATGATAATAAGTGATTATGTTTCTGGTTTATGTATTCACTGTAGTAAAGTTATATTTACTATAATTTATTATCATATTTACTATACTATAGTTTTTATCATCATTTTAGAGTGTACTTCTACTCATTAACAAAAGTTAACTATAAAACAGTCTCAGGTGGGTCCTTCAGGAGGAATTCCAGAAGAAGTCATTGTTATCATAGGAGATAAAAGCTTCATGTGTGTTCTTGTCCCTGAAGACCTTCCTCTGGGTTAAGACGTGGTTGTGGAGGATGGTGATATGGATGATCCTGGCTCTGTGTAAGCCTAGGCTCATGTGTGTGTTGTGTCTTAGTTTTTAACAAAATGTTTGTAAAGTAAAACAAAAAATTTTGAAAATAGAAACAAGACTTTAGAATAAGTATATAAAGAAAGAAAATATTTTTGTACAGCTGTACAATGTGTTTATGTTTTAAGCTAAGTGTTATTACAAAAAGTTCAAAAAGTTAAAAAATTTAAAAACTAATAAAGTTAAAAAGTTATAGTAAGCTAAGGTTAATTATTGAAGAAATTTTAAAATGAATTTGGCATAGCCTAAGTGTACAGTGTCTACAAAGTCTATAGTAGTGTACAGCAACAGCTTAGGTCTCCATATTCACTCATAATTCACTCACTTACTGGCACAGAACAACTTCCAGTCCTGCAAGCTCCATTCCTGGCAAGTGCCCCATGCAGGTATACCATTTTTTATCTTTTATACAATTTTTTTTGTGGTATCATTTCGATTTTAGATATATTTAGATACACAAATACTTATCATTGTATTACAATTGCCTACAATTTTCAGTATAGTTACATATTGTATAGGATTGTAGCCTAGGAGCAATAGGCTATGCCATATAGCCTAGGTGTGTAGTAGGCTATACCATCTAAGTTCATGTAAATACACTGTATGATATTCACCCAATGACAAAATTACCTAAAGATGCATTCCTCAGGACATATCTCTGTTGTTAAATGACACATGATTATATACCCAACCGTTCCCCTAATCTACATACACACACACACAGACACACAGACAGATGCATTTGTAATAATAAAATGTAAGTCCTAGGATTTTTGTCACATGTATTTGCTTAATAAGTAGGCACAATACATGCATTTACAATATGTGGGAGGCTGTGGAATTTTGAAAAAGTTTTTTCTTTAATTCCTTGGGCTTGATAAGGTTCAAGCTTCATACAACGGACCATTCTTAATCCTACATTGATACTGAATATTATTTTATCTTTTAAAAGATTGATTTAATAAGCATTTCAAGATTTTGCCACAATCCAAGTACATAATCACAGACTGTAATGATCATTCTGTCATAAGTCAGTTCTAAAAGGCACATCTGATTAAATGGAATCTGTTAAAACATTGTAATGCCATAGAAATTGCTTTTATAAAAAATCACCAACATTAGCTTGTTTGCTTTTCATTTTTAATTTATTTTATGAAAACAGAGTTAAGATTCTTCATAATAGTGTGTGCTTTGTATGGTGAAGAGTATTTCCAATTGATTTTGTCCCATCTGTTTAAATGCTTTCTCTTTCCCATTTGACCAACTCATTTGGAGGGAAATGCAAGTACATATGCAACATGTGGACAGAACCATATGATTCCCCCATGATATGATTATTAAATTTTTCTACTAATACATATTGAGAAGTGTTAAACCTTTTCCTGCCATTCGTGGATACATTCGTTGATGAACATCTGGCTCATGTAACCTGCATATGCTGGATGCCATAAATTACATGGAAAGGCAGGAGACATCTCACAGTTTTTTAAAATATGTATACTCATGCATTTTTCACTATTTGTTCTAAGGATTAAAGTACTTCATATGGGTCAAGTGCTTAGAAAAGCTCAGATGCATAAGGCATATTCAGCAAATGTCAGCTATGATTTTGATTTTCCTGAAATGACTGGGAATGGGATATTGGGATTCATATTACATGTTGAGTATCTCAGAGTTTCTATGTGTCTTAATAAGTTTTTAGGGAACTAGAATTAGCACTGAAAAGTCCCATGGAGAAGAAGGAGATACAACTTATTTACCCTTTTTCCGTTTGCCCCAAGAATACTTGCTGGCGAGCTTGTGGCTGCAGCGTTTACCCTAAGACAACTTTGCATTGAAATATCTCACTTTACTTATTGTTTTTGCATCATTCTAATGTATCAATTTTGGACACAAAAGACATCATTCTATTTACAGCATTCTGTTTTTAGTAGTGGTATTTCCATTTACAAAATATAGTAATTTTTGATTGCTGAAAATGTCAAATCCTAGAAAACGTAGCATTCCTATGTGTGATGTTAACATTGTTCACGAACGGTTGTTGGCCGAAGATTCATTTGATGAATCTGAGTTTTCTGAAATAGATGATTCTGATGATTCAGACGATTCTGATGTTAGTTCTGTTTAGAAATAACTCCAAGAACAGTTTTTATATTTTAGTTTCACATTGAAAATCAGTCAGATTTGCTTCAGCCTCAAAGAGCATGTTTATGTAAAATTAAATGAGCGCTGGCAGAGAGCAGCACTTTTTTGTTTCTAAACAGGAAGAGGGTTAAAATATGAGTGCTCAACTTACCACCTCACTGCAGGATTTGGGGACAGGGAATACATTGGTACTCTGTATTTTCTACTCAATTTTGCCGTGAACCTAAAAATTCTCTAAAAAGTACAGTTTATTAAGGACTCAGAAATATACTATTGGGATTATAAAATAATAATCATAATAATATCTGAGAAAGTCAGGGTCCATAAAAACAAACTTTAAATTACAGCCTTTCTCTCATTTATACCCCCACCCACAACACCAATAGGTGGGTTACCAGAATTCGACTTTACGAAGAATTTCATTTATCGATTTGTGTTTGTTTGCCTTTGAGGTAGCTCAACCTAGAAAACAAAGCTGACAGTCCTTTGTGGCAGTGTGATTGGCCTACTCAGGCTACTACTAACTTGCCTAAAGTGCTCCTGTTACATTAGTTTATACAGTAATGATCTGGGTTATTTTCTTTTGATCTGCGTTATTTTCTCTTGCCTTAATTCTTTTGTGTTTTGTGTATTAAAGATTTAATCACATAAAAAATATGAGTACCCACCACTCATTTATTCCTTGTTAGCAAAGACACAAAAGCATTGAATAGAGAACCACATTTGTAAAAAGTTCTGTACAGGAAGGTAGTCTGGTGTAATAAAAAGTAGAGTTTGAGACCACCAAATCTCAAACTCAAATCTCAACCCCATTATTTTCTTGTGATGTGACTAAGGCACCCCAGCGTCTTCACTCAGCTTTAGTTTCCTCACATGCAAGTTAGGGACTTTAAGCCTATTTTGTTAGAGTTGTGAAAACAAGAGATGAAGAGGGTAAAATCACTTAACTTGGTGTCTGCTATATAGTAGATGCTTATAAAATGTTAGCAACTAACAGCCATGGCTATTATTATCTTTATGCTGAAATTACTTTTTAATTTTTCAATTTTTAATTTTTATAGGTACACATCAGGTGTATATATTTGTGAAGTACATGAGATGTTTTGATACAGGCATGCACTGTGAAATCATCACATTATGGAGAATGGAGTATCCATGCCCTCAGGCATTTATCCTTTTTCTTACAAACATTACAATTACACTGTTTTAGTTATTTTTAAATATACTATTGAGTTATTGACTACAGTCACACTGTTGTGCTATTGAATACTAGGTCTTATTCATTCTTTCTAATTAATTTTTATACCCATTATATGTTGAAATTTTTGATAAATGAATACTGTTAAAGCATTGTCATTTGTTTTCAATTACAATATTATGAAGTAGTGCCTGCAGCAATAATAGCAATGAAAAGATTGAGGACTAGGCCCAACGATTTGCTGTACAGTTAGCAGATAGAAACCTACAGTCTTCAACAATATAGGCTACAGACTTTAGGGACAAGATATAAGAATGCCCTATGTGACTGAAATGTACACAAAACTGCTCAGCATGCTTGGAATTAGTGTGTGTTTGAAAGTTTCCTCAAAGTAACCAATATGGGTTTGTGATTTGGATATAGGTAACAAATGAGTGTTAGGTGTGTGTATATGTATGTGTGAATGCTCCTTAATTTATAATTAGAAGGAGCAAGGCTAAAGTGTAATACAGATAAATTACAAACTAGGACATTATGAATTTATTTAACAACTATCCATGCCACAAATGTTATGTGACAGATACTGCGGTATATGCTACAAGTAGAGGTGTGGAAATTTGTAAGACATAGTCCTTAAAATCAAGTTTTTTAGGCCAATAAACCAGCACTTACAACACAGATAAATGATAAATGCTATAGAGAATTTTGCCACAACTAATAATGTACACAGAAGGACATCTGCTTTGCTTGAAAAGGTCAGGGGAAATGGAAATGATTCTAGGAATGAATAATAAAGATTAAATAACAGCTATCCAGGAAGACAAAAAAGATTGGGTATTCTAGTCAGAAGGAACTGTGTGTGCAAAGGCACAGACTTAAGAAAATGTGGGTAAGTGATAGGGCAGGGAAATGCAAGAAATAAGCCTAAAGGGGTAAACAGGGACCAGATCATCACATTGTTTGTATAGGATATTACAAAGCAAAAGAAGAGGCCCAACAATCATCAGTAGCAGGAAGAAATTTATCAGTTGCCCTTACAAGTTAGTGAACTAAACATTTCAAGGGCTCTGTATCATTTGGGTTTTTATTACAGGTTCTCTTTTACAAATTCTTCTTTCTCTATCCTAACCCTTCTCCCCAAGGGAGCCCACACGTTGTGACCACACTGATTGTATATTTGTGCGCTCCACGTAGGGCACAAATTCCTTAGAAGTGGAATTTTTGGTGGGAGAACAAAGGAGCTTGTATTTGTGTAATGCAGTGGAAGATCTATTGGTGAGCTGACAATAGTTACAGCTTGTTCTGCAAAATGATCCTGGAGCCCCCTCACCCACCAAATAACAACTTTACTTTGATATCTAACTTGATTATTTCATTTCTTACATTTATTTCAGGATTTAAGAACCCTTATGATGTCTTTCTGTGTCTCAAGTCTTGCCCCCCTGTGATTTCTGACCTGAGATGACTGTTCTTGCATGATTGGGTTCCCCATGCTGGGTTTCCCCAATCTTTCTCAACCTTTCATGACAACCCCTAGCTGAAATTATCCTGTATACCTTAATGATGACCAGTTAATTTGCCCTCAGATACTAATGGCTTACCATGGCTCAATTGATCGACCTTTTCCAAGAGGAAGATTATTGTACTTAATGTTTTCATCATTATATTTCCATTGCCTCACTTTCTTGCCATACCCAATTTATGTTCTTTTGCAGTATTATATGTGTATTTGTAAATCCTTCTCAATGTTTTCCCTTTTTTTTTTTTTTTTGAAACAAAGCTACTGAAATAAAGAATGGGCAAAAAGCAATCCCTTTACTATTAAAGGGTCCTTTAATGTTGAAACTGAAGATGGGCCTTCATGGTGAAATGGTATGAAAGTAGGCTGACTTAGGTGACATTTTGAGCAGAAGAGTCTTTGGTCTTTCCTTAAATTACATAGCCCAAGGATGTTACTGATTTTGATACACCAAGGAAGTTCTTTGCTAAAATTCAATTGTTCTCACCCTTTTTAATTTTAGAGTTTGCTAGAAATTTTAAGGGTTTGCTTTAAAGAGTTATCAGAGCCACTATAACACTGGACAAACCAGCAATCGCTACTGCAGTGTAACAATGTTCCAATATGTCTACAATATCAACTGCATTTATTGAACTTTTGATTTTGTCACTCTTCTTACTCTTTTTCCTTTTAGATGTAACATTTACTGTCTTGACCATGATTTTGAAAGAGATAGTTCCCTTGACCTTTCATGGGACTTGTGAAGGGGTTAGCTCATTTATTCAGCCCACTGTTCTTAGACCCTCATGGGAGGGGGAGCATGCAGGTGAGTGAGTGCAGGGGCCAGGATGAGTGCTTCTGGGCACTGGCAGGAGTAGAATTTTGTGCCACCCCACAGCAGCATCTAGGGGGGTATCCTTGATCCCCGGAGCAACAGAGGGCTTGTGTTACAGTGTGCTCTTTTAGATTTGCCACCCATGGATGGCTTAAGTGTTTAATAGCTCAGAGTGACAGCCCTCCATATCCCGAGCTTTTGTTTGGCGTCCAAAAATAATCAGGTCACACGAACGAATTGAAGATGATAAAAGTGGAGGATTTATTGCTGATGAAAATGGCTCTCAGTGTGTTGGGGAGCTGCAAAGGGGAAGAAGTGGGAAAGTGGTCTTCCCCTGGAGTTTAGCCATCCCCAGCCAAACTGTTCTCCGAAGTCCCCCCAGCAAGCTGTCCCTCTGAAGTCAAGCTGCTCCTCTCTGATGTCCTGCTGCTGCTTCTCTTCTCTCCTCCTCTGCTACCCTACTGCCAGTGGAGCATGGGGTTTTTATGGATGCAGGATGGGCGGCAGGCCAGGCCAGGGTGGTTTTAGAAAAGACAACATTCAGGTGGGAAAACAAGAATGCATGTACTTACTTTGGGCTGCAGGTCCAGGCTTGAGGTTGGGGCTTCATTAGGGACCCTGCCCTTCTCTGCCTAATATTTCCCTGCCTCCCATCCACATTAATTTCATATATCCTCACTAGGCATAGCTCTTAGGTGAAATGCATTGCATAATTCCAGCAGGCACAATTATTCTTTGAGAAGTATTATCATACTTAATGTTTTCATCATTATATTTCCAGAGGTATTCTTACGGCTTTGGAGTTGTGCAATACTGCAGGTTTGCACATGTGTAAGCACACAATATTTTTCTGACTTGGCTTGGTTATTACTCTGTGCTTCCTTAACCTGTGATTTTCACCATCTCCTTATAGTGATGTTCATCTCAATGTTCATTTTGACAAACCACAGTAACGTTGTCCAAATTACCTAGAATAAAATGAGAGTTTCTTCTTGATTTAAAATCTATCTTAGCATTGAGTCTTAGAGAATGGGACTGGGTGGGTGGAGAATGCTATGACTATTTGATAACTTTGTCCTGATTACACGCTCTCATTTATAGCAAAAGTAAATTTTACCTGTAGATTAAAAGCTATTTATATTAGTTTTAAAATCTTTTGGGGAGCATGATCCTCTTTGCAGTCAGAGAATTTATACTCTAGGATATCAGCATTACCACTGATGATCATAAACACTTTAAGATACATGGTCTCTTGTTCCCTTTGTGTTACATAAACTACTGGGTCACCATTTTGATTTCCCCTCAATCATTAGCTATAGGAGTTTTCTGGCAGCACAGAATAATTTGTCTTGTTCTGTATTGTCACTACTTTGAAGAGTATCTCAACACTTAAATCAGAAATGTAAATTTCTCATTTTCAAATGTTGAAAATATAGCACTTTATGCTATTTTAAAGAAGTTAGAGTGGTACAGACTTAACCAGTCAACTTGTCCATACAAAAGTCACTGTCTTCTCAAGAGAGGAAGTGCTGTTCAAATAGTCAGGAACATGTGTATTTGTAGAGAAACTTAGTCTAGTTTATAGTGCTTGGAGTAGGAGTATTTAGCCAGGCTAATAGAAATAATTTTCAGGTTCAGGTCAAGAGCACAAGGTTTAAAAGTATAGAATGTTGTCTTGGGAAATCCTTGTGAGAAGCTGTGGATGATCAGCTATCCAGATGAGCTGTGACAAAGAGTGGACTTCATTATTTCTTTTCTTTTTTTAAAAATTGTACTTTAAGTTCTAGGGTACATGTGCACAACGTGCAGGTTTGTTACATAGATATCCATTTGCCATGTTGGTGTGCTGCACCCGTCGACTCATCATTTACATTAGGTATTTCTCCTAACACTATCCCTCCCCCAGGTCCCCACCCCGTAACAGGCCTGGTGTGTGATGTTTCCCTCCCTGTAAGGACTTCATTATTTCTAAAAGCTTCCTCTATCTCTTCCAAAAATAGCTTTTTTTTAAATGAAAAGACAGTGACATAAAAACTAATTGCTACTGGAAATTTAATTTAGAGATCTTTATATTGGCAAAAATGGGTATATATATTTTTTCCTTTTAAAAGATCCTCTTGTTTCATTTTAATATAAAAATAGCTACCTTGATGTCAGGATGTTCCAGGTTGTAATGAAGCCAGTTTTAAGCCTCTAGTCCCTGTGTATTCTACCACTAAAGAAGAGAATAATTTTACAGTAGAAGATTATTTCATGATCCCTAAGTATCTGAAGTATTTTTCTTCCTTTTTCTCTTTTTCCATTCATCCATTCACGGTATCTATGTACCTGGTACCATGGCAAATGCTGGGAATATCAAAATGGAATAAGTTAATGTCCTGGCTATCCAGAAGTTCTTGAATAGCAGGGAAAGCAGACATATAAATACAGTTAAATAAATATCAAGAAAAATGAGCATGAAAGGGCTCAGGGGAATTGCTGAGGAAGGAGAGGTCAACTCTGTCTCAATGGTTGACTTTGCCTTTCTGCTTACTCTGTGACCAAGAACTCCTTTATCATCCTTGATTGTGAATTGGCCACAGGGCTTAACTTTACTTTTTCCAGGAGTTCTTCTCTGGCTCTATAAATTCTGGCTTCCAATATGTCATCCTCTATCATCTGTCTACTGTCTGAAGTTTAGAAATTAGCACACAGAATGCAGTGGTCTAGCTATTACTTGATTAACTGAGACACTTAAAACAAATATTGAGTAGATTGAGTAGCCTGAACTTATTAATACAATTACCAAAAAATATAGACTACTGAAGAGTTAAAGCTTTCAAAAAAATGTATAATTTTAAGAAGTCATGCTCCCACTCTTCATGTCTGTACATAAAGCATGAACTCAAATGTCAATGGTTTGGGTTTGAATCTTGGCTATGACATTTTGGAATTGAGTGACTTTGCCAAGCTGTCATTGGGTTTTTGTGAAAAAGAAATAAGACAGTGCATAAAGGATACAGCACATTACTGGTCATATAGTAAATGTTCAATAATCATTGGCTACTATTACTTCCTAATTGGCATCATCCTAATCTTACTCCTGCTGTTAAAAGATAGTACTTTTTCTTAGGAATGGACTGACGCATTTACTTAAGTGATGTGATTTGAAGGAACAATGGAAAGAAACATCAAAAATATTATTTCACAAGTCTACAATACCTTGAAGTTCTAATGACTATTATTCAATAAATTATTAATTCTGAAGCTTTCCCCACATTTGGTATTCTAATCCATTAATGTCCTTATATGCAGAGAAAAAAGAAAATTGGCTTGACCCAAGGTACCTCCTCCAACCTTCTTTGACATAATTGACAACTGTGGACATTGGAGGAGATAATCCAAAAGGGCACTAAAAACAACTTCACCTATTTTACAATTTTATGAAAAGTTGGATACATTTGCCTCTACTATTTCAGATTGTAGTCATTAGGTCTAATGCAAAAAACCAAGGGCATCAACCAAAAAATACAATTTAGATGGTTTTCCAGTTTCCTGATGTGTATGTCTTCTCAAAGTTGAGGAAGATGATTCAGCCTGTGGGAATGTATTGCTTAAGAATGTATTAATTTTTCTTTTACATACTGTAGGCACAAAGTGATGATGGTTGAGATATATCCAATCCATCATTTTGCTGAGAAAAAAAATTTGGATAATATATAAAAAAGAAACATTTACTTGAATTCTTTTGAATTGAAACAAGACAGAGAGAAAGCCGAGCAAAATGGATGAAAACAGGGGTGAGGCTGAGTTCAGCGAGGCAGTGGTTAGAGATTATTTTCCCCTAGAATTGCTAAATTTAGAAAGAGGCCACAGTGAGGCTGAGCGGCTGAGAACTTTAGACATCCACGCTCAGAGAGGTGGAAGATTAGAATATACAGAAGGGAGGGTAAGAGACACAAGGAATACCATGAGAAGGGCTAACATATGTTTAATCAAAGTCTAAGAGGAGAGAAGAAAAAAATGGGGCAGAGGCAACTGATAAAAGACAGTAAGCCAAAGATTTAAGAAGCCCTACAAACCCCAAGCAATAAAAAGAAAAGAAAAGAATACTTAAGAAATTTTTTAAAAAGAAAAGAAATCCAGAAAACTAAAGATGAAAAAAAAAATTTTTTAATGTAGCTGAAGAAGAAATGCTGGTTGTCTTCAAAGAAGCAGTAATTAGACTGACAGCTGAATTCTTCACAACAACAACAACAAAACAAAATAAAAAACAAACCAGAAAGCAATGGAATTAATTCTTTAAAGTATTAAAATGAAAACAATTGCTGATAAAAAATTCCACAGTTGATGAAAATATCTTTCAGAAAACAAAAATAGGCCAAGAAAGTGATGACCACCAGACTCACATTCACAGTTAAAAAAAAAAAAAGTCAAGGGTATTCTTCAGGGAAAATAGAAGAAAAATCTAAATTGGAGCTTTGAGATTCAGAAAAGAACAAGGAACAATAAAAATAGTAAAATTCTAAAATATATGTAAATCTAAATGGAAATTGACTGCATAATACTATAGTAATAATAATGATGTCTTACAAAGTTTAAAATACAAAGAATTAACATATAAAATAAAAATGGCATATAATGTGGGGCTTAGGCACTTGGATTAAAGCGTTGCAAGTTATTTACTTTGTTTGGAAGATGGTGAATGTATCAAGTTAGATTTAAATTTGTCAAGAATGTACATTGCAATTTCTAGAGTAAGTGTAAAAAAGTAAACATATATAAAAATTTCATATTGATAGATGGGAAAGCAAGAATAAAGAAATCGTCAATCCTTTAGGAGAAATTAGAACACTTGCACACTGTTGATGGGAATGTATAGTGGTGAAGCTGTTACGGAAAACAGTATGCCTGTTCCTCAAAAAACTAGAATTGCCATAAGACTCAGCAATTCTATCTCTGGAAATATACTCCAAGAGGACTGAAGACAGGATCTATAAGTGATATTTGTACATCAATATTCATGGCACCTATTCACATTAACTAAAACACAGAAGCAATCTAAGAGTCCACTGACAGATGAAAGGATAAGAAAAATGTGGTATATATGTACAATGGAATATTATTCAGTCTTAAAAAGAAAGGAAATTCTGACACATGCTATAATATGAATGAACCTCAAGGACATTATACTAAGTAAAATAAACCAATCACAAAAAAGACAAATTATGTATGATTCCACTTATATTAGGTACCTAGAATAGTGAAAATCATAGATACTGAAAGTAGAATGGTGGTTGTAAGGGCATAAGGGGAGGAGAGCAGAAAAGTTATTATTTAATGGGCATAGAGTTTTAGTTCTGCAAGATAAGAGTTCTGGAGATGGATAGTGATGAAGGTTGCACAACTATATGAATGTACTTAATATCATTAACTGTACACTTAAAATGGTTATGATGGTAAATGTTATGATACATGTATTTACCATGATAAAAAAATTTAAAGAAGTGAATCCATCAATGCACTTGAAAGTAAAGTGTGAGAAAAATAATAATAGAATGGGCAAAACAAACAGAAAAACAATTAGTAAAATAATATACTTGAACCATGACTATCAGTACTTGCATTAAATAAAAAGAGATTAATGTATCAATTAAAAATATTTTCAGATCATATGCTATTTACAAGAGACACTATTTTAGACTATGATTCAAATATTTCAAAGGAATGTAAACATACAGCATGTTACTGACTTCAATACAGTTGAGCAAGAAATCAGCCACAGAAAAATAACCAGAAAATTCCCATATATTTGGAAATTAAGTAGCATACTTCCAAGTAATTCATGAGTTAAGGAAAAAAATCACAATGAAAAATAGAAAATGTAGATGTAAATGATGATAAAAGTACTGCACATCAAAACTTGTGAGATGTAGCTAAAGCTGTGTTTGGAGAGAAATTTACAGTTTGAAATAGATATATTGAAAAAGTAAAAAAGCTAATAATCAGTGAAGTAAACATCTAACTTAAACAATCAAAGATAACATATTAGTCCTAATAAAAATACAAAGCAGTAAAAACTAAAACGAATCTGAAAATAATATAATAGAAAACACTCATAAAAATAAAGATTGGCCGGGTGCAGTGGCTCACACCTGTAATCCTAGCACTTTGGGAGGCCGAGGCAGGTGGATCACCTGAGGTCAGCAGTTCAAGACCAGCCTGGCCAACATGGCGAAACTCCGTGTCTACTAAAAATGCAAACACAGCCGGGCATGGTGGCACGTGCCTATAGTCCCAGCTACTAGGGAGGCTGAGGCAGGAGAATTGCTTTTACCCGGGAGGTGGAGGTTGCAGTGAGCTGGGATCATGCCACTGCACTCCAGCCTGGGTGACAGCAAGACCGTCTCACAAAAAAAAAAAAAGAGATTGACAAGGGGCTTCAAGATAACTAGAGGCATCTAGCACTTGCCTCCTCCACAAGAATAACCAAAATATTATGTAAAATAGAACATCTAATAGAGAAAACAGGAATTTAACACAGAAGTGACAGGAAACACCTGAGGTGTGCAAGGAGAAGGAAGCAGGCAGCCAGCCTGGCCAGGATTGTCTGGGAACCAGGAGCGGTTCCCCAGTGTAAGGAAAGTGTAAGTAAGAGACCCCTAGCAGTCCACATTCCCTCTGTGGACTTCTGTAATCCTAGCCCCTCTGGAGAGCACCTCAATCTTAATGGGCTCTGAAACTAGCATAGGGAGCTACCTGGAGATTTTGTGATGGCATTGCTCCAGAGAGGGAGCTCACACAAGCTTCCACCCTCACTACACCCTGAGTCCTAAGCAGCTGTAGCACAATGCCATTTTCAGAGCCCAGTCCTCACCAGACTGCATCCTGCCCTGGGGTCCAATAGTCCCTACACACCCACATCGACATATTTCCATATCTACCTGAAAGGCTGCAGTGATTCAATATTGGTTAGATGAGTAGAGTCCTCACATACCAATAATAACCTTAAATGTAAACAAGTTAAATTTTCCATTTAAAATATACAGATTGGCTGAGTGGATTAAAAAATGACCCAACTATATCTAATGATACACCACAAGGAACTAGAAAAGCAAGAACAAACCAATATCAAAATTAGTAGAAGAGCTAAATGAATAGAGACCAAAAAATAATGTATAGTGTATCAATGAAACTCAATAAACTGCTAGCTCAACTAACCAAGAGAAAAGAGAAGACCTAAATAAAATCAGAAACAAAAAAGGTGGCATTATCACTGATATCACTGATAACATACAAAAGATCATCAGAGACTATTAGGAACAACTGTATGCTAATACATTGGAAAACCTGGAGGAAATAGACAAATTCCTCGACACATACAACTTCTAAATCAAGTTTAGTTGAAAGCTACCTCCTTGCAGTCTGGCCTAAAGGTTTCTCTGTATATCATGAACTAACCTAAATGGAGTTGTAAACAGACAGTAGCATACTCTTGTGACAATCAGAGTTTTGGCTAATTAAAGGCGGCCAATTTTTTAAACTGTGTTAAAATAAGGCCAAGGCTGAGCTGTAATCAATCCAGCTATTTCTGTACTTCACTTCCATTTTCTGTACGTCACCTTCCTTTCTCTGTTCATAAATCTTCCACCACATGGCTATGTTGAAGTCCTGAGCCTACTCTGGCTTGGGAGGCAGCCCAATTCATGAATCACTCTTTGCTCAGTTAAACTATTTAATTTAATTCAGCTAAGCATTTTCTTTTAACACAACTTACCAGGGAAGAAAAAGAAAACCTTAATAGACCAAAAACAAGTAACAAGATTGATTTTAAAAAGTTTCCCAACAAAGAAAAGCCTAGGATTGGACGGATCCATGGCCGAATTCTACCAAACTTATAGCTAAGAATTAAAACACATTTTCCTCAAACTACTTCAAAAACTTGAAGAAGAAGGAGGTTTTCCAAACTCATTCTCTGAGGCCAGCATCACCCTGACACCAAAACCAGACAAGGACACAACAACATCCTTCATGATTAAAACTTGCAACAAACTAGGCATCAAAGAAGCATAACTCAATGTAATAAAGGTGATATATGACAAACCCACAGCTAATATCACACTGAATGGGGAAGATATGAAAGCCTTTCCTCAAACAACTGGAGCAAGGCAGTGATGCCAACTTTCACCACTCCTATTCAACCTGCTACTAGAAGTCCTAGCCAGAGCAATCAGGCAAGAGAAAAAAAGAAAAGGCATCCAAATTGGAAAAGAGGAAGTCAAGTTATCTCTCTTTACAGACTACATGAACTTATATTTTGAAAAACCTTAAGACTCCACCAGAAAACCACTTAGATTTAATAAACAAATTAAGAAAAATTGAAAGACACAAAATCAACATATAAAAAGCAGTAGCATTTCTATACATCAGTAATGAAATGCTGAAAAAGAAATCAAGAAGACAATCCCATTTATAACAGGTGCAAAAAGAAATATCTAGGAATACCTTTAACAAAGGAGATGAAAGACCTCTACAAGGAAAACTGGAAAACACTGATGAAAGAAATTAAAGAGGACACAAATAAATGGAAAAACTTCTCATGCTCATGAATCAAAGGAATTAATATTATTAAAATGACCATACTAAGCAATCTAAAGATTCGATGTAATCACTATCAAAATACCAATGTCATTTTTCACAGAAATAGTAAAAATAAACCCAAAGTTTATATGGAACCAACAGAGAGCCTGAATAACCAAAGCCATCCTGAGCAAAAAGAACAAAGCTGGAGGCATCACTCTACCTGACTTCAAAATATATTACAAGGTTATGATAACCCAAACAGCATTGTTTGGGTATAAAATGGACATATACACCAATGGAACAGAATAGAGAATCCAGAAAGCAATCGACAAATTTACAGCTAACTTATTTTTGACATAGTTGCTAAAAATATACAATGGAGAAAGGACACCCTCTTCAATAAATGGTTCTGGGAAAATGACATTCATGTGAAGAAGAATGAAACTAGACCCATATCTCTTGCCATATATATAAATCAAGTCAAAATGATCAAATATCTAAAAGTAAGATGCCAAACTGTAAAACTACTAGAATAAAACATAGACAAAACACTATAGGCCATTTGTCTAGGCAAAGATTTTATGGCTAAGACCTCAAAAGCACAGGCAATGAAAACAAAAATAGACAAATGGGACTATATTAAACTAAAATGCTTTTGCACAGCAAAGGAAACAATCAAGAGAGTAAAAACAACTTGGTGATTGGGAGAAAATATCTCAAAATGATTCATCTGACCAGGGACTAATATCCAGAATATATAAGAAAGTCAACCAATGCAACAGCCAAAACAACAACAGCAGCAACAAATAATCCCACTAAAAATTGGGCAAAAGATATGAATAGACATTTCTCAAAAGAAGACAGAAATGGCCAACAGGTATGAAAAATTGCTCAACATCACTAAAGATTAGGGAGACACAAATGAAAATCATGATGAGATATTATCTTATCCCAGTTAGAATGGCTACTATTAAAAAGGCAAAAAAAAAAAAAAAAAAAAAAACGGATGCTGGTGATGATGTGGAGAAAAGGGAACCCTTATACAGTGTTGGTGGGAATGTAAATTAGTACAGCCATTATGGAAAACTGTATGGAGGTTTCTCAAAACACTTAAAAGTAGAGCCAGCACAAGATTGAGCAATAACACTGTTGAGTATTTATCCAAAGGAAAGGAAATCAGTATATTGAAGAGATACCTGTACCCCATGTTTATGGCAGCACTATTTACAATAGCCAAGATATGGAATCAAACTAAGTGTCCATCAGCAGATGAACAGATAAAGAAAATGTGGTAAATAAACACAGTGGAATACTACCTGACCATAAAAAGAATAAAATTATGTTATTTGCAGCAACATGGATGAAACTGGAGGTTATTATGTGAACTGAAATAAGCAAGGCACAGAAAAACAAATATCATGTGTTCTCACTCAAATGTGAGAGGTTAAAAAAATAGAACTCATGGAGATAGAGAGTAGAAAGAGGCTGGGAAGGGTGTGTGTTGGCGGTGGGGGGTGGGGGGCATTGGGGGAATGAATAAAAATTGTTTAATGGGCACAAACATACATACAAACATACAATTAATAGAAGAAATAATGTTTGATAGTACAGTAGATTTACTATAGTTAACAACAACATATTGTAGATTTCAAAATAGCTGGAAGAGAGAACTTGACATATTCCCAACACATGGCAATGATAAATATTTGAGGTGATGGATAGCCCAAATACCCTGACTTGATCATTCCATATTCTATGCATGTAACAAAATGTACAAATATTATGTATCAATAAAAAGCTAAATCTAAACATGCTTCTCTTAAAAATATAGAAATTGACAAAGCCAGAAGTCTAACAGGCAAATAAAATAGATTAACTTGAAAAGGCTAATAAAATGGGTAAATGTTTGGTAAAATGATCAAGAAAAAAAGAGGACAGATAACAAATATAATAAATGGAAAAAATGACATTATTATAGACCCTTCAGAAACAAAAAATATCGAAGGAGAATATCATGAATGACTTACAGTAATACATTTGAAAATTTTGGTGACATTGAGAAATTTCTAAAAAATCAAAACTTACCAAAACTGATGCAAGAATGGAAATAAGAAATAAGAGTGTTAATATAAAATTTTAATATGAAATAATAAGAGTATAAACCATCAATATCTTTTGCTATTAAAATATTGAATTCTGAATTCAAAAAGTAAACAAATTAACCCAAATAAAACCAAACTAAGCTGACCAATCAAACAATATCTCTTCTTTCCACAAGAACAAAGACATCAATTTAGAGCAATTCTACTAGAAAATAAAAAGAAAACATTCCTCAACTTGTTTCATGAGGCAAGCGTAACTTTGAAATGAAAACTTCTTAAGAATATTTTGAGTAAGAAAATTGACAAGCCAATCTTACTCAGGAACATAGATATAAAATCCCTAAACAAAGTATTAGTAAACCCGGAATGGCAATACACAAAAAGGATGATACATCATGATTAAGTTAGGCTTATTATAGGAATGCAAAATTGGTTTATCATCATAAAAATCCGTGGACTTCACAAATTAAAAAAGAAAAATCATATAGTCTTCTCAATATATACAGAAAAAGCTTAGACTAGAATTCAATTCCCATTCATGATCAAACATCTTAGCAAACTGTGAATAGAAGGGAGTTCTTAATTTAATAATGGGTATCTACAAAAACATCCAGAAATATAATACTTAATGGGGAATGCCAGAAACTTTCATCTGGATTTGAAGAATGGAACAATATGGCTGCAAATTTACTACATATTCTTCAATGCTGTCTTGAAGAGCCTAACTGATACAGTCAACCAAGACAAAGGAACTACAAGAATTGGGAAGGAAAAAATACAATTGTCATTGCATTTCAGAAGATATAACTGCATAACTAAGAAATCCTCAGGCATCTATAAATAAATTATTACAATTTAAGTGAATTTAGCAAGATTACTGAATAAAAGGCCAATTAAAAAGATAAAAATATATAAATTGCATATCTACTACACTGTAGAGTCTGAAATAAGCTTCAAATATGAGTGTTAGCTAACTCATCTAGCTAAATCCAAAATTTCAAACTCAGAGGTGACTCTTAATCTTATTTTTTTCTTTCAACTCCCTAGGTATCTGTATTCCTAGATATTTTATTCTTTTTGTGGCAGTTGTGAATGGGATTGCATTCCTGATTTGCCTCTCTGCTTAGATGTTGTTGGTGTATAGGAATGTTGCTAATTTTTGTACATTGATTTTGTATACTGGAACTTTGCTGAAGTTGTTTATCAGCTGAAGGAGCTTTTGGGCAGAGACTATGGGGTTTTCTAGGTATAGAATTATGTCATCTGCAAATAGTGATAGTTTGACTTCCTCTCTTCCTATTTGGATGCCTCTTTTTTCTCTTGTCTGATTGCTCTGGCTGGGACTTCCAGTATTACGTTGAATAGGAGTGGTGAGAGAGGGCATCTTTGTCTTGTTCTGGTTTTCAAGAGGAATGCTTTCAGCTTTTGCCCATTCAGTATGATATTGACTGTGGGTTTGTCGTAGATGGGCTTTATTATTTTGATGTATGTTCCTCCAATGCCCAGTTTATTGAGGGTTTTTAACATGAAGGGATATTGAATTTAATTGAAAGCCTTTTCTGCATCTATTGAAATAATCATGTGGTGTTTGTTTTAGTTCTATTTAGGTGATCACATTTATTGATTTGCATATGTTGAACCAATCTTGCATTCCTGTGATGAAGCCTACTTGATAATGGTGGATCAGCTTTTATATTTATATATATATATATATATATATATATATATATATATATATATATATATATATATTATACTTTAAGTTCTAGGGTACATGTGCACAACGTGCAGGTTTGTTACATATGTATACATGTGCCATGTTGGTGTGCTGCACTCATCAACTCGTCATTTACATTAGGTATATCTCCTAATGCTATCCCTCCCCCATCCTCCTACCCCACAACAGGCCCCAGTGTGTGATGTTCCCCTTCCTATGTCCAAGTGTTCTCATTGTTCAATTCCCACCTATGAGTGAGAACATGCAGTGTTTGTTTTTTTTGTTCTTGCGATAGTTTGCTGAGAATGATGGTTTCCAGCTTCATCCATGTCCCTACAAAGGACATGAACTCATCATTTTTTATGGCTGCATAGTATTCCATGGTGTATATGTGCCACATTTTCTTAATCCAGTCTATCATTGTTGGACATTTGGGTGGGTTCCAAATCTTTGCTATTGTGAATAGTGCCCCAATAAACATACGTGTGCATGTGTCTTTATAGCAGCATGATTTATAATCCTTTGGGTATATACCCAGTAATGGGATGGCTGGGTCAAATGGTATTTCTAGTTCTAGATCCCTGAGGAACCACCACACTGTCTTCCACAATGGTTGAAGTAGTTTATAGTCTGTGGGAGGAATTTACCCCAAATTTCTTTAAAATTGTCCGGAAGTTTTATGTCTTTTTCAGTGGAATTCTATTGGTATAGTGATAGTTATTTGAAAAAATGAGTCTATTTTTTTTTAATGGAATATCAGTATCTGTGTAACTTTTTCCAGGATAGTAATGACCAGCAAAACCTCATTCTGGAGAAGCCATCATCAGTAGTTAAATGGGATTTTGTTCTGTTATATTTCCTCAGCGCTTTTTTATCCCCAAGTGTCAGCATCTCCTTGTGAACAGCCTCTCTTTCCAAGTCCTCCCTGTGGTGAACCCAAATGTTGTTTATCAGACAGGCATAATTCAACTCACTAAAATACATCCCTGCCAATAGGATTCGTGCTATGAACCCCAGCCCCCTCTGCCTAGTAACATATGCACTTTGTTCTGAATCTGCGTCATGAAGATCTGTAGGCAGGTGTAGGTGGTACTTAACAGATGCAAACGTTTTATTTTTCTGGCTGTTTCCTTTGTCATTTGGACACGATGACAGAAAAACCATCATGCCTCCATTACAAAGGGTTAGGACTGAGAGTCAGCTGTCATGGCCACCCCCAACCTAGTCTTCCCCAATGTGATCTGCCAGATCATGGGAGAGAAACAAAACCACTCTGCAGCTTATTTTAGTCCAATCATGGTTTGTTGTGTTTCTATAGCTGGGCCATGCTTACTTATCATACATACCTAACTAGCTTAAAAAGATGCCTAAATGGAATCTAGACTTAAAAACACAGTACTTGCTTTGACTCCTGTATTTAAAATGTGGTTGATATTATTTTCCTCCAACATTGAAATGTTTTAAAACTGAATTCTAGGATTCAGAAAATGGAAGTATGTTTTAATCACTTAGCATCCCTCTATAGATTTAGTAGACATGAAAATATGAGAAGATATGGTTCTAGTACTAAATTTCATTTTTTAGTCTCTTTTTTAACCAGGAAGAAAAGCAGGAAACTCCCTACATGTGAGTTTTTAAAAGATCCTGAATTCAGTTAAATCCTGAGATAAACAGAAACAAAACCCCAAAATATGTAACTTATCTTATTCCCTCTTGATTTTTCTAAGTTGTTGGATCTAAGGTTAATTTCAAGGTCACTTGTTGGTCTTTCAGTTGGATATCCCAGGAATTTGTTTGTTTGTTTTCGATTTTTTGAGATGGAGTTTCGCTCTTGTTGCCCAGGCTGGAGTGCAATGGCGTGATCTCGGCTCACTGAAATGTCCGCCTCTCAGGTTCAAGTGATTCTCCTGCCTCAGCCGCCCAAGTAGCTGGGATTACAGGCGCCCGCCACCAGGCCTGGCTAATTTTTGTATTTTCAGTAGAGACGGGGTTCCGCCATGTTGTCAGGCTGGTCTCAAACTCCTGACCTCAAATGATCCACCTGCCTCAGCCTCCCAAAGTGCTGGGATTACAGGCATGAGGCACTGCGCCTGGCCGCAGGAATTGTTTTTAAACTCACTGATAGTAGTTCTAATAAACTTAAAAGATTTTGAAAACAAGAAGATATGACTTGGTATCTGTAAATAAGATCATTTCAGAAATCAAAACTGTGACATTTGAGAAGGATTTAACTTGGCATAGTTGTGTGTAGAAAAGGAACAGTGGATTTTGAAAGGATTAGAAGCTATGTGGTTTATTAAATCACTTGTTTATTCAAAATCTTTCCACCTCTTCTAAACAATGTACATGTTTATTTCTATCTTTCTGTTTTTGCATTTGAAACTGAAAATCACTTTAGCTTCAGGAGTATTATTTTTAATTTTTGTTCAAAAATAGATTTTGGTTTGTCTTTCATTTATTCAGTGGATTTGTTGTATTCAATAAGGAGGGCTATTTTTAGAAAGGAGAGGAAAAATTCACATTTAGCAATCAATTGTAGTATTTAGATTGATGATGGCGTAAATCCCAATCTTTGTACTGTCAGTGGATAAGTGAGGATGGGCACTTCTGGTAGGTCCTTGTCTTTTAGTGGTAATAGTCTAACTGTGTAAGTATTGCCCACATTACCACAGGAGCCCCCCTTAATGTGTTTTCAAAAGGCCAAGTCATTACTTGAAACATCTCTATTTGTTAACATTAAATCAAGCTCCTTTATCATTGTTAAAAATTACTTAGGACTTTCTTACTCACGTTTCCTTCTTTCTTTCCACTGCGCAGGCATAGAATATTGATAGTATAAAATTTGTTAGAATGCTCAAACATAGGGTTTTTGGTGCTATTTTAAGAATAAACCTGTTTTTGCAGCATAGACTATCATGGAATTTTTTTTAAGACAAATTTTAGAATCATTCATGATCCACTATGAATTCATGCTGAATGTTCAGAATTTTTAAAGCCCTTTGGCAAACAGTCATCTGCTTCTTGCCCAGAACATATGACGATTTCTCCAGGAGATTGCACTCATACATGACAAACTCTGTTTAGAGCCTGCTCACATTCAATGACAGAGCAATGAGCTCTGAGCTCTGCCTGACCCCTTTTACTTTCTGACATTGGGGGAACAACCCACTTAGCCACTTATATTGGAGCTTCTCAAGGCAGAAGGCAGCCATCTTGGACAAAACCGCATCAACTTGGTTTGAGCCCAGCTATTGTAAGTAGTGATCATTTGGCTTAAGGGGACTTAGGATTTCTAACCACACCAACTGCTGTAAGGACAAGCTGACCTTACAGCTGAATGGTCTTACCCTGCCCATCTCTGACACTCCACTCATATTGCTGCCTTCAAAATTTTCCAAGCAGGAAGCAGATGTCAATCTCGTTGTTCATATGCTCCCAATCTCCCTAAGACACATTACAAACTGTCCAAACACCTAATCACCTCACTCACTTCTGGTTCTCCAAGATTGTCAGAGCTTAGCAAATATTCATGTGGAAAGTTAAATGCTTGTCTCACTGGCAAGCATGCCAATCTTTCTTTGCTTGTGGGTGGGGAGCAGTTCCTTTCTCTTCTTTACAGTTTGGGGAAAGAAAATGAATTGACACAGCACTCTCTATCTGGATGATCTATTTCAATCTCCCTTTCTAATTTATTACCAATTCTCCTATAGGCAGGAAATAGTTCAGTGTGATTGATGGAATCACTAGATAGTTTCTATAATCTTAATTAAGTCTAGCATAGGTGTATCTACTTTGTTTGTTTGTTTGTTTGGATTTGTTCAGAAAGTGAATGTACTTATTTCCTACTGTTTTCATTATTGGAACTTCAGCAAAATTTCCAAGACAATAGGAAAAGACTTCTTCAACATCCTGTTGCTTTATCTTATGGAGTAGTTGGCAGATTGTTAAAAATTGTGGCTGGCAATTTTCATGATTTTGAAAAAGTTAAACAATCTTATTAAGTAATCACTAACTTTCTATTCATGTTTCTGATTACATTTCTGCACATTTAATCCTGAGGTGGTTAAATGCATGTGAAAAAGAAAAAAGTCATGAAATAATGTTTTCCATTTTCCCATTTCACATGCCTTTCACTTTGCCAGAAGATATAGGATAACTTGCCTCCTATTGATGCAAACTATCAATAAGTGTTGAACTTGCTCTAATGCACAACGACCTTGAGATTGGGAGTCTAAATACTCTCTCAATACAGAGTGAAGGGTAGATGTATGGGTTCCTGTGACTAGATGTGTGTGTGTGTGTGTGTGTGTGTGTGTGTTATTTCCTGGGGCTGTAGCAAGAGATTTCTACCAGATGTAACCAATGGAGTAAAAAATGGGAATAGTAGCCAAACCAGATTCACTGGCAAAACTGAAGCTCAAATACCATAAGCAGAAATAAAGTCAGGAGTCACAGATCCAGAAAATTGAGGCTTAGTAGAAATAAAATGAAGGAATAGATTGGGAATAAGTAAGAGGAGGTTCACAATAAAAGCTATAAACCCTGATGGATACCTAAGTCTTGCTTTAAGGATCTATAGTATATGTATGCACTTGAGTTGGCCTAATTTAAAGAGCCAGAGCTAGCCACCATGGAAATAGCTATGTTTTTCTTATTTAAAAGTCATTTTTTGGTGGAAACCAAAAATGCCTATGAGAACGAAACTTGTCAAAACTGCTTGCATTTTTCTAAGGCCATTAGGCTATATATTAAACTCCTGGCAAGTTCTTATTTCTTATTTATGGTAACACAAGTCAATCTATTTTAAACATATGATGCTCTCTGGGAAAACAACAATAACATATACAATATGGAGAACCTCAATGGGTCCAGAAGGCAGATTTTAGTTTGTGGTGCGAAACCAAATTGTGAACCAGGGAGTAAATGAAAAAGCCCTCTAAATGATAAATGACAGTCCAGAGCTTACTCCAGAGAAGAGGTTGGCACACTTTCAAAACCTTACCCAGACAATTGTACATAGAGTAAGGGAGCAGATGAGAAGCAGTAACATATTGACAATGGTGAGAAATAACAGCCAATTTAGAGGAAGGACAAAGGACTCTATGCAAAAGAGAAGCATATTAGGGACAATTTATCAGAGGAAAGGGTTCTACATGTCTTGTGAATTATTAGGGAATTATTTCATTATAAACAGTTCACTAATAATCAAAAAATAACTCAAGTTGTTATTACAGCCTAAATAATTAATGGTTAAATAATTTTCTTAAAAATATGGTTTTCAAAAGT
Source organism: Homo sapiens (assembly GCF_000001405.40). Lineage (NCBI taxonomy): Eukaryota > Metazoa > Chordata > Mammalia > Primates > Hominidae > Homo > Homo sapiens. The sequence goes on along the minus strand of NC_000002.12, from coordinate 157,219,747 downwards.
GACATTGTTGCCCAGGCATGGTGGCTCATGTCTGTAATCCCAGCACTTTGGGAGGCCAAGGCAGGTGGGTTTCTTGAGCCCAGGAGTCTGAGACCAGCCTGAACAATATGGCAAATCCCCTTCTCTGCAAAAAATACAAAAAAATTAGCTGAGCGTGGTGGCACACACCTGTAGTCCCAGCTACTCGGGAGGCTGAGGTGGGAGAATCACCCGAGCCTGCAAAATCGAGGCTGCAGTGAGCCATGATCATGCCGCTGCACTCATGCCTGGGAGAGGGGAGTGAAACCCTGTCTCCAAAACAACAACAACACAAAAAAAAAACCAAAAAAATTGACATTATTAAAAGAGAAAAAAAACCCTATACTAAACAGTTGATTTTCCTGAAAATGTTAGAGATATTAGATTTTGCTCTTTGTATTCAAGATAATACATTTGAGTCTTTGAAGGCTTGGTTGAAAAATGACTAGTGTACTACCAATAAGCAAAGTTGTCAATGACTTTTCTCATTGGAACTTTTCTGCTTCACCTTTACAAAGGAAGATGGCTGCTGAGTGGCCACGTTTAGAGTGGTAGTCAAAGAGAGGGTAGGATATGGGGTGTTTATTCATAGGAAGCCTGCAGAGTTAGATATCTCTGGTCTACGGAACCTTTAAGACCAAATTTCCCATTACCAGTCAGTGAGTGGTACTTGTTGAATTTGTGATGTGTGTCTTCATCTTTATCTGCTGCCAGTGTTATCAAGGTCAAAGTTGAGAGACTATTTTAGGTAAGGGGAATGGAGCCAGAATTGAGATTACCTCAGGAGTTAGTTCTCCCTAGAGTAGTAGCTAATTTGGGGACCCTCTGTGGTGATTGTTGGTGCTTCTCACCACAAGAGGTTCTCGTCTCAGGATTCTGAAAAGAAAAAGTAGTAGAAACCATTATTTTTGTCGTCTTCTTTTTGCCGTGGCTGCAAGGGAATTCACAGCCTTTCTGCCCTTTCACCATGGAATAATGCAGCAAGAAGGCCCTCACCAGATGACCCCTTGATCATGGATTTCCCAGCTTGCAGAACTATGAGCCAAATAAACTTCTACTGTTTCTAAATTACCCAGTATGTGGCATTCTGCTTAGTGACAATAAATCAGACTAAGATAGCTGGGTGGAATTATTCTCCTGTGATTTGAAGAAGGCAGGGTTTCTCAGTATTTTTATTGCTTCTTTGGTTTAGGGTATTTTCAAACTGATTATTTTAATTAAGATATAGTGTATCCATTGTAAAATGTAAGTTATTTATACAATAAAATTGGGGCAGGTTTAAAGGAGGACAAACTATTCTGTCATTTTTGCTTAATGTTTTTAGCAATTCCTTTTTCCTCATTCTTCCAAGAATCTCATTCTTGTCATTTGCATTATTTTGATTATTATTCTTTGGGTTATCTCAATTCTCTTTTTATAACAATAGTAAAGTAGTAATAGTTTCAATAGAAATTTCTTTGCTGTGTAAAAATATGCAAAACACAAGGGAACCAAGACTGCTTAGCATCTCATTGTGCCCCTTCAACCCTTGCTCCTAACTAAACCATACCAATATGTACTTGTTTATTAGCATTTTGAAGATCCTTAGGGTTTTTTTTTTTTCTTTTGGAGAGAGAGTCTTGCTCTGTCACCCAGGCTGGGTGCAGGTGTGCCATATGCTCACTGCAACCTCTGCCTCCCAGTTCAAGTGACCCTCTCATCTCAGCCTCCCAATTAGCTGAGACCACAGTCATGTGCCATCACACCCGGCTAATTTTTGTATTTTTGGTAGTCACGGGTTTCATCATGTTGGACAGGCTGGTTTTGAACTCCTGATCACAAGTGATCCACCCGCCTCAGACTCCCAAAATGCTGGGATTACAGACGTGAGCCACCATGCCCAGGCTGAAAATCCTTAGATTAGGTCTATGCTGTCCACACAACTTATTGGTGGGGAGAATGTGTAGAATCATCCACATCTTGGAGCTTTGTAAAAATGTCCTGGATGTCATGATATCCAGGATTTTTTCCTCTATAATAATATCATAAATGTGGTTATCGAAGCAAATGTAGTGGTTACAATAGAGAAGACTATGATTTTGAATATGAGTGAGTGTGTGTGCACTCACATACCCTTGGACAGAGTAGTGGCTAAACAGAGAACTACAGAGTATTGATGAGTTGAGCTTTCAGCACTTACTCATCAATACCGTGTATTTATAAAACATATTTTGAAGAAATGTTCATTTTTTAAATTTTTTTAAGTACCAGGAAAATAAATACCAAATCTTTGGCAAAGTCAAATCATATTTTATATTTTTCATTTGTACAGGAGTAACCAGATCCATAATGCTATTGTAGAAGTTTAAATTAGATAGGACTTACTTCGTAAAAGCCATTTATTTTTTGGTTTTTGGTGTACTGTTTTATTTTTAAAAGATATTTGTAAAAGATATTTATAAATTAACCTCATTTAAAATTAAAATTATTATATATGTGTGTGCATATATCATTCTTTGAATATAGTGCAAAAACTGGATAATAGTACAATTTGCCTTTTTATGCATTGCACAACAATTGAAAAAGTGCTTATGAAAAAGCACAATGAATGAAAATAAAAGCAAGGCTCAGTAATTTGCAGGGAAGTTATGTTTCATTAATATGTGCCTCATATAAGCAGTCAGCATGTAAAAATAGATGGCAAAATCTGACCAGGAGTTTAAAATTACAAATTATACATAGAATGTGCACCAAATTAATTAGATAATTAATTGAGAAGCATAAATTTAAAAAATCTAATTGATGTTGTACATTTGATAATCAGAGTCATTTTTCTACAATTGTTAAATATAATTTGTCTCATAATGCTACCCTTTGGTAAATTGTTATAACAGTGTATGATATATGTAGCTTATTAACAGTTTCATTAATTGCTATTAGAGGAAAGAAGCTATGAAAGCTGGTACACATAGGAACAAATGTTGAGGCAGATGGTTGAAATTAGTGAAACATGATCAGTTGCTGAACCAGTTTACTTAATTAGCTTTCTGCATCAGAATAGTTAAAATAAATTTGTCATATTGTCTTCAGGAAATTGAAATTCAGGAGATGATCATCACATATATTTTTAAAAATTAATAAGACAAAGAGCAAAGAACTGTGGGCTCTGACCCATGACCAATAGTTTATTCTGTACTGAGAGTCTGCTCAACTGTTTAGAATGGGAGGGGAATTTTACTGTTAGGGAATAGCCAACTGCACTGACATCTTTTTACTGTTTGTAGCAGGGAAAACAGAGGGAGAAGAGCAAGTGGAAATTGGCCACTGCCCACAAAATTAACTTGATGCTGTTACTTCTTAGTTAATAATTTTCAGAGGAGTTGAAATGGATCTTTAAAATAACAGTTTCATAGAACAGTTTCCTTTTCAGCAAGATTCCAGAAAATCTCAAGAGATCAAAATTGTAATAATTTTCATGCTCGGGCATTTCTGGTCATATTGCTTTGTATAGGGGAGTGGGAACTCAATTTTTAAGGTACTTGTCTTGGTTAATTCTTACAGATTTCAGTTTGGCATCCACACCAATAGCATCAACAACAAATAGTCAAAAATGGGGGAGAATTTGATAGAAATATGGTTTATATGTTGGAGAAACTCTGATGACATTTGGAATTGTTTAATGGAATGCTCTAAATTGTTAATGGAATGCTCAGCTTTTACAGGATTTATACCTGCCGAGGTTTATATAGATTTGGAACAATTTGCTATCCCTTCTCACAGGAATGTTTTTATATATTTGCCTTTTAGGACACATTTTTCAACTTTGTAGCAGAAGTACAGAACTTAGCTATCAGTATGAAAAGTTTCCAATGATACTGTCTTCATCTGTTTTTTCAAACATATTACAAATGAGTTGTAGATGATCACGTTTAACTACATGAATCTAAATAACTATAAACATGCATGATCCGTTATTGACACAGCTACCCTTTCCCCTTTAGGGTGTATAATGGGGTTATTTCTGTTAGTGTTAGTGTATAAATTATTTTATCCAGAAACTATGGAGCTGTGGCCACTAGTGGTTTGGCCTCTGTCACCTTTTCTGTCTTTACCATCACTCCTGGCCTTGATTAAAAGGATGAGAGTAAGATCATTTTGTTAATAATACATTTATAGGCACTGTGTCAAGAGGGTTTGAACATTTCAGGGTCCCACAGATATGTTTGTATTCTAAACTTTAAAAAGTTATTTGTATAATATGATATTAAAAAATGCAAAATTGAAATTAAGAAATATTTAGATCTCTCTAACATAATTTTCAAAAATAGTAAATTGTTATTTTAGTAAACTCTTACATAGTCATACATAAATAATATTTATTGTGGGAAGTGGGTCTGTTTTTATGTTTACCACGAGGGAAACATTAATATAAAAATGTTGTCGATCGCTGTCAAGCTACCTTTCTATGTCCATGCTTTTATTCAGCAAAGAAAACGATGCATATCTTTACAACTTGTTCAAGGCCATCATATTTTAGTTCTCTAAACTCTTCATAAAAGAACAGATTTAGTTAAGCATGGTGTTAGCTTGTTAGAATTTAGGAATGAAATTCTATGGCTTCATTCAGAGGAGCCAAGCATGATCATTCAAAAAATAAAAAAGGTCAATTTTATTCTTAAAAGTAATAACAGGAATAAGATAAAAATGCCATTATAAATGTTTTGCATGTGAAAAATATAGAAATAAAAGTATATCATAAAGTGAGTAATGAGGCAAGTGGTACTACTGTTTTAAATATTGAGCAACATAGAATTGGTTTAAGCAAAATTTGAAGTCAGAATAGTTACTTTTGAACATTGTGATGTGCCTTGGTGACGTAGGCTCTTAGCTAAAATAAAATTATTATTAATTTATTCTCACTAAACTGTCAGTATTATTTAGTATATGTCCCATCCTATCCCATGAACTAGATTTGTAATGCATTAAGATTAGAGACATTGCATTGTTAACTCATTTTTTTTCAGTTATTGAAAAAAATCAAACAAACTGACAGATGCTCAATGAACATGACTTGATTCAAAAGTTTTTTACCCTGAATGTTAAGACTATTTGGGAAAGCTGCTTCTACTTTGGATATAAAAAGCTCCTACTCTAATGATAAAAATAATTAATCTATAAAATTATGTCTTATTTGTACTCATCAGATAGTTGAGGTTGCAAAGCAACTAAGAACAATGAATTTCAGAGGATGTCAAGACCCTCCAGGAGAGGTGGGCCACATTAAATTTGCCTTTGGCAGAACAAAGTAGAAAAAGATGGCAGCTATAAAATCAGATAAAAAGAAAACAACTGTGTGATGGTTAATTTTATGTGCCAAATTAACAAGGCCAACGAGTGCCCAGATATTCGTTAAACATTATTCTGAGTCTGTCTGTGAGAGTGTTTCTGGATGAGATTAGCATTTGAATCAGTAGACTGAGTAAAACATATTGCTCTTCTCAATGAAGGTGGGTCTCATGCAATCTCTGAAGGCCTGGCCAGTGCAGTGGCTCACACCTGTAATCACAGCACTTTGGGAGGCCAAGGCGGGTGGATCACTTGAGGTCAGGCATTTGAGACCAGCCTGCAACATGGTGAAACCTTGTCTCTACTAAAACAACAACAACAACAAACCACAAAAAATAATCTGTGAAGGCCTAAATAGAATAAAGTGCTAAGAAAGAATTATTTCTATCTGTCTAAATGCCTCCAAAGTGGGACAGCAGTCTTCTTTTGCCTTCAGACGCAGACTGGCACTGGAACTGATATGACTGGCTCTCCTGCTTCTCAGGCTTTCAGACTCAGACTGGATCTATACCATTGTCTCCCTTGGGTTTGGACTTCTCAGTGCCCATAATCACATAAGCCAATTCCTTATAATAAATCATTTTATATACATCCTATTGGTCCTCTTTTTTTGGTAATCCTGACTAATGCAAATTGAACATTTAAAAAATACTTAAAGGCCCAATAGGCCAGCGTGGTAGTTGAGAACCCACGGAAACCCCATACAAAGGAGAATCTGCAAACACTCACCAGTGCTTGTCCATGGGCCCTAACCAGGTGCTCCTGAGTAGGACTGGAAGCATGGCAAATTCTTTGGTGATACAGGAATGTAGATATGATTGGTTGCTGTTGAGGGAAAGGTGCAATGTCTAGCCCTGTTCTGAATCCTTTCCTCACGTGAAAATAAAGGAGGTGTTGCCACTAAGAGAGAAGCAGGCAACCTCCATACACCCCTGATACCAGTTTGGAGTAGGAGTAGATGAGAAATGCTGTATATCACTAAGAATGGAATAGAAAAGTTACTTAAGCACATGATCTTGCACTGATGAAAAAGCAAGGCAGATCTTGGCTGTCATGATGAGAGAGGAAGGAAGGATGAGAATGCTAAAACAAGAAACTAAAAATCCCCTGGCACCTGCAAAAGCCTTGTACCTAGAAAAAAGCTAATGCAGGCAGTATATTCTCTGGGAAAGGGGAAAGATACTGAACGGAGACCCACTCTGTGGCATGGGGATGAAAGGTCTGCTAAAAGGTGGGATGGAGCAGAAATACTGTTAAAACCCTCCAGCACCCTAGGTGCCTCAACCTAAGCACAAGGTAGTAGTAGTCTATGACTGGAGGAATTTGAAGTCTATGGTGAATCAAAGGTAATTAGAGTCACAACCACATCCAACTGAGTTCAACTACTACTTAGAGTGACCTCACCTCCATATTAACGAACTGACATAAGAAATGTGCCCATTTCCTGTTGTAGATTTACCTCACTCTCAATTTTTCTTTAGCCATGATGCCTACATTCAATGTATTATTATACAGTACACACAAACAATATCAACGACTATGACAAATTGCCCATTATCAAGAGATAAAGGAGTCAACAGAATCAAACCAAGATGTGATAAGATCATGGTACTTTAGAGGAAGTATTTCAAAACAACTATGTTAAATATGTTAAAGAGTGCGGTAAAAAAGGTTAACACATGTATGAACAAATGAGAAATTTCAGCAGGTATATAGAAATTTAAAAAGAAATCAAGTGAGAATGCTAGAAATTTTTTTAAAACATGCTAAACAGAGAAGAATAATTTATTTGATAAATTTTCTGCTGAATGACTTATCAACAGTCTGGATATAGCAGTGAAAGGAATTGTTGAACTTTAAGTTAGACCAATGCAAATTATCCAAACTAAAAAAGACAGAAAAATGAAGAAACAATAATAACAAGAGAATAGAATATTCAGTAGCCATAGAAAAATATCAAATAATCTAACATACATATAATTGAGGTTTTATGAGGAGAAGAAAGAGACTATGGCACAGAATATATTAAAAAAGATAATGGCAAATAATATTCCAAAATGAATAAAAGAGAGCAAATAGCAGATTTAAAAAGCCAGGGTTTAAAGCAGAAAAAGTAATTAAAAAATGCTTGGGCATATGAAAGCTAAACTTCTGAAAACCAAATATGAAGATAAAATCTTAAAAGCATCCAAAGGAAAAAAAAAACGATTATATATAGAAGACCAAAGATAAGAATGCGAGCAGTCTTCTCATAAGAGACTAAATAAGGCAGAAAGCAATAAATCAATATCTTTAAAGTACAAGAAAAAAAACGGTTAACTCGCTCAAAATTTTATACCACACAAAACTATCTTTTAACAATGAAAATAAAAGAGTACTTTTTAAGCAAACAAAAGATGAGAAAATTCATTGGCAGTGAAGTTTTATACCATAAGAAATGATAAAGTTTTACAGTCAGAAGGACTATGATACATGATAAATATCTGGATCTATACAAAATATTGATAAAACACTCTAAATAGTAAAGATGTGAGAATATAAAAATTCATTTAAAAATACTTCTGAAAGACTGAAGAAAAATAGTAACAGTACAGTGGGGAGACTGTAACTTAATTAGGAGTAAAACATAACAAAATAATAGCACAAAGAATTAGTGGAAGGAAGTGATGTGTGGCTGTTACAACATATTGAAGTGATATATTCCTAAAATTTAGACTGTAAGAAGTTAAACATGTATATTGTAAATCCTAGAGAAAACAGTAAAAAAATTCAAAAAGCTCTATCTTATAGGCCAATAGTGACTATAGAATTGAATAATTAAAATGCTCATTTAACACAAAAGGACAGCAGAAAAAAGAAGAGAAAAAGAAGAATATATAGATACTAATGCAATGGAGCCTGGTGGACAGAAGCGGCTGTTGGAGGCTTTAAGTTTGCCACGGTTTACAAGGCCAGAGATAAGAATACCAACCAAATTGTCACCATTAAGAAAATCAAACTTGGACATAGATCAGAAGCTAAAAATGGTATAAACAGAACAGCCTTAAGAGAGATACAATTATTACAAGAGCTAAGTCATCCAAATATAATTGGTCTCCTTGATGCTTTTGGATGTAAGTCTAATATTAGCCTTGTCTTTGGTTTTATGGAAACTGATCTAGAGGTTATAATAAAGGATAATAGTCTTGTGCTGACACCGTCACACATCAAAGCCTGCATGTTGATGACTCTTCAAGGATTAGAATATTTACATCAACATTGGATCCTACATAGGGATCTGAAACCAAGCAACTTGTTGCTAGATGAAAATGGAGTTCTAAAACTGGCAGATTTTGGCCTGGCCAAATCATTTGGGAGCCCCAGTAGAGCTTATACATATCAGGTTGCAACCAGGTGGTATCAGGCCCCTGAGTTACTATTTGGAGCTAGGATGTATGGTGTAGGTGTGGACATGTGGGCTGTTGGCTGTATATTAGCAGAGTTACTTCTAAGGGTTCCTTTTTTGTCAGGAGATTCAGAGCTTGATCAGCTAACAAGAATATTTGGGCACACCAACTGAGGAACAGTGGCCGGACATGTGTAGTCTTCCAGATTATGTGACATTTAAGAGTTTCCCTGGAATCCCATGGCATCACATCTTCAGTGCAGCAGGAGACGACTTACTAGATCTCATACAAGGCTTATTCTTATTTAATCCATGTGTTCGAATTACGGCCACACAGGCACTGAAAATGAAGTATTTCAGTAATCGGCCAGGGCCAACACCTGGATGTCAGCTGCCAAGACCCAACTGTCCAGTGGAAACCTTAAAGGAGCAATCAAATCCTGCTTTGGCGACAAAAAGGAAAAGAACACAGGCCTTGGAACAAGGAGGATTGCCCAAGAAACTAATTTTTTAAAGAGAACACTGGACAACATTTTACTACTGAAGGAAATAGTCAAAAAGGCAAATAATGAAAAAATAGTAAACATTAAGTAAATGCTGTGGAAGTGAATTTGTAAATATTCTACACATGTAAAATATATAAAACTATGGGTTATTTTTATTAAATGTATTTTAAAATAAAAAATATATAGCACACATTTGTAAATACAAATTGGTAAATTTAAAGCCAATCATATTGGTAACTATATTAAATGTAAATCATGTAAATTTGTCAGTTAAGAGCTAGGTATTGCCAAATTGAATTAACAAGGGCAAGACAAGTATATTCTATCTACAAGAATCTCACTTTAAATATAAGGCTATAGATACATTCAAAGTTAAAGGACTTGGTCACTTTGACACTTGTCAAAAGAAGCTGAAGTAGGTATATTAGCATTACATAAAGTAGACTTGAGAACGGGAAAGTTTACAAGAGACATAAAGGGATATTACATAGTAATAAAGGGGTAATTTAATCCAGGAAAAATAGCAATTCTATATGTATATTCTTCTAATATTAGAGTTTCAAAATATATAAATAAAAACTGATAGAATTGAAAGGATAAAGGTACAAATCCACAATTATAGTGGGAAAACTCAAAATTCCTGTCTCTATAAATAATACAAGTGGACATAAAATCAGTTAGAAGACTTAGAAAGTACTGTCAACCATTTTTACCTCATTGGTAAAATATTAGAATATTTTCCATAGAATATTTTCCAACAAACAATAGGAAAAATTATTTTAAGTTTACGTGGAACTGTTTAGTTAACATTGAGTATTTTCTGTGCCATTAATAATGCTGCAAACATTAAAAATTGAAATTGCCGGGTGCGGTGGCTCATGCCTGTAATCCCAGCACTTTGGGAGGCTGAAGCGGGCAGATCATGAGGTCAGGCATTCAAAACCAATCTGGCCAACATGGAGAAACCCCATCTCTACTAAAAATACAAAAATTAGCCAGGCGTGGGGGCTAGCACCTGTAGTCTCAGCTACTTGGGAGGCTGAGGAGGAGAATCGCTTGAACCTGGGAGGCAGAAGTTGCTGTGAGCCCAGATCTGGCCACTGCACTCCAACCTGGGCGACACAGCGAGACTCTGTCTTAACACCAACAACAACACAAAATTAAAATCATACAAAATATATATTCAGACCAAAATAAAATCAAACTAGAATTTGATATCAGAAAGATATGGAAAATCAATAAATATTTGGCAATTAAACAAAGTATTAAACATTGTATTAAAAAATCAGAAAAATTAAAAAATATTTTGAATGGAATGAAAATATGGCATATTAAATTTGGGGTAATATAACCAAAGAGCTGCTTAATTGCAAGTGTGTAGAATCAAATGTTTATATTAGAAAATATTTTAAAAGGGTGAAAACTAATAATCTAACCTCCATTTAAGACTGTAAAAACAGGGGTAAATTAAATCTAAACAAACAGAAGGAAGAAAACCAATAGAAAAAAATAATAAAATTACAAGCTGGTTGTCTGAAAAGATTATTAAAATTGGTAAGCTTTTAAACAGACTAAGTAAAAAAGAGAAAAGGTAGAAATGGCCAATGTCAGAAATAAAAGAGGTTACATTACTACAGAACCTACAGACATTAAAAAGGTAAAGAGGAAATATAAACAAGTTTATGGTCATAAATTCAATGTTAGATAAAAAAGAAAAAATAATATCGCTCAAGAAGAAATAGATAACCTTAATATTTCTATGTCTATAAAAGACATAGAACTTAAAAAACCTTTCAACAAAGTTCTGGGCCCACACGACTTGACAGGTAAGTTCTACTAAACATTTAAGGAAGAACTAACACAAAATTTATGCAAACTCTTCCAGAAAAACAAGAGCAAATAAACTTCCCAATTCATTTTATCAAGTTAATATTATCTTATATCCTTATACAAAAATTATACAAAGACATTATAGGATAAGAAGACCACAGAACAGTATCTCTCATAAATATAGAAAAAAATGCTTAATAAAATATTAGTCAAATCTTGTGATATAAAAAAGAGTAGTGCATAATTATCAATCTAGGTTTATCCCAAGAATGTAAGGTTGGTTGAACCTTTAAACAGCAGATGACATAGTTTACTATATTAAAAAACTAAAAAATAGGAATAACATTATGTTAATGGAAATAGAGATAGTATTATATTAATGGATATAGAAAAGGATACAAAGTCAATCTATAAAAATTAGCTATATTTCCATATAATAGCAACTAACAACTGAAAATTGAAATAAGAAAAATGCCATTCATAATAACATAAAAACCCATCACATAATTAAGGGTAAAATTATATATATATTCATATACATATATGTGTGTGTGTATATATATATATATATATATATACATACATATATAGAGACAGAAAGAGAGATAAATGCAAGGCTATTATACTAAAAATCACAAAACATTATGCAGCAAAATAAAGACATAAATCACTGGAGAGAAATACTGTTTTTATGGATCAGAAGATTCAATACTGATATAATGCCAATTATCTCCTAATCCATCAAACTTCAATTGGGCATTTTCTTGGTAGAAATTGACAAGATGATTCCAAAATTAATATGAAAATTAAAGGACCTAGATTATCCCAAATAATTTTAAATATACAAAATTTAGAGGTCTCACACTATCTGATTTCAAAACTTGCTGTAAAGTTAACCTAAATGAAACAGAGAAGTATTGATTTAAGGATAAATGTATTGAGTAATGGAATAGAATTGAAGCCAGAAGTAGATCCACACATGTATGGTTAACTGGTTCTTTATAAAGGTGCCAAAGTAATTTATTGGAAAATGAATAGCTTTTTTTTTTAACACATAGGATTGAAATAACTGGAATCTAGATGCTACATAATGAAATTCAACACCTATCTCACACCATATTAAGAAAATGAGATTGAAATAGATTATAAGCCTTAATGAAAATTCTAAAACTTAAAAAAAAACTCTACATAAGAAAACATAGGAGAAAATCTTTTCTGCCTTAAGTTCATCAGAGATTTCCTAGATAGGACACACACACACACACACACACACACACACACACACACACACAACCATAAAGGAAAATTAATAAGTTGGACTTTACATAATGAAAACATTTGTTTTTTGAATGACACTATTTAAACAGTGAAAATTCATGCTATAGATTGGGGAAAATATTTGCAAAACACATCTTTTGAAAGACTTGTATCCAGAATACATAATACAATCTTACAACTCAATAATAAGACAAACATCCCATAAAAAAGCAAAAAGACTTGACATTTCATCAAAGAAAATATACAACTGTCAAGCTCGTGAAAGGGGACTGAACATTATTATTCATTGTGAAAATGCAAATTAAAACCACAGATACAGCTACGTACCTATTAACTTGGCTGAAATTAACATGAAAATAAGTATTGGCAAGACTGTAGAACTAACGGGAATCCAGAGCTAAAGCAAAATGGTATGGCCATTTTGGAAAACAGTTTGGTAGTGTCTTGTAAAGTTAAATATATATCAGAACTCCTGTGCCTAGAAAAATAAAATTAAGAACTAAGAGAAATAAGAACATATATCTCTGCAAATATATGTATGCGAACCTAGCAATTTCATCTGTAATAGCTAAAACCTGGAAATAAACCAATGTTCATCAATTGATGAACAGATTAACAAATTGTAGTACAACCCCACAAGAGAATATTATTCAGCAACAAAATCAACAAATTGTTGATACATGCAAAACTATAAATAAATCTAAAAGCATTATGTTCAGTGAAATAAACAAGACACCAAATAATACATATTATATGATTCCATGTGTATGACATTCCAGAAAGGGGTTGCCAGGGACAGGTGGTGGTAAGAGAGGATTAACTGCAAAGGACCCCTGGGAAACTTTTGTGAGTAAATAGAAATGTTCCATATGCTGATTGTGATGTTGATTATATGAATGCATACATTAATCATAAAACTATAAACTAAAAAGGGTGAATTTTATTGTATTTAAATTATACTTAAATTGATGTGTGTTTAATGAAAAATGTATTTGTTTACAAAAATAGAATTGCAGAGAATTCGGGGAACATAAAGCCAACAGTGGCAGTCTAAGGTTTTGAATCTTTCTGAATCTGCATTTAAATCAACAGAGCAGCTAAATATCAAAAGTCAAAACCCATGAACAGTATTTACCACAAAACTAGCTGACAAAGTATCAAAACAAACATGGATAAGCACAGACCATCAACGGCCATAAATTCATCAGGCTATTGAATGTGCAGGAGAAAGACACAATAACTGGGAATCTGATGGATTTGAGAAAGGAGATCCAAAGAGCCAGTCATTATTCACTGGAAAGCACAGCATGTAGTGGAAAATATCAATCTCAAATGGCCAACAACAATTCTTGTAAAACTACTGGACTCAAAAAACAAACAAACAAACAAAAAACGGTCTTTTTGGTATTTGGACCAAAAGTGTATATATTTTTTAAGGGAAGGAAAATGAGATTCTTATCAGATTTTTTGCTTACAGTCACCTTTATTCTGCCTTCCCTGTAAGAACTGCAACACAAATAGCCAAAGAGTAGATGAAGGGGAAAATGTCTGTACAAAATTATTCCAGCTACTCAATGAAAACTCAGTGATGAAATTAGAATATCTACATGTTGCAACTGGAGTGAATTAATGGATCTGGGCATTGAACATTAACAGCTGCTAACATTACAGAAAGAGCAAAGACCAGGCATGATATACTTCCTGATTAAAGAACACACCACCACATACGGCTTTGCCAAAGGCATAGGCTGAGTCTGATGGAACCTCAGGATCCAGGAGTTAATTTGAAGGAAATTCAGAATGCAAAAGAATGTGTTATACTACATCGTTAGTATAGTATCATCAAGGTCCAAACTGTGGAAACCTCTCAATGACCCAGGTTATTCAAAAGTTATGTTATAAGGAAAAGAAAGTGATGGAGGAGTAACCTGTAGATTAGAAGAGACTGGAGGCCGGGCGCGGTGGCTCACGCCTGTATTCCCAGCACTTTGGGAGGCGGAGGCGGGCGGATCACGAGGTCAGGAAATCGAGACAATCCTGGCTAACACGGTGAAACCCCATCTCTACTAAAAATACAAAACAATTAGCCGGGCATGGTGGCGGGTGCCTGTAGTCCAAGCAGCTCGGGAGGCTGAGGCAGGAGAATGGCGTGAACCTGGGAGGCGGAGCTTGCAGTGAGTCGAGATCGCGCCACTGCACTCCAGCCTGGGTGACAGAGCGAGACTCCATCTCAAAAATAAAAATAAAAATAAAAATAAATAAATAAATAAATAATAAAAAATGAAAAAAAATAATAAAAAGAAGAGACTGGAAAGACCTTTTTCTTATTTTTTACTAGGCAAGATGAAATGGTAGTGTATGTAGATACATACTTTCATGAATAAAACCATAAAAAAAAACAACAAAGCGAGCACTATAAAAATCAGAATACTTGTTACCCATGAAAGCAGAGAGGTGGCTATGATTGAGATAGGACACATGGAAGGGCTTTTGGAGTGGCTGGAAAAATTCTATTTCTTGTCCTGGGTGGTGGTTCAAGGGAATTTGCCTATAATAATTCACTTGCTTTGTTTGAGTTTCTGTCTATGTTTTATTTCACAGTAAGAAGGTTGAAAAAATAGTATAGAAGAGAACGACAATGATTTTTTAAAAATTACTGGCTAAGATAGAAGATTTAAATATGAATAGAGAATTATTTTTGGCAAGCAGGGAGCCTCCATTTTGTCAGTAAATTGTAAGGCTCTTTTCATTCATCCAACAGAAACACTTACTGCGTGCCCACTAAGCAGCTGGGACATACCGGGTGCTTCTGCTCTTGTAGAACTTAGAAGACACAGCAGTTATTTTTATCAGTTGGGGTGCAGTCAGGGAAACAAAATCACACAAAATCTTTCAACACATAGGATTTAATTCAGAAAATTGGTTATGCAAGTGATATAAAAGCTAAGAAGCTAAAGAGGTGTCCCAGAGGTTAGCAACATTAAGAAGCTGCTATTGCCCCAAGGATTGGAGCGACAGCAGGAGGGGCTGTGTTGTCAGAACCTAGAACCTTGGAGCAAGGATGGAGCGGCATTCTAATAGCAGTGGAGCCAAGGAAGAGCTAAAGCCTCTGGTGGATATTCTCCATGAGTGAGAGAGAGACAGGAGAAATAACCTGACATCTTCTTCCTCCCCTCTCCGATCTTATCTCCAGTCTTTAGAAAATTATACTAGAATTTAGTACTAAACTTTTTCTTCCTTTTTACTTATAGTCATTTCTGGGAGAGCACGGTAATTTGTTATGATAAAGTCTTGAATAACAGCATATATATATATATATATATTTATATATATTTGACATGGACATTAAAATGTATAACCACATACTAAAACATGATATGAGAAGTTGGCTTTTAGAGAAAAAAAAATTTTTTTTCTGTCATATGCGCACTTTAAGCTATTGGTAAGCACATTGCCAGAGCAGTGACCCAATCTTTCTCTTCTTCACTGACTAAAGAATCTCATGGACTGACAGCATTTTTATTTTGGCTCCCGTTGATCACGACTCTAGCAAGTGAACAGAAGGACTTATTTGTTAGAAATTCTGGTGAACAGCTTGCTGCAAGTTTAATCAAAACAAGTTTTGATTTAGACCAAGCTTGTCGCTTTGGCACACAGGGTGACAGTAGACAGTGACCTTCATGAGGTCTTGGAGGAGAGGCTAGATCAAAAGAAGTGTTTATTCTTAGGGCCCCTCAAAGGTTCTTTGAGAACTCTGTGCACATTTATGCAGAATTGATGGAGAACTTAAGGGGAACTGATCAATTTCGTGATCCTCAAACTATTCCTTGAAAATTTGTCAAAATACAACATGAACGCTTTATACTTTGCTATTTAAAATGATTATTTGACGCCACTGCACTCCAGCCTGGGCAACAGAGTGAGACTCCATCTCAAAAAATAAATAAATAAATAAAATGATTATTTGAAATATCTTTGCACCACAATCTAATTTTAATGATTATATTCAATGTTTAGTGAAATAATCAAATTAGAACATATTTATTCTACGTAGTATCATTATCACTGTAACAAATCACCAATAGTAGAAGAAGGCAAAACTAGATGTGAATATAATGGTTCAAAATAACTTAAACCTAGTTTTTTGTCACTTACACTTCCAGATAATTGAAAACCAGGAAACATTTCAAAGAAGGGCCACAAAGTCAGTTCTGGTCAAAAAATCCTGTCAGAAAAAGTAGTATTGAGGACAATTATTCTTAAAAATGAAGGTTGAGGTGCTTTTACCCTTTACTTTTGAAGGTCACCATTCCTCTATAGCTGGAAGTGATTTTGCCCACTCTCTCCATCCCAGGGACATTTGGCAATGTCTGGAGGACAATTTTGGTTGTCACAACTGTGTGGTTAGGGGATTTGCTATCAACATCTAGTCTATAGAGAGGCCAGAGATGCTGCTAAACATCATATAATGTACAGGACAGCCCCCCATAAAAAAGAAGTATTGACCCCCAAATGCCAGTAATGCCAAGGCTGAAAAACACTTATCTATAGTCTCTGATTATTTACTTGTCTTTAAAACAAAAGTGTCTGAGATTTGGCCTATAAAAATAGAGTGCTTCCTACTAATTAAGAGCTACTTAACTTGTAGTTACCTAAGAAAAGTTATTTAAACATTCTTGACTAACTGTAAACATTTGATAGACATTTCCCTCTTTTGGCTGTTTCGAAAATTATAGTCCCAGAGGCAGGGAAAATGAAGTAGATTGTCCCATGGTTGTGTATCATGAATGAAAGTCTTCTTTGGTAATATATATTTTTTGGCCAACCACCAAATGTTTGAGATCTATGATGTCTACTATTCATAAAAAAGTATTATTAGGCCTATTTAACAGATAGAGAAAGTAAAATTAAGAGAGGTTAAGATACAATCTCAAGGTTACCTGAACAACTAGTGCCACTAGCATTTTGAATATAGGTGTTATGGCAATGTTCAATTCCTGCTGTATCCTTCCATCAAGTGCTTTGAATACACATGACAAACTATTCCAAAAATATAACAATACAAAATAATGAGTTTTAAAATTTTTTATGTGTCTGGTTTACAGAGAAAGGGCATGGATTTTTTCTATTATATATTATTACCCCATCTTTATATTAATATTTAAAGAAGATCAGTTAACCTTTGAAGGACACAAGAGAATATCTCATTATTCTGAGAATTTGTGAGTAACAGGAAAGAAAACATGTTTATCTTGTTTATCTTGACTTTGTTGTGTGAATTCTGTCTCAGGATAACCAAATTGTTGATGAAGAGAGGGATTTTTCTCATTTCTTTTTTTAATGTATCTTTTAAAAAAATCAGTAAACTTTATTTTTAGAGCAGTTTTAGGTTCAGAGCAAAATTAAGTGAAAAGTACAGTTTCCTTATACCCCTATCACCACACACACACAGTCTCCCCCACTATCACCATCCCACACCAGAGGGGTACATTTGTTACAATCAATGAACCTACATTGACACATCAGTATCACCCAAAGTCCACAGTTTAAATTATGGTTCACTCTTGGAGTGGTACATTCTATGGTTTTGAACAACTGTATAATGACATGTATCTACCATTTTAGTATGATACAGAATAGTTTTACTGTCCTAAAAATCCTCTGTGTCCTATCTATTTATGCCTTCCTTCCTCCAAAACCCTGGAAATCACTGATCATTAACTGTCTCCATAATCTTGCTCTTTCCAGAAAGTCATATAGTTGTAGTCATATACTATGTAACCTTTTAAGATTGGCTTTTTTCACTTAGTAATATGCACTTAAATTTCCTCAATGTCTTTTCATGGCTTCATAACTCAATTTTTAGTAATAAATAATATCCTATTGTCTATATGTATCACAGTTTATTTACCCATTCACTGACTGAAGGATATCTTGGATGCTTCCACATTTTGGCAATTATGAATCAAGCTGCTATAAATATCCATGTGCAGACTTTTGGGTAGAAATACATTTCAGTTCACTTGGGTAAATACCAAGGAGTATAATTGTTGGATCGTATGGAAAGAGTATGTTTAGATTTGAAGAAACTTCCAAACAGTCTTCCAAAGTGGTTGTACCATTTTGCATTCCCATCAGCAATGAATGAGAACTCCTGTTACTTCACATCCATGCCAGTATTTGTTTGTGTCAGTATTTTGTTTTTTGGTCATTCTAATAGTTGTATATTTGTATATTGTTTTAATGTGCAATTTTCTAATCATGTGTGCTATGGTTTGATTGTGTCCCCTTCAAAATTCAGGTGTTGCCAATGTGATAATATTAAGAAATGTGACCTTTAAGAGATGATTAGGCTGTGAGGGTTTTTTCCTTTCTAATGGGATTAAGGGGATTAAGGCCCTTATAAGACAGACTTCACAGGGCATTTGGGTAGGTTGCTATCTTGACCTTCTACCTCTGCCATGTGAAGATCCAGCAAGAGGCCTTCACCATACACCAAATGCTAGTGCCTTCATCTTGGACTTCCAGCCTTTAGAACTATGAGAAAATCCATTTCTGTTGTTTATAAATTGCCCACCTTGAGGTATTGTTATAGCATCACAAAATGGACTAAGACAACATGTGATGATGGACAACATTTCATATGCTTATTTGCCGTTTGTATATCTCCTTTGGTAAAGTGTCTGTTCAGGTCTTTTGTCCATTTGTTAATTGGATTGTCTCTTTCCTTGTTGAATTTTAAGAGTTTGTATATTTTGAATAACAGCCCTTTGTCAGATGTGTCTTTTGTAAATAGTTTCTCTCGGTCTGTGACTTGGCTTCTCATTCTCTTGACATTGTCTTTCACAAAGCAGAAGTATTTAATTTTTATGAAATCTAGTTTATCCATTATTTCTTTCATAAATTGTGCCTTTGGTGGTGTGTCTAAAAAGTCATTGCCATAGCCAAAGTCATCTAGGTTTTCTCCTATGTTATCTTCTAGAGTTTGATAGTTTTGCATTTTACATTTAGGCCTATGATGATCCATATTTGAATTAATTTCACCAATGCCACACCGTCTTGATTACTGTAGCTTTATAGTAAATCTTGAAGTCAAGTGGTGTCAGTCTTCCAATTTTATTCTTTTCCTTTAATACTGAGTTGGCTATTCTGGGTCTTTTACCTCTGCATATAAAGTTTATAATCAGTTTGTCAGTATCCGTAAAATCACTTGCTAGGGATTTGATTGGAATTATGTTGAATCTATAGATCAAGTTGGGAAGAATTGACCACTTCACAATATTGAGTTTTCCTACCTATGAACATGGAATGCCTCCACATTTATTTCTTTCATTAGAGTTTTATCGTTTTCCTCATATAAATTTTATACTATTTTGTTAGATTTATACCTCAGTATTTTATTTTTTGAGTGCTTATATAAATGGTAATATGTTTTTAATTTCAAATTCCATTTTTTATTGCTGATATGTAGAAAAATAATTGACTTTTATATATTAAACTTGTATCCCACAGCTTTGCTTTAATTGCATATTAGTTCCAGAGACTTTTTTCAATCATTTCAGATGTTCAACATAGATCAAAAACAGTTTTTTTTTCTTAAAATCTCTATATCTCTTATTACTTTTTTATTCTATTGCATTAGCAAGAACCTCCAATATGATGTTGGAAAACTGCAATGAGGAGAGATAACTTTCCCTGTTTCCTGATTTTAGAAGAAAAGCTTTGAGTTTCTCGCTACTAAGTATGGTGTTATCTGTAGTTTTTTTTTATTTTTATAAATGTTCTTTATCAAGTTGAGAAAGTTCCCTTCTATTTCTAGTTTGCTGAGAGATTTTATCTTGAGTGGGTATTGGATTTTATTAAATGCTTTCTGTGCATCTATTGATATGGTCATGTGATTTTTCTTATTTAGCCTATTGATGTAATTGATTATATTACTTGATTTAAATGTTGAACCAGCCTTGTATAGCAAATTCCTACTTACTTGTGATGTGTAATTCTTTTTATACATTGTTAAATCCAATTGCTAATATTTTTTGAGGATTTTTGCACCTATATTCATGAGAGATATTTGTGTGCAGTTTTCTTTTCTTGGAATGTCTTTGTCTTGACTTGGTATTAGGTAATACTAGACTCATAGAATGAAGTAGGAAGTATTCCCCCCTGTTTCTGTCTTCTAGAGGAGATTGTAGAGAATGGATATATTTACTTCCTTAAATATTTAATAGAATTTACCAGTGAACTCATCTGGGCCTGGTGTTTTCTGTTTTGGAAGATTATTTATTATTGATTTAATTTCTTGAATAGAAATAGACCTATTCAGAGAGTCTAGTTTTTATTTTGTGTGTTATGGTAAATTGTGTATTTCAAGGAATTGGTCCATTTCATCTAGGTTATCAACTTTGTGTACATATAGTTGTCTGTAACATTCATTTATTATCCTTTTAATGTCCTTAAGATTTGTAGTGATGCGCCCTCTTTCATTCTGATATTAGTAATTTGAGAGTTTTTTCTTAGTTAGCCTAGCTAGAGGCTCATCAATTTTATTAACCTTTTCAGAGAAACTGCTTTAGGTTTTGTTGATTTTCTCAATTGATTTCCTAGTTTCAATTTTGATTTATTTTTATTTGTTTCTTTTGCTGAATTTTGATTTAATTTTCTATTCTCTTTAAAGCTTATGTGATTGATTTTAGATTTTTATTCTTTTATAATGTATGTATTCAATGCATAAATTTCCCTCTAAGCACTGATTTCTCTGCTTCCTACAAGTTTTGATAAATTGTATTTCTTTCCTTTCCTGCTCCCTACATTCTTTCCCTCCTTCCTTCCTCTGTTCTTCCTTTCTGTTTATAGACAGTCCCCCTCTGTCACCCAGGCTGAAGTGCAGTGGTATGATCATAGCTTACTGCATCCTCGATCTCCCAAGTTCAAGTGATACTCCTGTCTCAGCCTCCTTAGTAGCTGAGACTACAGGCACACACCATCATCCTTGGCTAGTTATTTCTTTTTTCTTTTTTTTTTGTGGAGATGGTGTCTTGCTATGTTGCCTAGTCTGGTCTCAAACTCCTGGCCTTAAGCAATCCTCCCATGTTGGCCTTCCAAAGCACTGGGATTATAGGCATGATCCACTGCGCTCAGCCAAGAAAATGTATTTTCATTTACATTTATTCCTAAATGTTTAAAATTTCCATTGGGGTTTCTTCTTTGATCCATGTGTTGTTTAGAAGCGTGTTGTTTAATCTCTGATTATTTTAGAATTTTCTAGTTATCTTTCTGATATTGATTTTTAGTTTAATTCCATTGTGGTTTGAGAGCAGACATAATATGACTTATATTCTTTTAAATGTGCTTAGGTGTGTTTTTTTTCTTTATCTTTAATTTTCCAAGGTTTGAATATAATATGCATAGGTGTCATTTTGTTTTATTTTTGTTTTTGTTTTTGCATTTGTCTTTCTTAGTGTTCTGTGAGTTTCCCAGATCTATGATTTGATGTGTGCCATTACTTTGGTGGGAATTCTCAGTCATTATTACTTCAAATATTGCTTCTGTTTCTTTCTCTCTTTCTTCTCCTTCTTGTATTCCCATTATGCATATGTTACACCTTTCATAGTTGTCCCACAGTTTGTGGATATTGTGTTCATTTTTTTCGTTCAGTCTTTTTTTCTTTGCTTTTCAGTTTTAAAAGTTTCTATTGCCATATCCTTAAGCTCAGAGATTCTTTCCTCAGCTGTGCGCAGTCTATTAATGAGCCTATCAAAAGCATTCTTTATTTCTATTACAATTTTTTTATCTCTAGCACTTCTTTTTAATTATTTCTTAGAATTCTCATATCTCTGTTTACATTATCTGTTTTTGCATGTTGTCTACTTTTTGCCTTAAAACCTGTAGCATATTAATCATATATATGTATATTTTTAAATTCCTAGTTTGCTAATTTCAACATTCCTGCTATATCTGACTGATTCTGATGCTTATTCAGTCTCTTCAAATTGTGTTTTTAACCTTTTAGTATTTCTTGTTAAATTTTCTTTTAAGGTGGATTTGACGTACTAAATAATACAAATTGATAAATAGGTTTTTAGTAACGTACTGTAAAGTGTAGGCAGAGAGAAGCATTCTGTAGTCCTATAGTTAGGTCTCTGACGTCTGGTAAGCCTATGCCCCTGAACTGTAAACTTCACCAGTGCTTCTTAGACCGTCCTCTTGCATCCAGCCCCACCCCTCCCACCCCGGCCCCTTTGGTGTAACAGAATGGCTAGAGTTGCTTGGAGTTGGCTATTTCCCTTCCTCCAGGTAGGTTAGGCGCCAATAAACCCCCTGTAGTTAGACTCTGGTAGAATAGTTTCTTCTGATGGCAGGCCTTGTTAAGAACAGAATATTCTCGTTTATTTCAAAATGGTTTGTTTTCTCCTTTCCCTGTTGGAAGCGTCAGGGGACTTTTCTTAAATATTTACTGTGAGGACCTGGTAGGGCTCCTGGAGGTAAAATTTACAAAAGTGTATGAGCCTTCTATGATTCTTGGTTCTCTAGGAGTTTTTAACTCTCTGTTGTCCACACTAAGCCTCCAGTGGCAAGATAAGTCCTTTAACTTTTTAATTTCCTTTTGTCATGTAACAAAATTTTGAGAATTTACTTATGCTTAAAAATAAGTCAGATATTATGAGGGATTTTAGAGGAAACAGGACCCAAAATTCAGGTTACCAAGAAGAATGAAACTTCACACATAAATATGTTCACAAATATTTTAACTCAAGATGTAAGTAAGAACACATTAATATAGCAGAAGCGAACTGGGGAGGCAGGTAGTATAGCAACTGGGCACGAGTATCAACTGGAATTGAAGAGAACTGGATTTGAATCATGATCTGCTTTTTATTTTCTATAAGACTTAAGGAAAATCAACTACTTGGATTATTCAGTTTCCTTACCTGTAACATATGAATGATCAGAGGTATGTTGGAGCCTACTCCCACTGGCTTACAATAGCAAATTTGTTTGTTTGTTTGTTTGTTTTTTGAGACGGAGTCTCGCTCTTTTGCCCAGGCCGGACTGCAGTGGCGCTATCTTGGCTCACTGCAAGCTCCGCCTCCCGGGTTCACACCATTCTCCTGCCTCAGCCTCCCGAGTAGCTGGGACTACAGGCGCCCGCCACCGCGCCCGGCTAATTTTTTGTATTTTTTTTTTTAGTAGAGAGGGGGTTTCACCGTGTTAGCCAGAATGGTCTCGATCTCCTGACCTCGTGATCCGCCCGCCTTGGCCTCACAAAGTGCTGGGATTACAGGCGTGAGTCACCGCGCCCGGCCACAACAGCAAATTTTTAAATTTTAAGGAATTTGGGAATCCAATTATTAAAAATTATCATTACTAAAAATTAAATTGTATAAACTTTTGAGTAAGTAAATTATGTTAAAACCAAAGGAAACATATGCTCAAAACTCATTTTCTAAGTGTTTTGCTAGATTCTACTACAACCTATGCTTTTGAGATTATTTACATCAATGATATCTAAAGGTTGAAAATAATAATAATACACTGCATACCAATTGGCAAACAGTATAAATTGGGCTTAATTTATACTGTTGTTGATTTTTATATATAAGAATGTGATGATAAACATTAATATTGCAGATGAAATCTAAAGGTGTATTGTGTTCGTAATTTACACTGTGAAATAATACAAAAATTGAGAAAATATTTTTCTACTATTTGAAAATAATGATGTGATTCAGCAAAATAATCACTCATTCATTGATTAATGAATGAAGCCCACCATGTGTCTTCTTTTTTTCACTTTCATTTTACTCATTAACCTTAATAAAACATCAACTTCCATTTGTGTTAAAATTATACTTGCTTCTCAGTTGTGACTATGGGTTGGCTATAGATACAAGTCATGGACGAAATTCAATGAAAGCATTCTGTGAACTCAGTTGGCTATATAAAGGGTACTGTGTATTTGTTACTGTTTCAACATGATAAAACACCTAGGGCATCCAACACAATTTCTGCTACATGAATGGTTATTGTTAATGTGACTTTTAAGTATGTGTGTGTGTAGTGAAGAAATAATTAAAGAGTAGAGTTTGATTTATAAGGAAAAGTTTTCAGAGTAGGTGTGTTTTGTAGTAGATTTTGAAGTGAGGTTGTAAATTGAGATAATCTAAGGCTGAAAGGTAAAATGAAGATAATTTACTGATGTTCAGTTTTATATGTCTGTAATTATCGTGCCCATTTTCTTTAGCTTACATAGGCTAGTTTTCTTTACTAGAATCACAGGAAGTTTTTTAAAAAATACCGATTATTGGATGTCATAACCTATCTACTAAATCAGAATCCCCTGGCATTTGAAATGCATTCCTTGCAATCCCAGTGCAGTCAGTCCAGCTATGCCTGTGGACTGGGGTTTGGAAACCACTAGAAAAATAGAGGAGGACCTGGAGTTTTTCTTCAAATTCTGCTCTTCTTTTTCCTAGCTCGGTGAACTTGGGCAAGTTACTTGGCCTTTTTGTACTTTAGTTATCCCATCGCTAAAGTGGGAGCAATAATAAGATAGTAATGAAATTGTGATATTTAAGAAGACAGATGATATTCAGTACTGTCAAACAGAGAAAAAAATCCTATGGTTATATATAACATATTTCTTTTTTTAAAAATTCTGTAAGCCTATCTGTTGATACTTAAATAATTCTTACCTCATATACAAATAGTAATTTCTTAAAAACTTTATCTGTATTAATTCTGTGAGAAAAATTGCTACTTCTTACTGGGCAAATAACTGACATTTCAATTTAAAATGATCAACAGGCAATGTTTCACTAATAAAACACAAAGACTAAATTTTCCATTTATTAAAACTAAATTCTATTTTTATTTCAAATTTGATTAAGGAATCTCATATAGTTATTATGTACTGGGATTTTTGTTTGGAATCAGATCTGTATACAAATGTATTAAAAATATATTCAATGCTAAATTGTCTTAAGTCATTTGGCCATCTGTTTTAGAGAAATATACCAAGTGCTTAGAATTAATCTTGACAAACATTTCATAAAAAGTATGTGTGAAAAAATGTGCCTCAGAAGGGCTTGCGCCAAAGTACTTTCTCGTTTATGCCACAAGATGGTGCTTTTGCACTCTGTATATCCATTGAGAAAGTAATGTCTAAAATGGTTGACAAAAGACTTTAATTTTAGAAGAATCATTAGAGTTCAAAGAGCTTACCATTTCCAAAAAACACTCCCACTACACTCTTGAGTAGAAATGTTAATATGAAGGTGACAATGAAGAGAAATTTTTTAATCTAAGAGACAATTTGATATGTTTTTAGGCTGGGTTGTGGCTGTCAGTGTTATTTCTATCCATAACTGAGGAAAATTCCTCCAAGTAACAAACATCTGTATATCACTGTATAGTCTCTGACATATTATCATATTTATTATGGCACCAAAACTGGAGCTTGTGAAATGCTAGTCACAGCAAATTCTCTTAAGGCAGTTGGGTCCAAATGTGAGGAGAAGGTAAAGAGTCCTCTAAAAATAGAAAAGCTGTGCTTCATTTCTAAGATTACTTATTTCCTTTTGCATGTATGCCATTGTTTTATTCTTTTGCTCTTTATTCTAAAAAGACTGCTTGGCTTGTGCCATATTGAGATTTCATGGAATCTTAAGTTTTGGGAGTTGAAGAGTCTGTATGTATCTTTCATTCAACCTCTTAGCCAAAGAAGGCATTCTTTGTATACCATCTCTTGATCATCCAACTGTTGTTCCATCAATAGGGGCCTTTCTGTGCTGGCTTTTTTTTTTCTTTCTTTTTGCCAAAGCCTCTGTCATTAAAACTAGTGGAGAGCTTATTTATTTATTTTTTTAATTCCCTAACTTGTTTTCAGACTGTATTGACTTAAAAGCATTTCCTGAGGATCAAAAATCTTACAGTTTCACTATATCTTGCCTTTCAAAATGTAAGCTAGGAGCAAATTATATTTGAAAAAAAA
The DNA here is from genome assembly GCF_000001405.40 of Homo sapiens. Classification (NCBI taxonomy): domain Eukaryota; kingdom Metazoa; phylum Chordata; class Mammalia; order Primates; family Hominidae; genus Homo; species Homo sapiens. The sequence continues at coordinate 157,193,415 of NC_000002.12, read as the reverse complement.
TCATTATTTACCTGCCTTGTAGGGTTTTTGGAGATACTGTATCCCAACATTTTTCAAAAAGCTTTCAGGAAACTAGCTACCGTTATGAAACAATTCAGAGTTTTTACCCACAAATAACATCTGTGCTTTCATCTAACTTGAAATTTCAACCTCAGACCACATAGAAGTTTCTTGTTGCAACTGACCAGCCTTTTGCTGAGTCTCTCAGTGACAGTGCATAAGAATGAATGCTGTCTATATGAAGCATAGTCTTTTTTTTCATTCAAGTAGAATCATTATTGTATATTCTGAAACTAAAGTTTTCACAACATTTATAACTTTTTGCCTTTGTGTATGAATGGGGATGTGGGTTGGAGGGAAGTGAAGCAGAAGGCAGAGGGGGTGGATATGGGGTTATCTGATTTCCATGGAGGCAAGGTGACACCTTCACAACGGACTCACCTTCTATAAGTAGCTCCCTGTCGAAAGCAACTACTTAAAGCTTCCCAAGGTCTCCAGAACAATTTTATTTGACCTTTTGTTAAAGACCGCCTCTACTAAGGAACTGATTATTCTGTTCCCAAGGGTGGAAAGTTGAGTCAGGTTTTACTACACTGTATATTAAAATTGTATCTACTCATGTGGTTTCTGTGTAGTACCATGGAATCCTTGATAATCTAAAAATGGAAGAGGAGAACACACAGCCATAATGCCTGACCTAAGGATTAAGTTACCTTGGTATGATTGCCGCCATCTTGAGTGTCATTACTCTCAAAGATAAGAATTTAACAGTTACAGCCCTCCTACGTAATCTGGGACTAGGACTGAAGCATTTATGACAATGGGGTGATTTACAGTGGAGTTACGAAAGGAAACTTTGATGTGATCTGCATCTATCTTGGTTAGCAATGCCTGCAGTGCATAAACTCCTTAGGGCTACATGGCAATGAGAGGGATGCCTTCATGCCTACTTGCTCGGGACTACTTGGCACACATTTCTGAGGTAAAAACAATTCATGCGACTTTGCCAAGTCTGCCATGCTCATTGTCCTGTCAAAATTTAGAAGGGAATATCTATCATGCTGTACAATACGTTTGATGGATATCATGATATATTTTTATGGGAAAGTGTACTGCACTCCTCCTCATAATCGTAAGAGGCATTTTGCTATGAGGGTGAGAGAGTGATTCTGAGGACTGTACCACCTAAACCTACATATTTAAGCTTTATGAGACTCCAGTGGGACTCTGAGCTAGAAAGCATCTGACCTAGTTGAATTTTTAATGCTTTTCGTAAAATGAAAGTCTGCATCATGATTCTACTTAACTGTGTTCTTTCTTCCTCAAATTACTTAAAGTGACCCATTTCGTAGTTGGCATAACTGAAGGATGCGTACTATGTAGGAAGGTATTGAATTACCTTCCTTGTCCATTTTAAAACGTGGAGGAGAATGCATTTCCAGGTAATGCTTCTTACCCATTGCTAACTTAGGTAGATTAACCAATTATCAGTCATTTAGTTCACAAGTATTTTTAACCTGACCAAAGGTAATAGTGTCAAAGGAAGAGGACAACAAACACCTAAGAAATCTCTCCTCTTGCCAAGAATTGGGATAAATGATAAGAAGCTGTCCTTGTGTTTTGATGCCACAGACAGGATTAAAATCATGCTGAACAAGGCAGGGTAATATGTTTAATCAATCCATTACTTGGGCACATCTGAGTATGGTATGAGGATTCAGTGTGAAGGAAAGAAAAAGCTGACCTGGAAGACTGGGTCTGAGTGTGGGATGCGGGGAGGACAGCTGGATATTCCCACAGGCAGGAAAATGCGATACTGATGGCTCATCACCTGACTGGGGCGTCTTTCAAGTTCTATGCAAAATGTAGCCACTGGTAGCTTTTAAATAATGAATTGTGGCCATTGACATCAATTCCAATGGCAATTTCTTCTAACATCTGACTAAGTTTGTCAGAGGATAATTATTTACCATTCTGATGAGTCCAGGCGGTCTGCTAATTAATTCTTCAATGGGATGCTTGCCATCCTTGTTGTTCCTTAATACTGCATGCTGAGGGTTGTGCATAAACAGGATTGGCACAGGGCCTACCATAATGATTATACAGGTTGAAAGCCTGGTGCCAAGTGTTGTTTAATTCAGTTTCCCTGAGGTCAAGGAGGGAGGACTTCTGCTGTGCCATGTATTTACAATTTTTGGAAAAAGAGTAGGTGAAAATGTCTACATTAGACAGTTTTAAATATTCCTATCTCAGTGAATATTGAAAACATAATTAGGACTAGGTGGAAATGTATTACAAATCTGAAAATTAGTGTTAAGTACATTAGACTGAGAAATTGGTAACATATTAATATTTTTAATCAGTAAATATAATCACAAGACAATTTATCTGTGATTCTTCCGAGGCAAGGACATAGGGATCAAGCAAATGAAGTGGAAGGTCATAACACCTGACTAATAATGAAAATAAATGAGAAATCAGGTTAACATTTTAGACAAGTCTTTCTTAAAAGATGGGACTGAGACAGATTAGACTTGCCTACTAGCACAGGACTAATTAAAATATGTTTAATTGATAAAGATTGTTGATTAGTTATGTTTTCTTGTAATCTCTGCTAGAAATCTCAGATCTGAAATTATACTATTCAGTTTCTATACACTGCTTTTTTTAAAAAAATAATTCCAACTTATAATTTTATGTTAAACTACATCGGGGGATGCCAGTTATGAGCAATATTTCACTTAGGACAGACACCCAATTAAGTTGACCTTGTCATTAAGAGAATCATGTGTTTCATTGCTGAATTTAAATCTTTGATAATCATTTTAATGGTACTTCAAAATGACCAGAAATCCCTAGCAATAGGGATTACAAATTCTCACATTTCCCCAGGCAAATATAGGACAAGACAGGCCACCTAGTCATGTTCCAAAAGGCTTTTTCCCTTCTGTATCAGATAAGTATTTATGGCAGACAAGCTACCTCTAGGCTTTATCGATGATGATAAACTGAGAAGGAATGACAGCTGAAGGAGAGAGGAAAAACACGAAGGCTAGCAGGAAACCTCTACTGGGGCATCAGTGTGCATCAGCAGTTCCACAAAGCATCCGCGGGAATGTAGGGGTGGGGAGGTCATGAGGAGTGTGTGAACTGACTCACTTAGCAACAATATAGTTTTAAAAATCCCAGGAATTTGAAGAAAGTGAAAGAACCCTTAAATCCCACATTGGATATTTTCTGAAAATTGATCTATAGTTTTATTCCAGATAGTTCATGGGCATTATTATCCTCCCATCTTTGGAATATCGTAATTTTTGAACATTACTAAGTTAAAACAAATATGGTCATGTAGTACTAGGACTCAAGCAGTGCCTGTCTTCCAGGGAACGCCAAGCCTTTTGCAGATGCTTTCTTCCTCTGCTATGCTCTCCCAAGACTAGGAAGACTCTAAAAACAGTTGTTGGGTTGTTTCCTAATTATCTTAGATGCCTACAAGAAGATTACTTTCTGCAACTATGATTTGTCTGAACTAACCTCATTTCCCATCCACTAAGGCAGAAGCTGAAACTTTCATTCTATTTCAACTCAAGAATAATTTAATATGTTATTTGTAGTTTCATCATTTTTTTTTTTTAAGTATGGTTCTGGTTTATTTTCTGAACAGACCTGAAAAGGAGGCAAGGTACAAGGCCTTTCAGTTCTCGGTTTTCATAGTAGGTGTATGGCAAATGGAGTTCTCACTGATGTGCTAATGTGGGCTTTTTGTGCTTCCCTCTTCCATAAGAACTACAGACACTGTGACCTATCTACTCTTTTTGATACGTATAATTTCTTTATGCTTGCTTTCCCAAACCAAATCAAAATCCTGTTTACACTGATGACTGGAAACTTGTATGTCTTAATCATACACTTCTTGAGAGAGACAGGCCAACAAGGCGCTTGGGAGGCATGCACACACGATTGCTATTTCTTCTTTCTCAACTAGACACTTTCAGGTGTTCCATACCCTTCTTAAAGTAACATCCTCCATCCATATTAATTAGCAAAATTGTCTCTGTTGACCACCCTCCAACATGCCCTATTAAAATTCCATTTCATAGGTGTCAATAGTGAAGGCAACACCGTTATCCTTACTCAATGTGCTTTTCTACATTTATATTTTTACTTGTGTGTTGTTGATTGAATCCTTAAGCGTCACACTACAGCACCAGTGGTCTCCAAACTGATTTTAATAATAAACTCCATAGCCAGTAAATCTTTTTGGCATGCGTTTGCCCTACAAACTGTGAATATTTGTTTACTAGATTATATGCATACAGGACTACACTACATATTTCTTTTATAATTATATAGTATATTAACAATTTAGTAATAAGACAGTAGTAGTAGTAACAATAAAGTGTATCAAAACTAGTATGCTTATGTAGACTACAGCAAACTAGTATCCAATATATTATAAAATACTATAATTTATTTACTTTGCATCACATACACAAAGGATGGGAAACAAGGAGTATGATATCATAAAGCCAATGTAAATATAAGTACAAGGCTAATTATTTTCCTTCCAAACCTAATTGACTGTCTTGTACAACACCCTGGGGTTCGTGCATCACCTTTGCCAAATGCTGTCATATTCTAGCAGAGAACATGAACGGAATTGTTATTACAACAAAAATATAATTTAAAATTATTTTATATCCATCTTTAGAACACATATTATGTAACTCACTGAATTATTCTTTGGCTTCACTTTGCAGTTCTTAATATAATAATAAAAGTAATTTGCATCTCCTGAAGGGGTATTTGCATGGTAGTGAACAGAATATCTTGAGTAGTTATGAAAAACTGGCCTGATATTTAAAATTTTCTCTGAATACACTAAAAAGTAAATAATAAACAAGTGGTTCTGTGACTTTATGGGGAAAAAAAGGAGATATAAAGACTAACACATCTTTTCAAGGTGCATGGAGAGAGACAAAGACCAAAGCAGGAACAGAAAATAGGTCCCCCGGCCTGTGTTCTGAAACAGTCACCTTGGTGGTACCTTGATACAGTAGTATTTGTAATTTCTACAATGAAAGAATACACTTTCATTCTTGTGCATGTATATAGTGATTTTTTAATAGTATGGTAAGGTCACTGGTAAAGTCACTAGTTGTAGCCTTCTATATAACTCTCATATGCCCTTAACTGTTCTCTTTTGGATAATCTTTCATTAAAAAATAGATAGTTAATAATGAGAATACATATTTGTTTTTTAGTTGGAGTTTTCAGATTTCTTAATTGGCACAGAATTTTAATCAGTCTGGTAAGTTAATGTTGACTGATAGTCTCTTTTTTAATATTGCCTATATCTTGAGCAGGTATACATTGCCTTCTAAATATCATTGCAGAAGGCTCTTTATCTTGTTAATTCATGTTCCTAAAAAACAGTTCTTTGGTTTTTACTATCTTATTTTACAAATATAGTTGATTCTCTTGAGAATTTGTTGAAAACTATGGACTTTCTCCCTGTGAAAATGCACATATTTACAAAATGACACTAGGTTAAGGCCTTTATTCTAGTATGATTATAGTATTAAACAACTTTCACACCCCTCAGTTCATAGGAAAATTATTTTTAATAAAGTTTTTTTATAAAATAAAACTTATTATTTTGCTGTAAACTTTATATGCAGAATTGTAGATGTGCTGCAGAGATAACAGTTTAAAACAGCAAAATAAGGAAACAGTGAGGAGGGGAGTTAAATAAGGGGCAGCCTTTCCCTATCATGACTGACTATTTTTTTTTTTTTTGAGATGGAGTCTCACTATTGTCACCCAGGCTGGAGTGTAGTGGCGCAATCTCGGCTCCCTGCAACCTCTGCTTCCCAGGTTCAAGCAATTCTCCTGCCTCAGCCTCCCAAGTAGCTGGGATTACAGGCGCCCGTCACCACACCCAGCTAATTTTTATATTTGTTTCAGTAGAGACGGGGTTTCACCATGTTGACCAGGCTGGTCTTGAACTCCTGACCTCAGGTGATCCACCTGCCTCGGCCTCCCAAAGTGCTGGGATTACAGGCGTGAGTCACCGTGCCCGACTGACTATTTCAACCTTTGCGGATGGTTGGGTCAGTGAGAGTGGCAAGAGAATTTCCAAAACCATGGGGTTGACTTCAGAATCAGGTGGATAAAGTCTGGACTCTAAGGCTCAGGCATCTCTGGTGCTCTGTCAAGAGTATTTGCCATGGTGGTAAAGAAATAGATGGTCCACGAAGTTTGGGAGCTGGGGATCAGAAACAAAGCGTGTGAGAATGGAGGTCAAAGAGTTAGCACCATTGAGAGAGAAGAAGGAAAATTCTTTATGAATCAGGAATTGTTAGCCCATGAACTATAAAGAGACTTATTTACCAAACCATGTGAAAGATTGATCTAAGGGTAGGTCAGTTTGAGAAGAAAAACTAAGACTTTCTTCCTTGGTCTGACTGAGCCTAAAGGAATTTTCCCCACTTAAAAATATCAGCCCTGACAGAAATTGTAGACTTTACAGGGCAATATTGAATTTGAATTTTACTGAGTTGATAGAGAATGCTTTGGAATTACATTATCTTAAATACTTAGAGTCAATGTCTAAATTCCTTGAGTCTCTTTTGTAAATTACTTTAATGCTTTACTTATTTTATTGAGTCTCCTAGATCAATTCATTGTACATTATTCTGCCACATTCTGGGAACTATATGTAGACATTGAATGCTTTCAAATCCTTTCCTGCCCAAGGCCTTTGTGCTTGTGCTTTTCTCTGTACTCCTCTTTTTCTCTGATATTTATGAGGCCCTCTCCCTCTTC